>NC_000003.12:63949393-64252424 GCF_000001405.40 Homo sapiens
ACTCAATTTCTTTTTCTTTTTGTGAGACAGAGTCTCACTCTTTCACCCAGGCTGGAGTGCAGTGGCGCAATCTTGGCTCATGGCAACCTCCACCTCCCAGGTTCAAGTGATTCTCCTGCCTCAGCCTCCTGAGTAGCTGTGGTTACAGGCACCTGCCACCACACCCAGCTAATTTTTGTATTTTTAGTAGAGACAGGGTTTACTATGTTGGCCATGCTGGTCTCGAACTCCTGACCTCGGGTAATCCGCCTTCCTCGGCCTCCCAAAGTGCTGGAATTACAGGCATGAGCCACCGCGCCTGGCCCAGGGAGCTCAGTTTCATAGGGTAGAATGAACTGGGTTTAAGTATACCATGTTTCTTCCCACAGAGGGGGTGTGTGTGTGCATGCTTTTTAGAGAGATTCAGTGTGCTCATGAGAAATTAAGAACCGAGTTTTCCGGTCACACAAACCAGAGTCCTGGTTATGCCGCTTTCTTGCTGAGTGATATTAAATAAGTTTGTTTCTCCATAAGTAAAATGGGGATTATTATGTAGGGTTATTATTAGAAATAAATGGGAAAAACCATGTAAGAACTGCTTGGCATAGGACCTGGCACATAGTAGTCTCTCAGTAAATGTCAGCTGGTTATCATTATAGTCATCATCAGTTGCAATTGATCTTAAGTTATTGAGGAAATAGAAATTTTTACAGAAGTATAGATTCTTGGTTCCTTACAGGATAACCCCTATCTTTTTAGTTTTACTAGTCCTAAGTCTCAGAAAAGGATCAAAGGAACCAGGGCAAAAAAGAATAATTTTGTACATGATAAACATCATGTGACAAATTGAATCCTTATTATTTGAAAGGATCAGTTTAGGTTTTTATTTCTCTTAATTGCTTTATTTTTAAAGGGGTAGAGGGTTAGTCCACAGAAGAATCTGGTATCTGGCAAAGTGATCTATTTTAAGCAACAGTGCTTTACATTCAGAACTGAGGGAAATCACAGAGACCACCAGCAGCACATTGCAGAGACCTAAAACTAAACTAACACTGTTTATTTAATACTGTTTTAACTGCTATCTAATAATAAAACTAATTGAGTTGATTTCATTAATGAAATTGTTCATTTGATATCTATCTCACACTCTTCAGTTGTAAATTATGAATGTTATACCAGTTCTGTAATTTAGATGTATCAGAGGCATTTAGCACAGAAGCATATGGAACTTACGGTAAATGACTTTAAATTTTATTTTTCAGAATGAAATGTCATGTCAAGAAACTGTAATCTTGGAAAGTGACTTATTACATGTATATCATTGCATAGATATAACCTTTCCCCTTCTCCCACATGTACTATATTTAACTCAATGTGGGCAGGCTTTCAGGGAAAATAGCATATTGTTTGGCTCTTATTTTTTATTAAATAAGCGTAGTCACAGAAGTCTGTAGTCTACTGGAAGCTTCTTATCTAATCAGTTTATACCATCAAAGATGGTCAGCCCTGACATTCCAATTTATTGACATTGGAATCTGGAAGGACTCTCTAGATATCATTATTCCTCTGGTCTTCAAGAGGTAAGAAATCCAAGCCACATTATAAGTCAGAATTGAATTCCAGCTATTGACCTTAGACAAAGTACTTTACCTCTCTGTGAGTCAGTTTTCTCTTCTTTAGAGGGGGGATATAATGATGTCTACCTAGGTAGTTGTGAGGATAAAAATGAAATAATAGCTTGTAGAAACTACTCGGTGCTGCAAGTACATCCCCAAATCGTGCTAGACTCTAGTATATTTCGGATTATAGCTAGCTATCTGTGCAATTCAGTGTAATAGAAACTGTTTAAGAAAATTCAAGCCATAGCCATGTGTAGATACTAGATCAGTAATTTGATATTTTAGAGATTATCCTCACTTGACATCTCCTTAAGGAATTTTCTTCTCCCTTTAAAACCACCAGGATCTCCCCGGCTGGAGAAAGTGTGAAATTAAATCTTCATAGGAAAGAAAGTAGATGCTAATCAGCTTTTTGGATCTTCCCCCTTGTCCTTTAAACTTGGTATTTGATCTACTAAAACTTTTGCTTAAATTGAAGTGTGCTAATTATCCATTCATTGCAGATATTCTAAAGAGTGAATGTAGTGTAAAATGCTGTTTAAAATCCACTGATTTTGAAATACTTAAAAAGTTAGATTCTGGATCTGAACTTTTAGCTCTGTTCCCCAAATTGTTGTTCATAATTAATTGAATGGTTGAGATGTTTTAGTTAACCATATTTACCAGGTATCAAGTTACTTTCAGTTTTCATGTATATGCAGACAGTTTAGTTTTACTTTTGCATTTAATTAAGTTGCTGTCTTACTGTTAAAACAAACAAACAGCTCGTATCCTACCCTATTTTGGTAACCAAACTGATTAATATATGAAATGCTGTTTGTACTAAAGTTCATTCTGCCTTTCTGGTGGCATTAGTATGTAAGCAAAAGGACTAGAGGTTGCTATGACTTGGAAAAAATATATTAAAATAATTTTCTTTATATGACATGCTGGCAAACCAGCAGTTCTATTCCTCTGTCTCTGCTCCCTTTCTTAATTGTTCCATAGAACTCAGGAACCAGAGAGCTGGAATAGAATGCACAGTTAAACAAAAGCATTAGATGGTACAGCTTTGTGAACTAAGCAGTTTACATGGTTGCAGATTCTTTCCCTTAACTCTTGGTAGAGTTCATCTAATGTTGCTTTATTGTGCAAATATATTCATTGTTTGCATTTTAAAAGATTGTTTCACCACATCATAATTATTTTTGGTGCACTTTAACCCTTTTTAAAGTGTGTCTGTAAGCCTGATTTGATTTCTCTGTTTAATAGTGGTGGTGTACCACATCAGTTCATTTGTCCTGGTATACTTTACAATAAGGCAACTCCTTTAGAAAGTAGTTTCCCAAAATGGTTTTATATCAGTCAGAACCAGATGAGTGAGTGATGCTCTGTTTCTGTGTTGCAGACATGCCAATATTTGGTTTCTGTCCAGCCCATGATGATTTCTACTTGGTGGTGTGTAACGACTGTAATCAGGTTGTCAAACCGCAGGCATTTCAATCACATTATGGTAAGTGCTTAACCATTTAAAAAATTGTTAATAGAAGGTAAAAGGTAAAGCAAGATTAAACTAAGGAACAGTGATGGCATGCATGGGACATAATGTCCCTCCCCCACCAGGAAGTAGGCTTTTTAATTCACTCAGTGGGTTAATAACTATCAGATGTTGGGTATTTTTAAATTTTTATTAAAAGTGATAGGAATTTTTTGACTTTTATTGAAATTAGAGAAAGTATAGTTTATAAAATGTCTCTTAAAATGTTGCATCAGTATAATTACAAGTTTGTTTCCTTCTGGAGCCCCTGGTTGTGAATTCAGTGGATTTTAAAATTATATACACTCACAATATGGATGCATGGGCCTTTTTTTTTTTTTTTTTTTTTTTTTTTTTTTAAGGAAATGTGATTTTGAAACTTCTCTGTTCAATAGTTCTAAATATTGGGTGTTAATTGTTGAAGAATCCAAATACAGTTAGTTGGCATTGTCATAATGCCTTTAAAGTGTTTAAGATTCTGATTCTAAAACTTGGTTTTCTGCCCAGTTTGGCTCAATAGCAAATCATAAGTATTTGAATACGTACCTTGTTTCAGGCATTGAGTATGTAGTATGATTCTTACCGCCACAGAGTTTACAGTCGAATTGGAGAGGCAGGCAAAACTAACTAGATATACTTTAAAAATAACTATAAGTTTTTTCCTCATTGCTCTTACTACTACAAATGCAAGCTTGCAATAGAGTAACATTGGGGTTCTTCTATAGATAGAGTGTTTAAAGAAAGCATCTTAGGAGGTGACACTGGAGCTGAGTCCTAAGTGATGAGAAGGAGCAACTCGGGCAGCAATCTAGAATAAGAGCGTTTGATGCAGAGGGAACAGCCAGCACACAGAAGGCCCGTGTGGCTGAAGGGTATTTAGTATTTAGAGAAGGGAGGTAGAAACTGGAGGAATCCAGCATTATAAGCAGGAACCTGATATTCATAGGCCAGGCTAAGAAGCAGCTTGGGAGCACTGGAGGATTTATGTAAGAGAGTAACACAGTCCTATTTCAGTGGTTGATTTGCTGAGAAAAATTTCTGGGAGAAGGACAGAAGTAGGGGGAATAGTTCAGAGGCAAGAGATGACACCGGACTGAGAGTAAGATCTGGCAGTAGAGCTAGGAAGACTGCATAGCTTTGAGATACTTCTTTTTTTTTTTTTTTTGAGACGGCCTCTCTGTCATCCACGTTGGAGTGCAGTGGTGCGATCTCGGCTCACTGCAACCTCCGCCTCCCAGATTCAAGCAATTCCCTTGCTTCAGTCTCCTGAGTAGCTGGGACTACAGGCACCCGCCACCACCATCTAATTTTTGTATTTTTAGTAGAGACAGGGTTTCACCATGTTGGCCAGGCTGGTCTCGAACTCCTGACCTCAAGTGATCCGCCCACCTCTGCCTCCCAAAGTGCTAGGATTACAGGCATGAGCCACGCGCTCAGCCAAGAGACGTTTTAAAGTTAGAATTTACAGATCTTGGCTGTCGAGACTGCTGTTGTTGGGTTAAGAGTCACACCATCATAAGCAACATTCCACCATTTTTTCAAGGAATAATAAATCCTTTATTTAACCATAAAAAGATTCTTTGAGTTCCTGCTTCTAGGAGAAGCCCTAGGGTAGGCACTAGAGTGGGTACAGAGGTGGATAAGATGTCATTTCCCTGCTTCTGAGTTGTGGACAATACAGACAATATTTTGGAAAAATCACTTGTAATGCACTAAAGATGGGAGGTGTTTTACTGGGGATAGACAGAGCTGCCACATATGGCTGCACAGTTTGTGCACTGAACAACCATATTTGGTGGCCCCGGATTGGCAACAAGGTTGACGTGAGCAAGCACAGGAGCAGGAAATTCCAGGCTCTCTGGGATGTGCTGCACGAGTCACCATTGGCCAGAACTGATGTACCCACCTGTGGATGAGTGGAGTGCAAAGGCAGGCTGGGACTAGCTCACAGGGCCTCAGTGCCAATCGGAGTTCCCTGCTCTGGACGTGTTGGTGAGGACCTGTTGCAGATTTTTTAGAACCAGAGTGATGTGACTTAGTGGTGCCCCAGAGAATTGATGGGTAGAGTGGATTCCTTAGGCAGAAAGAAGACCTATTCTAGGAGCATTTACTCACTGGTTACAGTATACTTATTTTTTTTTTAATCTTCTCATTTCCCTCTTAGAATATCAGTGTACGGGTAGGAAAAAGTGTTTTTTTTTTTGTTTTTTTTTTTTTTTGAGACGGAGTCTCGCTCTGTCACCCAAGCTGGAGTGTAGTGGCGCCATCTCGGCTCACTGCAACCTCTGCCTCCTGGGTTCAAGCAATTCTCCTGCCTCAGCCTCCCGAGTAGCTGGGATTACAGGTGCATGCCACTATGCCCGGCTAATTTTTGTATTTTTATTAGAAATGGCGTTTCACCATGTTGGCCAGGCTGGTCTGGAACTCCTGACCTCAAGTGATTTGCCTGCCTCCCCTTCCCAAAGTACAGGGAATATAGGCATGAGCCACCAAGCCCGGCCAGGAAAATATCTTAAAATCACATTTTTCTGTCTTTCTCCTTTCCTGCCTTTCAGTCCCTAGCACGGTATCTCCTAATAAGATACTTGTTGAATGACAAAGCGTTGGTGATAACTTCAAACATGTAAATGGGAAAGTGTGAATTCAAGATTCATTTACTCCAAGGTCTCCTGTGGCTTGGCAGGAGATGTGACTGACAAAGCCACTAGGTAGGAGGGCTGAGGTCCCTCTAGTGACAAGGGAAATATTAAAGATATGAGAGAGGAGAGTTCCTGGCAGAAAGATGAGGGCCAAGTGCTCTGAGAGAGGGATTCTGCTGGGAAATGTGTAAGGAATGCCCTCTTTGAATCAGCAGTGGAGATGGCTGCTGGTGGAATTGACAAGAGGTTTAGAGGTGGATGGGGGTTTGGGAGAGTAACTGCATGAAGTAGAGGGAGGCACCATGTGGTGGCCCTGGAGTGACACCCCACTTACTTGGAGGGAAGGAGAGGTGGGCAGGGTTCCCAGGACCAACAACCTTTCCCAGTGCTGCCACAGTGTCGTCTATCTTTTGGGGACAGGGGTTGTGACAGGAAAGATTATTTTTGGTACATTTTCTTTTTTGTTGAAATTTTTAGAAAGCCAGTTGTTGCATTATTGTTTTCCACAGTTAACAAAACACAGTTTTCAAATTCAGAATCTTTCACAGTGACTGTTGTAGTCTATTTACGTGCCAAAAGAGGGATGGTATTTTCTTTCAGTGATATTGGTGAAAATGTGTCGGCAGTCTTCTGTGAATTCATGTATTGCTGATATCCATCTGTGACTTTTATGAACAAATGAATAGTTCCTACCAACTCCAGCAGGCAGTTCCGTTAAAACCACTGCTACCAGGACAAGAAAACATGCTACCGTGGCAGCAAGTCTTGTAAAATCAGTCAGTGTTGGTGGTAAAACTATTCTGAATTGGTGAGCAGCTTATTATTCGGAGTAGTTAAGAAGCCCTGTACTTTTTTGCTAGCCAAGCTGCAGTTTTAGGAGTTAACAATTAACCAGGATTTCCATTTGAGCAATGATGGTGAATGATTGTGCTGCCATTTTGGCATTTCCAGTTTTTTCAGTCTGATTGCTCTCACAGCATAGTTTGCTTTCTTGGAAACTACATAGTAATACCATGATTTCTTGATGTTGTTTTAATGTTTTAAAATACTCCAGTGTGCCTCATATTTCTCTTCAGTTACTTAGTATTTTTAAGAATAAGGTGTGAAACCCCGTCTGTACTAAAAATACAAAAAATAAGCCAGGCGTGGTGGCGTGCGCTCCCACTTGGGAGGCTGAGGCAGGAGAATGGCGTGAACGCTGGAGGTGGAGCTTGCAGTGAGCCGAGATAGCACCACTGCACTGGAGCCTGGGTGACGGAGCGAGACTGCATCTCAAAAAAAAAAAAAAAAAAAAAAAAAAGAGTAAGGTGTTTCTTACTGCTAATTTCAGATTTAAAAATATAATTCGAATCAGTGGATCCCAAACCTGCTGTGCATCTGAATCAAAGAGGAGCTTTCTAAGTGAGCAGCTTCCCAAGGCCCACTCCAGATGCTCTGAGTGGGAATTTCCAGAGATAGAACCCAGGAATCTGCATTCTAAACAGCTCCCTGGGCTGATTCTGACACACTGGCTGGCTGGAATGCATTGCTTTCACAGATGCAGATACAGTCCACTCTGGTGGAGCTGCTGCTTGGTACATACAGTGGGAGACATACAATGACTGACAAGAGATTGGTGCTCAGAGATTCGTTGAGCCAACCAGAATGGCAGGAAGGGAGGCCCCTACTTTTTAAAGTATGTGTATTATGTGCTGCAAATGTCACATTAATTGCCAGAGAACTTTTAAGTAGGAAGCAGCGTTGAGATGGTGACGTTCCGAAAGTCAGAAGCCCCATTCTTTTGAGGTGGGAATCTTAAGTTCTTCAGTTAGTTTAGTGATAAGTGTGTTGGTCCTATACTGGCTACTGAATAGCATAAACTGTGTAGTACTACTTACATGCATTTACTCTGGATCTGAATGGTGGGATTAGCACAGGGTTAGCAGATGACTTGTGGGGTGTTTTTGAGGCTGTATACTGAGAGCTTCCCAGGAATTCCTATTTTGTGCTCTGCAGCTTCACTGAGTTTGCTTATGAAGAATACCTTAATGTTTCTCTTTTATGCAGACACAGGGGTGATATTACCTAGGAGAAATAGATGAATGATGTTTATTCAGCTTGGACAAGTACCACATTTAGAATCTCTGTGATTAATTGAAACCCTACTCAGATGTTGGCTGTTTAAGTATTTGCTTCAGATTAGTTAGGCTGATCCATTTGTTCACCTTTGGGCTCAGCTTGAGTCTCTAAGCAGGTTGGAGCAGCCACTTTTTCCCAACCTTAATCAAGTGCTGGTTTTATCATCTGCTGACTTAATTCCACTTAGTATTTTTCTTTAAATCAGACCACTTTTATTTAAATAAATCAATTTACAAGGAAAATCTTAGTAGAACAATAAAGGGGGAAACTAGTGTTGTCTGCTATAAGAAGTAGTAAATGTGAAAATGAATACTGTGAAAAGAAAATTATTTAATTTTATGT
Organism: Homo sapiens; assembly: GCF_000001405.40. Lineage (NCBI taxonomy): Eukaryota > Metazoa > Chordata > Mammalia > Primates > Hominidae > Homo > Homo sapiens. The sequence goes on from NC_000003.12 coordinate 63,957,607, forward strand.
TGATGCTTTTGCCAGTGCTGGCTCTGAGCCTGAGGCTTGCTCTCTGTTAAAATGGAGACTAGCACATTTTAGGCAAGTGTTGTCCACACAGTAGTGTGATATTATCAGGAAAATGGAAAGAGATTGGAAAGGGAGTAAGTTTTCACTTGTCATTTGATGTTATTAATATTAGAGAGTGATACCTACTCCATATTGTTGGGAAATACCAGCTCAAGTTCTTGAATTTTGTTAAATCAGATGTTTAAAGAGCTATCTACTGAGGCCAGCCTTAGCCCTAGGAAATAACAGACCTTGAAAACAGAATTTTAGAATCTCATGTTGATCTGTAAGAAGACCACGTAAGACAAATACCCTTTGTCACCTATCGATAATGTTATATATTGAGCCACTACTGATCACTGTGAATGGTATTTGAGTCTGTTGGTGAGGCTTCAGTGTAAAACATCTGCATTTCTCTCAGACTGTTCACAAACGGAAGTGTCAAAATTTGGCTTTTTCATGACTTTATGAACGTAGTTTTAGTAGAAACACTCCTGTGATCTTACAGCTTTCTCTCCTTGCACATATTACAAATCCTGTAAAATTAACAGCCACACACATTGCTTGGACTTAATGTTCCTTGATATGCATTGAGGTGGTTTGGATTCTTTTAGATGCTATCATAAATTATATTTTCTGAAACGTCATTTTCATCAGGATGAACAAATTACTTATATATTCATATGAGAAATTACTCATACTTTTTTGAGCTAAGTAATTGGTTTCAAAGAATGTTAGTACTATAAGAGAAAAATGAATTTTTTCTCTGAGATCTGATGGACTGGTTCTGGCAAAAATGCTGGTTCTCATTGTTGACAACATTTCTCATAGTTCTGACCAGCAATTGCCATCGTATAATTATCTTGCATCACAAAGCAAAGGTTTTACCATTTAATACAGAACACTTCCCTCCCCTTTTGCTCTCTGATTAACTTAGACCTGGAAAGTAACAGGTTCAGATAGTTTTTAACATGTCATTTTATTTAGCTCATAACTGTTTTTGATAAAGAAAGAAAATGTTTTTTTTCTCTTAAGTATGCTAAATTTAAGTCCACTGACTAATGATAACTTTTAATAGTACCTGGTGATTTACAGAGAATTTTTGCATGTATTATCTTATTTCCTGTTCTTAACAATCCACTGAATAGATTTTATGCTTAGTTTACAGATCAAAGTCGTAAATTAAATTTCATTCACACAGATAAAATATACCAACCAGACCATCTTTTCTACCTACTAACATTGATTTATTTTGCATGATAAGGATGTATAGAGTAAAAAAAATTCGGAGACAATATGAATTGCATGTGTCACAAAACTATCATTAGTGACAGATGTTCTAGCTGAAGTAGAATTTTAAGTTTGCTTCAAGAAGCTGGATCAGTATTGTAAACCTGTTACCTCAGAACATTTAGTAATTCAAAGATATAATGATGGTAGGTAGATAATTGATTTAGCGTAGTCATTGGATTTCTCTTCTGCCTGTTCTACTTTATTTAATTCTAAATCATAGTCGCTATCTAAAGCCAAACTCCTCCTCTTTTTGTATGAGACTCGTAGCATTTTGTAGCTTCTTTAGAGAATTGGCTGACATGTTTATTTCTGCAGTCAGTATAAAGACTGAAACTTGTTGCAGAGCAAAAAAAAATTACCTCACTCTTTTGCTTGGAAGACTTGTACCAGGTCTTTCTCCAGCAGTCGGGGGATGAGCCAGGGATGGGAGCTAACCAAAACAGGCACATGAAAACATGAATGATGTCAAGGTGGACATTAGTTTAACTCTGGAAGGAAATTCCAGGTTGGCCTTTTGCCCTAAACTTCTTGTCATTAAGTAACCATTTTTGGATAAAGAAAGAAAATGTTTTTTATTTCACTTGTCATTTATTGTTATTAATATTAGAGAGTGATAGCGTGACATACAGTGTATTCATTTTTTTCTCTGCTACAAGTGAAAAAATGCTAATTAAATTTTTCAGATAACTTAAGTAGCATTAGATAAAGGTTTATTCTCTCTCAGCTAATATAAATTTATCTTTTTTCCTTAGTTGTATTATAAGCAAATATCTTTAAAATAAAGTTATGTCATTTGTAGGAGCAACATTTTAATTTCTAGATATAAAATGTACTTATTTTTCCTCTTACTGATATCTGTGCTTTTATGAATGTCTGTGCCTTTGGGGCTGCTTTAGAAAGGAATTAAACTAGCAATGGTATTATTCATGCATTTAACAAAATTTACTGGTGCCTAATATATGCTAGGCATTGCCCTCCACTGAGGTAGGAAAACAGTGTCTATGATTTCATGCACCTTATATTCTGACTTAATACAATACATTGTATTAAGGAGGAGAGAGAAAAATGAAATTGTGTGAAATCAGATTGTTTCAGGTAGTGATAAATGCTAGGAATAATGTGAGAGAAAATGACTGGGGCAGACCACTTTAGGTAAGGCTAGTTAAAGAAAGCCTGTCTCTGGAGTTGATGTTTAAACTCAGTGATGAAAGAGAGCCAGCCCATTTGAAGATGTAGAGGACAAGTGCTTCACATAGAGGAAATAGCAAGTGCAGAGGTCCTTAGATGGAAGTGGTCTTGGCAGAAAGGCCAGTGAGGAGGCCTAAGGACAGTGTGCAAGGAGGAAAGGGGTCCAAGTTGAAACTGGAGAAAGTGGGTCCAGGACCAGATGACACTGGGCCCTGCAAGCCATGAGAAGAATCAGGATTGGACGGCGCAGGCAATGGGAAGTCGCTGGAGGGTTTTGGCCAGGAAGTGTTATGATCACGTGGTTGCTGTATGGAACACGGGGCAAATGTGGAACCAGGGAGACCAGTTAGTGAGCTGTTTTATACTAGTTAAGGTGAGAGCTGGATCAGGAGAGAAAGCTTAGATTAGGATTGTAGCAGCAGGGGCAGAGAAGTGTGAACAGAATTAAAATCTGCATCGGAAATATAAAGCCAGCAGGGCTTGCTGATGGACTGGGAAAGGAAGGGAGGAGGAATGACTCATGGGGTTTTTGGCTCAAGCAGCTGGATGAATTTACTTGAGCTTATGGATCAGGAGGTTGTTCTTTCAGTTTGTATATGGGCATTTATTTTTAATGAGGTGCACTGACCTGAATAAAAAGTGTTGATGTATTATATTAAGTCTTTAGGCATTTTCTAAAGATTATAGAAGAAAATAATTATTGCAGTGATGCCAAGTTGGGGGTGGGGGGTCATTTTTTCTTTTCAGTTTTTTAATGTTTCTGTAATCTAGTCATACAAGCCAGGAAACAAAAGATACTGTGTGCACTTTCCTGGGACTTCTCATGTATTCATTGGGTAATTGTGAAAATTTATTGACTAACAAAAACCACTGCCTTTCAATTTGTTTTTAATTATTAAAATAAAATACATTGTAAAAGAAATTAAACAACCAGAGGATAAGTATGCAATCAGACTGAAGAAAGCTCCTTCATCTTACTTTTCAGGGGTACAGTTTGACATGTACTCTTGGAGGGTTCCTAGAACCTGGACAAAGTAATATTTACCAATGTATTTTTTCCCCTCACATAAAAAAAAGTAGATTCAGTGTGAATTTACATTTTTAACTTAATAATCTATCTAAAATATTTTTTCATGTTAATACATATTGTTCTGCTATAATCTTTTTAAGGACTGCCTGTTATTCCACTTTATTAATGTATTTTCACTTAACCTGACTCCTGTTGATGGACACTTAGATCTTCAGTGTTGCATTACTGTATACAGTGCTCTAAGGACCGTCCTTCTTTGGGAATGTCTGTCAGTATTTTAGCATATTGATTCTCCGCATGGAACCTGGTCACAGTGCCCTCCAGGTTTGTACTACTGTGATTTGATGAACTACTTCAGCAGTTCTGATTTGGGTTGCCACAATAATAAGGCAGTGAAAATGTGAGTTTCTGGCAATATCTATCTTTATATATATATAAATTGTTTATAATGTGTATATGGATCAAAACATTACACTGTACTGTAAATATATAGAACTTTTATTTGTCATTTATACCTTAATAAAGTAGAGGAAAAAACAGTTGGAAATTTTTTTTAAAAAGGCTTAATAAAAATTAAGTAAGAAATTATTATTTAATATATATATGAATTGTTGATATTCACCAGTGTCACTCTTGACTTGCCTGCTACATGTAGAAATCATTAGCTATTATAGGATTGCCATGCTTCAGCTTTAATGGAGATATTTCGGGATATAAATCCATATTTTATTTATATTTTCTAAAAAGTACTTTTCCTGACAGTCATTTCACAAGACTAATTTGTACGATGACTAAGATAAACACACCTGCGATTTCAACCCCACTAAGCTGTGATCTTACATATGACCAGAAGAGGGAGTTTTTATCACTTCTTAATGCTGTGGTACCTACTACCTGACTGGAATAATTCCTCTGATGTATGTACTAGTCCAAGTCCATAAAACAGACTGGTTTGGGAGGGGCCCAATAGCTAAATTTAGCTATTTCCCTCATCCCACATTTTGTATGTAGAAATCCCACTCTTGAGGTTTACTTCAAAGTAATTTTATACCTTTTCATCTTGTGCATTTGAATGTTAAAAAAGAAGAACAGATAATTATTTCCATTTAAAATAAAATACAAATAGCCCCTGATCACACAATATAGAGTTCTTGGTTTGTATTCTCTTCAGGTCACAAATAAACTTTGGAATGAAATTTGTTTCGTTGCCTCTTATGCTTGATATATTTATTAAAAAGGTCGTTAGAACTTCTGTTTTGTTTTTTTGAGACAGAGTCCCACTGTCTCGCTCAGGATGGAGTACAGTGGTGCAATCTCAGCTCACTGCAGCCTCCATCTCCCAGGTTCAAGTGATTCTCGTGCCTCAGCCTCCCGAGTAACTGGGACTACAGGCATGCACCACCACACCCAGCTAATTTGTGCATTTTTAGTAGAGACAGAATTTCGCCATGTTGGCCAGGCTGGTCTTGAACTCCTGACCTCAAGTCATCTGCCTGCCTCAGCCTCCCAAAGTGCTGGGATTATAGGCGTGAACCACCATGCCTGGCCTACAACTTCTAATACTGAAGATTTGTAGTGAGCTTTAGAGAGTTAAGATGTTATTTTGCCAAAGTGGCTAATAGGCCTTTTTCTGGGTGATTCAACTGTGGTCTGTTGTGCTACTTGAGTCTCAGTCTGCTTAGCCAAACAAATTAAGAGAGTGACAATAATCAAGATACACTTGTTTGATGTAATACCAGAATTTTGTATTTCTTTTTTTTTTTTTTTTTTCTTCTTCAAGACAGATTCTCACTCTCTTGCCCAGGCTAGAGTGCAGTGGCGTGATCTTGGCTCACTGTAACCCCCACCTCCCGGGCTCAAGCAATCCTTCCACCTCAGCCCTTCCAGTACCTGGGACTACAGGCACACGCCACCACACCTAGCTAATTTTTGTATTTTTTGTAGAGGCAGGGTTTCACCATGTTGCCCAGGCTGGTCTCAAACTCCTGGGCTGAAGCAATCCACCTGCCTCTGCCTCCTGAAGTGCTGGGATTACAGGTGTGAACCACCACACTCGGCCAGAATTTTGTATTTAATTTTTCTTAGCTACCTTCACAGTGCATTTTTGTAACACAAATTTTTTAGACCTGTTTCTTTATAGATTTTTTGATTGGCATATGAATATATGAAATATATACACCTATAACGTATTTTTATATAAATACACAAATGTAATCATCTCAACTATTTTCAGTGCAGCCTTTTTCTTATTTCATTGGCTCTTTCAACTTACCTGCCTTCTCTAACTGTAGCAGTCCATGCTACGCTATAAATCATACATGCTGCATTCTTAGTATGTAACTTAATATGCATCCTTGTATATTTTTCTCATGCTTCTAACTCTATCCAGGCACATAGAATCACGTATTTTATTAGTAGGGGCTTTTGGTGATAGTTTTACAAAAAAGTGGATCCTATTATGCACACTTCTGCTCCTTTTCTACTCAACAATACCTCATGTAAATCCATTCACAGCCCTGGATAACACTAATCCCCTCTTTTTAATGGTTGCATACTGCTCTAAAGTGTGGCTGTGCTGTAGCTTCCTCTGCCAGGCCCTCTATGGACATTCATTTTGTTTCTTGCTTTTTGTCTGTGTGAACCAAACAGCAGTACCCACTCTGGTACATACATACTTAATTACTGGTGGTTTAGTTTCTGTGGGATAGAGTCTCAGGAAGGGATTCCTGGGTCACAAAAGACTAGTTATTTGCAGTGTTAATAGCTGCTGCTGGATTGCTTTCCAAAAAGGCTGTAATGCTTTATATCTCTACCAGCCACTATGAGAGTTATCTCCAAAGGAGTAGGTGTTGTATTTATTTTTCTAAGCTTCCATTTAATTTTCTAAAGCCTCTTACAATGTTCCTTAGACACATAAACACACACACACACACACACACACACACACACACACGTATGATTAATTTTAATTTGAAATAAATTCCTCAAACAACCACAAGTCTAGTAATACTTAATAATATGAGACAAAGAGATCTTTCAAAACGAGTGATTATTTTAAAAAATATTTAAACAATTATAGGCAGTTTCTCGGGCGTCTATGGGAAGTTTCTATTCATTCTGTATGGAATTTAAGGAAGAAATCTCATTCTCTTATGCTAGGATTCCCCTGTGCAAAATGTGAGGCCTCCTAGAGGATCATAATTTTGAGTGTGATTAATTGCAAGGCCAAGGAAAAACTATGGCCAGTTTTGTTTCTGATCTCCCTATCCTCTTTGCAGTTGGTATGACTGGTCACCTTATAAAGGTGTTCATTGTGTGTTTCAAATAATGACTGGGCTGAGGTCACGCTGTGGTTAACTCAAAGCCTGTGTAAATCAGGCCATGAAGATATATTTTATTTGCCTGCCTTACACACATGAAGTGTGGCTGAGCCCTGGAGAGCCATCGACCAAAAGATCAGCTGGAGGAAGGCTGCTGCATGGTTTTAGCCCCCAAGGTGAATTATCCCCATTTAAATTTCATCTCCCACCTCTCCTAATCCAGTGTGAGTACCTAATGAGCTCTGGATAATAACATAGCAACATTTCTAGGTGAAGCTAATCTGATTCTGGATAGCAGGCTTCCAGGCCCACAGCCGAATGAATTGCTTGGTATTTCCAAGTTTGAAAATACTTTTTTCCCCTTTCAAGTGCTCCTTGGCAGCAGGTAAGGAATGTTAAAGCTCCTGTAAGTGCCAATTAAGGCCAATTATAACTCACCCGGCCTGCTGAGACAGTGAAGTGGAGTTAGTGGAGACTTGTATTCCTGTAAAATGGAGAACTGGCTTTCACCAATGATAGGAACACAGTATTTCATAACTGCCAACAGCTTGTTTATTGCCCTCCAGAGCACTGAATGACACCTCTGCTGGCTTCTCAAGGATTCAGTTTAGGAAATCCCAAGATTTGTAGGGGACTTGACTAATTTCTATAATAGAAACCTCAGTTTTTCTGTTTCTGTTTAACTCCTCTATCATCCATCCAGTTTCTCCTTGGTTGTAATCATAATAGCTAACATTTGCTGAACGTTTAACAAGTGCTGGGCGTTGCATTACCTGCATTATCTCAAATTTACTCCTCACCCCAGGCTTGTGGGAGGAGGCAGTATCAGTCCTTAGCTCTCCTGAGTCTCTTGCCCACGGCTGCACAACTAGAAGTGCTCAGACTGCAGGCTGGCTGCCCCCTGAACCCAAACCTTGAGTGTTCCTCCTAGCCTCCTGCAAGTTTGCCTGTTTGCTGCGAATAGGCTAATGCACAGTTCAGAACTCCCTTTGTGCACTAGAGTAAAATTGACATGTGTACACCATCCAAACCACAGCTGATACATATAATTTTCGGTCAGTGAGGCACGGATGTTATTCTATTAAGATGTTATTTTAGTCTGTAGTATTTTTTTAGTCTGTAGTCTTAATTTTTTTCTTAGGGAAAAAGAAATATGACCATGTCCCCAGACCTAGACAATTAACGTCTGAGCCATCATTGGGATATTTAATATCAAAATAAACTTTATTTGGATAGGATATCGAGAAACGGTTTGAAGAAAATTGTGATAATGCTTTACAAGCAGAACAAAGCAGTATTTGCTTAAACATTTTATTCAGGGCATTAAGGGGGCACATGTGAGTGTTTAAAATTTTAATCTGAGCTTTGTTCTCAATTTCTGTGTATGTGTACAAAATTAATATTTTCCTGGCATACACGACCATTCATCCCTTTTCTGATGTAGGTCTTAAAAATAAGTTAAAATTCGTTTTTCTCTTGTTTATTTGTGAACTTAAATATAGACGTTTGTTTGTAGCATTTAAGAACATTTGCTAAAATTCACCCTGGTTTTTTACAGGGTTGCAGAACGACTTGATTCTTAGAACTGTCTTGGATTGGCTGACTCTCATAACGATATTTTTCCCCACTGTATTTCGTACAATCACTGTGTACGAAAGGGAATATTAGAAAGGCAAGCATTTGTGCTAGGAAGGCCAGCAAGGACTCTGGTGTTCTGTCATACAAGTACAGTGATAGGGAAGTGAGATTTAGCTCCAGAAAGATCCTCCTACCCTGTTCTTTTCTGCTATTGATGGCATTAAGGAGATTCCTTGGCTACCCCTGCAGGGAGGGCAGGTGAAGTAGGGTGAACAATACTAAGACCTGTGGCAATCAGGTTTTACAGCCATGGAATTTTTTTTTTCTAGCTTAAGAAAAGCTTCAGTGAATTAACTTAAAATTCTTATTTTCGCTTATGAGCTTTTAAAAAGATTTGGGAGATGTATCCTCATCCTGTGCTTCTAAGGCTTGCTGATGGCTCTTCCCTTGCGTTCTTCTAGTGTCTTCTAAGGGCTTCCATAGTTTTGGATTGTATGAACGTTACTGTAAGGAATCTGGGGGAAAAAAAGTGGGTTTCAGAAAACCCCCTGGGTCTTAGTATTGTTGACATGGGTTGGGATCTGAATCCTTGTGAAAATAGGGCAGTGCAGCTACTGTTCTTCTGTTTTAGAGTCAATTTAGAATTTGGTCTAATAGAAGCCGTTTTCATGCCTCTCTCAGAACTCTTCCCCGCACCTTTCAGGCTAAATCATTTCCACATATGTAATTCATGACTTTTGCCAAATATTCTGTATGGGGTGATAGGATTCTGTAGAAGAATCTTTTGCTGCTTCTTTTGACATTTAAAAGAGTTCATTTTGAACTATCAGGTATCTAAGTCATTATTATCATAAAACTCAGATCACTTGGCAGTTTTTTCCATGTCACTTGTGGGGATTTTTTGTTGTTGTTTTGTTTTTATTAGAACTCTGTCACCTGGGCTGGAGTGCGGTGGCACAGTCATAGCTTACTGCAGCCTCAAACTCCTGGACTCTTGCCTCACCCTCCCAGGTAGTTGGGATTACAGGTGTGAGCCATTACACCCCATTCTGTGTCATTTGACAGTAGATTTGTTGATTGGCCAGAGAGAGGGAGTGTGATAGGGATGATAGGGAAACAGGCCAGGAAGACACTGTTTTCAAGGGGGCACTCAGTGAGAGAAATTCTTGGATTTAAAAGTATGAAAGCTTTAGTCAGTCCTCTAGTGATTGAACAACAAACTGGACAAATGTGGATATGAAATTATACATATTTTACAAATATGCACAGAAAGTGGGTTCAGATATTTTGTTACTAGATTTAGGAAGGAAAAGTATGCTTAGGAATAATAAACTTTTTTTGAAAAGCTTAGCAACTGTAGATAGTATAGGGGAAATAAAACCTGGAAAAATGCTGCAGGTATTTTATAGAAATGTTTAACTTTAAGACCTTTAGGTCTACCGAGACTTAAAATGTAGGTTTTTAAATAAATCATGTAAGTTTTGTAATATACCTGGTAGTAGCTTTGTCAGTTTAAAGGTATTCAGAAAAAAAATTCACAAAATATAAGTAATTTGCATTTTAGCAGGTTAAACTTATAAATTCCATCTTCCCCAGTTTTGACAAGTTGCCTTTCCAATAGAAAGATTAATTTACACCAGCCAGGACGCCTTGTATGACCATATTAGATGAAATTAGACTCCACCCCCTGTTTTCTGTTGATCTGCCAGGACCTTTGTAATTCAAGTGCTTTTTACAGTAGTAGCAAATGTTACATAAGCCCAAACATGGAGCATATTTGGAGTTGGTGGGCAGACCCAAATCATGATGCAAGCCTGCAGTAGCAAGTGTGCAATGAAGCACAACCAAATTCTGTGAATGGAAGGTAGCAAGACGCCTCTCCAAAGCAGCCCTTCTGCGCAGGAGCTGAAAGCTCCACTGGGTAAGTTTTCTGAGGCAGTTTTCAGAGTCTGGGCTTGGCTCAGGGCCCAGCTCTGGATGAGCCTGTGGACGGTGGGGTAGGTCTTTGCTAACCTTACATAGAACCAAGCAGATTTGGGAAGAGTTTATGCAGGCCTTTTTCCTCCTGGCATTTGTCTTGCCTTGCCAGCAGGCCAGGAGGGTTCTGCTGCTCAAGTAGTGGAGGGAGGGAGCCTGCAGAGCTAGGGGATCAGCGTGGGTAATCGCAGCCACAGGGATTAGCTGCTGCAAGCTGTCCACAGAAGCCATTCTGAAATGTCATTTGAGTGATCTGGCCAAAGTTCAGATGCAGACGGGAGCCGAGTTTGTTATTAACTCCAACAAAATGCTGAGGTTTGCACCAAACAGTTCCCATATCTCAAAACAGAGAGAGTATTGGTTACATCTCTCTCTAAAAATGGAGGAACGTTGTAACACGCTTTAACTGTTTGTTTTTTATCTTACTTGTGGTAAGTGAGGTTTCATGACAGGCAGTTTGCAGTGTTTCCTGTAGAATGTGTTTGAAAGCTGTTTTGTCAGATACTTCAATTCCACAGCAAAGTTTCAAACAGAACACTGCGTCAAGAGGAAGAACAACTTCAAAATACAAACAGTAACCCTGGGAAGTCATTCAGTAACTTAAATTGAGTGTATAAAAATTTAATTATGGACTGACTGCCAGAAAAGATGATTTTTTTTAGTTGTGTTATTAAGGTAGCCAGCAGAGCTAAGCTGATTCTTGGGTGGATGTGTGGAGGCTGGTCTCAATATTACCTTACCTGTCTCAGACCTTCTGTCTTCATGCGGGAAGTGAGGTGTCAATTGAGTTCTTCAGTTTTCAGGGGATTCAGATTTCATGCCTTGTGTAATAATGAGCTTGACCGGAAGGTTTTAATTGAGGTTGAAATTGAGCTCCCCAGTTGTAGGACTTTAAATATGAAAAGATCTTAAACCTTTAATCAAATTGCTGTTGATTCTCTATAATTGATTTTTCTGAAAACTCTTGTCAGACAGTTTTAGGTTCACTGTTTCTGCTTTCGTTTTTGCATGTCACTTCTGATGTTTTATTAGTTGACAGCCCTGGCATGCAGGTGGAGCAGATACTGTTTCTCTCTTCAGAAAAAATAAATGTGTGTTGCAGACTCATTGAAAACATTGGCATTCCTGGGTAATTAATCACTCATTCCTTATTAAAAGAATGTATAATGAAGGAATCTGTAAGGCTGTGTTCAAAATGTGAGGTTTTTCTTATTTCCATGTTCTGGTCTTCAGGTATTCTGCCCTCCCCCACCCAGAATAAGGTGATATAAAAAGGATATAAAACCAGTGGAAAATGGCAATAAGGATTGTGACTGGCTCAGTGTAGCACTTTTCAGCAGATAGTTTTGTCATTTCGTTGTACCTTGCAGAGTTGCTCTTGTTTGTTGGACTGTGGGAAGATGATGCTCCCTGTTGGGATTCCTACACAGAAATTTCTATTTTAAAAGACAAAACAGAAACAACCAAACAAAAACAAGGCAGCTCCTCTAAATTGAGTTTTACCAGGTTCCTTTTATTCTCTCTCTTTTTATGTTTTTGTAAAAATTGGATTGGAGTGGTTAACGGCATAGTTTTGTTTTGTTTTTTTAATTGTCTTTTAGCATTTTGGTAATAGCCCATATGTTTCATTTGGGAAAACAGTGACCTAGACCAAATTGAGACTATAGAGATACTTGTGTAAAGACTGAGTATGTTTGATGCTTGAACTACAGATAGTATAACAAATTGGAAGGCTATCCTTATAAAGGTAAATTGCTAAAATTCTAAAGTGTTCTTTTCCCTAACACATAGAGGATTGAATCAAAAGTAGCTAGAGACTGGTGGATTTTCGTTTTGGCTCTCTCTTTTCTTCTCACCTGTATACCTGAGGTATAGAAACAGTTCAAGTGAATGATGGTGTAAGAGGGAGAAAGGGGAGTGAAATTTTACAAAATGATGTGCATCACTCAGATAGTGAGGTCAAATAAATCGGCCAGGGTGATTTATTGCTGTACTCTGTCAGCATCATTTGGGTAACACCGTGCTCTCTGAGGATAGCAGAGAGAAGTCCTTATGGCTGTTAGCAAAGTAGAAGTGTCAGCCAGCATGTCATTCATTGTGTGGTATCTGTAGTCAGAAACAGTGACATAAAGATCACAGAGGTGGCATAAACAGTTGGATGGTTGTGTTAACACTCAAAAGCAACAGCATCCTTTTCCCAAAATGTACTTTCCCTAAGTGTTGTGTGTATGCATGTGTTAGAGAGGATGATAATCCTCTGGTCAAAAGTCTGCACCTTGAACAGGGTTGCAGGAGCATAAAAAGGGCGTCCTTCAGGAACTGAACTGATCACTCAGACCACTCAGTTTTATGTAAGACAAGCTGTTTTTTGAAAGACAAAAAAAAAGGGTGTTATACTCATAGCTGAGGTGATCAACTGTTGTGACATTCTGTACCTCCTCTTTTTCCCTATCATTCCGTATTTTTCAATAAAATATTTGGATTTTTTTTAAAGCCCTTTTACAAATGTTTGCAAAAAGCAACAAGTTAGGCAGGGAAGGAGTATCCCCCAGATATTCAATAACTTTTTCATATTTCTCACATACTTGAAAGCAGAGTTTAGAAAGAACAGTCCTTTTGGGAAGAATTCCTGGCAAGAGGATTATTTGAGGTTGCCATATTTCTGCTCCTTTCTTAGCAACATTATTTACAATCCATTCACGCCTGTCCCTTCCCCCACTGGAGTGGAGTCGTTCTCCCTTGTAATCTGCCCTTTGTGATCTGTTCTCTTTCATGCAGCCAGTGTGAATGGGTATGCTGCAGTGCGCGCTCTGCCCAGAGACGTGGAAATGCCAGGAGACCCGAATACTTTAGTGGGGCCTTTATTTATGTCATAAAGCGCTGACTTCAAGAGCTTGATAATTTGATTAGGACCTTTGGTGAAAAGTTGTTTCAAGTGGCCCAAGTGCTATAAATGACTCTCTTTTCTGCACTTTCCCGTTAGGTTTTAATTTAAAAGCACCTCCGCATTAGGGGGAGGAGAGATGCCTTTGGCAGAGGTAGCAGTTGGAGACTAATTTGTTAGGGCAGCCAGTGTTGAAATCATCCTTTTCAGTTAAATCTCTCTAGTGGAAATGATGCCGAGTGCTTTGTGGCAAGGACTTTTTCTTTCTCAGTGTTTTCCAGTGCCATTTGTAACCCACCTAAGCATGCTCTGGAGTTGCCTCCCAGCCCCAATTTTGGCTAATTGTCCTTTGAGGCACTGCATGTCAGAGGTCAGTTCTGAATTCCCCAACTTGAGATTTGAATGTTCCAGGGACAGTCCCACCGACTTGCTTCCTTTTAAGCAATTAGACTACACTCAGCTCTCTCTGGAATAGTTTCATCAAGTGCCTGGGGAACATAAAGAAATTGGATCAAAGATAAAGCAGATTTAGGAATAAAAAGGACCTGGGACTACAAAGAGTGGATGGAGTAGGACCATGTTTGCTTGTCAGGCCATATGTGAGTGCTTTTAAGAAGAATAAGAAAATTTAGAGGGAAAAGTTGACAACAATGAAAGTAGTGAGGAAATATTAAATGCTCGATGTTCATGTGTAGTCCATGGTGTGATTTTCAATGGTATGCCAAATATTTTTTAATATTCGTGAGAAAAAATATATACATATATATATAAAAAACTCCTACATCAAATACAAAGTCATTCTTTCAGAGATATTATTGCTTAGGATAATGCTAAATTAGTCCCTAGTCAGCCACTGAATTTTAAAAAATATATTAAGTAAATAATGGTCTAGATATTGTGCAGATTTGGAAAAGGATCCAAAATATGGTTTAGTTGTGAATAACAAAAGTTTAGGGAAAACACTAGTCTGGAGCAAAGTAGATGTGTAAGAAAAAAGTGCTGAGTTTTTTTTGTTTTTGTTTTTGTTTTTGTTTTATGCAGTCTTTATTTCTAGTTTGCCTCAGGTCCTGCTCTTGGATGTTTTCTTAAGGAGTTATAATCCTTGTGAAAGACACATGATGCCAATTGACACCTCACGAGTTGTGTTTGGTGGCCTGGAAATGGATTATGACAGTTTGGATTAATTGGGAGCTGTATAATAGCAAGCTGCAGTTATTTTTCAACCTGGACATAAAAATAAACAATAAATAATTTTGTGAAGGGACAGCTTAATGAATGACCTGAAGTTTTTAAACTGAGCTTTTGATACATGCGTTGTTACTTACTGTGACTGGCCAAAGACTGTGTGCATGTTTACCTATGTTTTACATTTTATAGCCATGTATAACCTTCATTATTGAAAGTCCTTGCTTTAAATGGGCGTCATTATGGGATGTTTGTGGAATGGAGCTGTCAGAAGGCATGAAGTCATGCATTCCTTGAAGCATGCATTGGTATTTCTCATAAGGCCCATCCATGCAGAGTGCACACTCTGTTTAACCTTAACTGAGTCTATCTGAAAGTGTGAGTGAGTTTCATTTAAAGAAAAATATGTGGGTTTTACTTAGAAAATCTGCCCAAAATTTCCACCTTTGGATCTGTAAACTGAATTTGAGACTTGATCTTCATTTTATTCTACTTGCAGTTCTTCCTGAGTGTCTTCTGAGTTCTGTGAGGAAAATGAGCCAGCCTTTTATTTGTAAAATAACTTTAGCTTGAATGAATGTTCTTTTTGTTTGGTGTGAATTTGCTGATTTTTAAATGAATTCTTAAAGTTGCTCCCCTGAGCTCCTATCTTAGAAGAGGTTGATATCTTCCTGAAATGGCACGTAAAAATATGTATACTAAATCCTTATCACACTGGAGAAGATAACTTACAGTAAAGAGGGTTTGATTTGTTCTTAAGTGATTTCTACCTCCTTTAGAAGTCAGGAGGTGTTATTTGTGAGTACTTTTCTGTCTAAATAAACAAGCCTGTAGCTGGTATCAGCCAAGCTAACAGGGGGCCTCTGTCTTATGTGCTGATGTGTTCCCAGTACTTGGTCCACAGTAGGCTCTGTGCTGCAGGCTTTGCAACTCTTGATCGTTTAATCCACAGCAGCCCTGCAAAGTAGGCTTGGCAACTGAAGACGCTGCCAACGAGGATGGAGTGAGCTGGTTGCCCAGGGTCACCCAATTAGTAACTGGCAGAGCAAGGATATGAACCCACATATCCCTGACTCTAAAGTTCTTGCCCTTTTCAGGTAATCTTTTAAAAAGTGTTTTTATTTGATTTGGATTCTATTCAGGCTGATTACTCAACCCATACATATCAAGACTGTGCCCAGCAGTCCTGAGCCTCTGCTGGGAAGGTGACCATAAACAACCTGAGAGTGACTCGAAGCATGCATATTGTGTTGTGTATTGGTTGGTGGGTCCAGCCTTACCCTATTGAGCAGGTGTTTGCTGATGGTCTTTTGTAGAGCATCCTCACCTGGAAACTGTGTAAGTTGATTCTTTTTAGCCAAGCTATAAAGACAGCCCCAATTGGCACATTCTGTCACAGTTCACTCTTCAAACTGATGCAGGATTTTTCTTCTTGGTCACTCTGCAAACCAGGGATGCCCGGCCAGTGATACGCCCTGCTTGGGCCTCCCTCGGCCACGCTGGGTGTGCCGCAGCTTGCCTGTGTTAAGGTTGTACCTGCGTTTGGCAGTTCCTGAGCTCTTGAATTGCACCCAAGAAGAATGAGGATACGTGGAACATTGGAGGGTGAGAAGAGTGGAGAAGAATTTTATTGAGCAATGAAAACGGCTTTCAAGCAGAGAGAGGATTCAGGGAGAGGGGAATAATTCCCCCATGTGGCTGGTTCTGGGGCCCTTTATGGACTCAGAATGGGGAGTGCCTGCTGATTGGTTTGTGAGTATGCAAAAAAGTTTAAAGGGAAGGCACAACTCAAAGGTGGGCATGACAGTGTAGAAAAACCAATTTGGAAAGGGTAAGTATATATAAAAATAGGTGAAGGGTGGGGACCAGTTAGAGGAAAGCATCCCAAATGGGAAGACAAATTCTTAATCCAGTCCTAGGATTTAACCTGTAGCTTGGTTTTCAGGCTTTAAACTGTCTTCGACTTGGAGGTGGGGTTTCGTCGGAGACCCTCCCCTGTCTTTCTAGGCATTTGTCTGCCTCTATCAAAACCATCTTGGATGCTTTAAGACCCTCCAAGCAGGGAATTGCTACACTGGCTGACACACCCATAGCTGATTTTTAGCTTAGCAACTTCCAAAATGGAAAGATGAAATCGAAAACAATCTGGATTTCCCTTAAACATATTCTGGATCCCACCCTGAATATACCAAAAAACTGTCATCGATGACAAATGTTCAGCCTATGCAGACTTGTACACTAACAACCTGATTTTGCCCAGCACTTAGGGAAGATGGGCTTCTTACTGATTTATGCCCCAGCCCTCACCTTTATCCCTGCCCCTCCATCATGTATTATGACTTGCTAATAATGCCATTTCAGAGCAGGCAAGTTGCCTTGTGCTTTCACCCAGGTGCTGGAGTCAGCCTGCCTGGGATTGCACCCATCTTTGCCTCTTAAGTAACCATGTGATGTTGGACAACTGACTTGAGTCCTTTAAAAGCCTTGGCTTCCTCATCTGGAAAGTGAGGTTAATAATAGTATCTACTTTGTTAGAAAGATGGTCAGGATTGAATGAGATAATCCATGTAAATCCCGTAGCATGGTGCCTGGCATGTGGTTTCTACACAGTACACAGTAGCAGCTGTTGTTGATGTTGTTGTTCTTGAAGGTGAGATTTCTCATCAGCCAGTTGTTTGGATTATAAAAGATTAGTAAAATGTTTAATAAGTTATAAGAAAAGAGCCCTGAATAAAGGGTATGGGAAGGGTTGCAGCTTGTGAGTTACCATGAGATGGTGGAAGGAGGTTATCTGAAATTGAATGAAAAATTGTAGCATCAGATGTGTTTGGGTGTGGTTAATAATACACGTGGTGGTGAACTGAGGTAGATGGTAGAAGTTTGAGGGTGTACATTTTGAATCTTCCCACATGGCTCATTTCAGCCAGTTACAGTTTTCTGTGTTCACCTAGTATTTCTTACAGACAAAAATCATGAAAAAGTAAATGCAAAATTTCAACATGTTCGAATTGTTTCTTAGTATATCGGTGGCTTTGGAATGCATTTTCATTCTCAAAACAAGCTTTATAGCAGAACTGAAGATATTTAATTCAGGTTCTGTGGGGGTTTCTTAGTAGTTAGCCACTTGCATGATACCCGTTGAGAATGGGACAAATTGATACTATGCTCAGGAATGATAGTATGCCTTGCTTTATTTTGGCATGTGTAAAATTGAAACCAGAACACCAAATTTTTCTTCTTTAGAAGTATGTATTTGATAACCAAGTAAACTGTATTCATTATAGAAAAACAATACACAAATGTTTTAAAAAATAGAGCCATAATCCTGGGAATAACCACTTTTTAAAAAGCTTGACATATATCCTTCTAGATTATTTTCGAGTATGAATGTTAGCATTTGGAGTTACATTTTGTTTTGACTGCTTTTTAGATTTGTGCCCTAATTTTGACAGTTGCTCACTGTAAATTATTTTTAGTTGTTTTCAAAGCAATATTTATGATATAAAAAGATCTAATTATTTGCTTTGAACTCCTTTTTGGTGTGTACCTGGATGTTAATACTTATAACTTTAAAAAAATCTCAGCGTGAATTCAGAATTATAAGCTTAGTATTGGTTGCATTCTATTTTGGAAGACCTATAGAGAGCTGTCCACCCTCCTACACCACTACTAATATCCTGTCCTTGCCATGTGACGTACTGAAGCCACAAGGGGAAAGAGCCCCATGAAGCTCTGTCTCCCTCTCTTCTCCCCAGCACAACACACACATACACACTTAGGCATGTTTGTCTTTCTTTGTCTCTGCTCTTTTCTTGTGTCTGTACTTGTCTGTCAGTCGGCCTGTCTCTCCCTTACTGGAGCCATTCATCATGCCCTCCTCATTCAGGGACAGAGTGTGCTTTCTCTGGGCTGGTGCCAGATCCTGGAGAGAGGAGCGCTTTGAAAACTCAACTTGGACTCCTCAGCAGACCACATTGCAGTTGTGCTCAGCATCTGGCCACCACTTTGTCCACTTAATATAGGGTCCCTAACCCCACCTATAATTTGCCCACTTCTCTTCTGATCTGGGAGCAAACACTTTTTTAGAGCTAGATGCCCAGTTTAAAATCCTGTGAAAAATAAGAGCTCAGTGAAAGGATAAGGGGAGTCCAACTCAACTACAATAAATTTGGTTTTTCCTTCTTGCTTTCTTGTGGGGGGAAAGCCAGATGCTGTCCTTTTCACAGAGTAAGTTACCAGTCCGTGATAATTCAGTAGCATGACAAGAATTTGAGCTGGCACTTTTCAGCCAGAATCTCAGTTACTTACACACACTACACACACACAATCTGTTTCAAGTTTTAATGAATGAAAAATTCACATGATAGATTGTCATTCTTAGTTTTTAAATAGTTTTTATTGTTATTGAAGTAGAAAATAGACTTTTTTGGGATATTATCGATACATCAGCAGACTTTTAACTTAAGAAGCTTTGAACCTTGATTTTTCTAGTGGAATTCCATATTAAGAGTTAATAGGCAAGAAAAGAAGATTTTAACCAAAGAAAACGGGGAGGATGGACAGTGATGGGAATGGAAAATTGAAAGGACAAGCTTAAAGTTACAGTCAGTTCTGCTATAGCACAACATGCATTCCTAAAAAATTACTGCACAATGCAAAATTACGCAACAAAAACCACATGAGGCTTATTGGGAAAACAGGGTTATGGCACAACACTCAAAGACCTCATCAGTGACACACACAGAAAAACATAGGAACCTAATGAAAAGGGTAGCACAGTCTTACAAATGTTAAATGGTAAAAAAATACATAAATACTAGAATAAACATGGCAGTTACCTTGAAAAGACCTGGCATTTGCTTGTGGAAGGCGTGGGAAGGGTTGCAGCTTGACTGTGAAGTCATGGAAGGAGGTTATCTGAAATTGGATGAAAAACTGTAGCATCAGCTGTGTTTGGGTGTGGTTAATAACACCCATGGTGGTGAACTGAGGTAGATGGTGGAAGTTTGAGGGGTTGTGCATTTTGTGTTTTCCTACGTGGCTCATTTCAGCCAGGTATAGTTTTCTGTGTTCACCTGGTATTTCTTACAGACAAAAATCATGAAAAAGCGAATGCAAAATTTCAGTATGTTCAAATTGTTTCTTAGTATATCGGTGGCTTTGGAATGCATTTGCATTCTCAAAACAAGCTTCATAGCAGAACTGAGGGTATTTAATTCGATTGAGAATTTTATCTAATCATTTGATCTTCAAAGAAAATACATCACACATTTGCTCTGAGACACCTGCTTGAGAATTCTGATACCTAGAGTGTACTTCTTAAAAGTCAGAGTTCTAGTTGAGGGTTTTCTCTGTCTTCTTCATATCACAGACATGCTGTTCCTTTAGTGCACTGTTTCAGGGGGTACACAAGGTGATTTTTGTAGATAAACACGGATGAATATTTTAATGTTCAGTTTATATAATAAGCTTATTGAACTTACTGTTTCACAGATACTATTGTTTTGGAAAAAAATCTATCTCAGCTGAGGGTAGAGGTGCCCTGCTTCACTCTGGGGCCCATCTGGAAATGGATTAGGGGGTGGTTTCAGGTTGTCTTTGGCAGACGGGCACTACTGGTGAAGAAGCAGTAGGAGAGTAGGAATGCTAACCATCCTGAAATCCTGTATGAAGAATTGTCCTGTCTGAAATACCAATGATGTCCCCATGAGAGACTGGCTAGTATTAGAGTAAGGAGGAGGAGATGATAGAATTGATAAAGTAAATTAAAATGTTGAGTTTTAAAAAAATAGTATTTTATGTAGCTTTGGTAAGAACGATGAAAATAGTTTGCAGTTGATGAAAATTTGGAAAACACTAATTCAAGACAAGTAGTAGTGGTGAGCTTCATTTGACAAACCCTTTAGTGCCTTGTAGCAGGCAGTATTCTCAGTGCCATGCACATGATAACTTACTCAGCTGTGGTTAATGGTTCTTGAGGCATTAGCCTGGTCTACTGTAGTGTCTCAACCGTGGCTGCACAGTAGAATCAGACAGGGAAACTTGTCAAAAATCTGGATGCCTAGTCCACACCCCAAACGAATTAACTCAGTCTCTGAGGGAGGGACCTATGCATCAGTGTTTTTAAAGCTCCTTACGTTATTCCAGTGGGTAGCCAAGGTTGACAGCCACTGGTCTAGGGCCTTCCAAAATCACTCCTTTTCACAAGAAAAGCTTTACTAGTCATGCAGAAGTTAATTGAAGACCTCTGTCCCATGCCTTACAGAGAAAGACAATGGAGACATGGCCCACAGAAGCTGTATCGTCTAAGGCAGGTGACAAAACTGCAAACACATGTTTACAATCCTGGCTGACAAGTGCTGATGCTTAAAAGTATGTTCAGAGTGTTTGGGATCATAAAAGAGAGAAAAACTAAATTTAAAAACATCTTCAGATGCCAAATTTGGAAAACTGCCGAACTGAATTTATTTTAGTTTTTTATTCCTTATACACAGCTTTCATTTTGGGGTGAACAAAAAGCAAAAGGCACTTATAAATCACTATCAATTTAACCTTCCTAACTTGATTGTAGCCTTTGTGTAGTTGAGTTGGAGAATAGAAATTTGAATTTTGTCTGTAGATAGCTAGGATAATAATTTTGTCCTGATGTGGAACACACAGTTAAGTACTTTATAAGCCATCATTGAAGTAATGCCCTTCCAGGAATAAGTCACCACAGTTTTACCAAGAAGCTCAGGACTGCTATAAGAAGATCTTTGGAAATAAACCATTGAAGTCTTACTTGTGGTCATTGATCATCATGTGCTTAATGTTTTAAATACTTATATAGCTCCTGTATTGTGATAAGGCAGTGTTGGATCACATGCATTTTAAAACTTAGAGTTAAGCAAATGTGTAATTTTAAATTAATTAATTAAAGGCAGCCACTAAGGTACTCAAGCGGATAAAGTTACCAAATGATTTACTTGTTTCTGATGGTAACATTCTTCAACAGCTCTTGATTTATATTAGTATGGATTACCTTACTCTAAGAAAACCTGATTCTCCAGTGGATAGATTTATTTTCAGCTAAACCTTTGTAGTCTGTACTTAACCATGAATTACTTCCTGGTTTAAAAAACAGGCGTAGCTATTTGTGGTATTTTTGTCTTGCGCCTTTGGCATCTTAGCGGTGTGAACCGGAGCTATGCCATCTGTAGTCAAGTGAGATTATTAAAAAAGGGGGGGTGGGAAGTGAAATGATTCACTGGAAAATTTCAGCACAGATTCTTAGGGAACGATAAGATAACCCTAGAAACATTCTTATTTGGTGTCATCTGCTGGTGGGTAGTGACAGGGAAAAAAAAGAAGGTACAACTTGTTTCTTAAGATTTTGCTATTTTGAAAATCAGAGAGGTGCGGTGTTAGAAAGGAAGAAAGAATTGCTTGCAGTGTCATTTAGCAGAGCTCTGCAGATGAATGAATAATTTTCCTCTCTCTTAATGCAAGTTGGAGCCAATGAGGTTCATTTTTAGCACGCAAAACCCAAAAGGCAATATTCTCATGTTTACGATGGTTGTCTAATTTCCTGATGGGTGTATGTGATAAAACTCTTTATGCTGAGATACTTCAGAAAGAGAAGGACCCGTTCCTAGAATGCTAAGTAAGTCTGTGGGGCCTAGATGAGCCATTTCTGAAGTCTGCTGAGTTTAACATACCTTCACTTAACGACACGTGTTTTAACCTGAATATATTGATTTCAGGGAATTCTTCCAGAATTACATTTGAGATTCGCCTAAAACATGATGTCTTTTTTTCTTTGCTTTCGTTTTCAGAAAGAAGACATAGCTCATCCAGCAAGCCGCCTTTGGCCGTTCCTCCCACTTCAGTATTTTCCTTCTTCCCTTCTCTGTCCAAAAGCAAAGGAGGCAGTGCAAGTGGAAGCAACCGTTCTTCCAGTGGAGGTGTTCTTAGCGCATCCTCATCAAGTTCCAAGTTGTTGAAATCACCCAAAGAGAAACTGCAGCTCAGGGGGAACACCAGGCCAATGCATCCCATTCAGCAAAGTAGAGTTCCCCATGGTAGAATGTGAGTATGGCCAAGAGGGTTTTTAAAGCTTACCTGCTGGAAATGAAACTGTGTACACTAGTGGCATGTGAGAGTGCCTGTGAGTAATATAAAAGAGAGTCTACTTGGGGAAGAATTCAAATGTATGTTGTATTGTTTCTTGATGTTTCCCTGTCATGTCATAGGAAACTTTTCAGAGTAGTAATAGCAGTGATAATAAGGTTACTAACATTTATTGATCCATTCTTGTGTGCTAGCTACTGAAACCTAACTCTATGTGTGTACTATGTCACTTATCACAACAACCCTATGGAATAGGTACTGTTACTATCCTCGTTTTCCAGATGAGGAGAAGGAAGCTTCGTGAGGTGGGGGAGTTTTGTCCAAAAAGGCCTCAAGTCACATAGGCCTGGATTTGTGTCCCATTTCTGTCACTTCTTAGCTGTAGGGGTTTGGGCAAGGCACTGTTTCTGTCTAAGAATAACAGCCACTATGCTGGGTTATTGAGAATATTTTAGTTAATATATGTCTAGCACCTGGCATAGTGTCTGGCCATAGGGGACGGTTAACAAATGGATACTGGCACTCCTGCTACTGCTGCTGTGGATAATAGTAATGATAAAAAGATGCAGAGATTCCCAGATGCTGCTGTAGAATTTTTGGGGGTCTACGGAGCAAATAGGGAAGCAGTGCTTCCTCCCTTCAGCCTTAGGTTCACATCACAGCAGTGATGAGGGAAGACTGAAGGAAGTTCACACCTGCCAGGCATGGCTTTGGCAAGTTTCCATGGTCACTCAGTAGATTGACAGGTTTCTTGAGGTCACGTGAGGGAGCAGCCACGCACTCCAATAGGAACATGCTTCGCCTTGTCATGGCATCCCTCAGCCTGGTGACGGATGGCTTTTCTTGGGCCAGCCTGCTTTTGGAGGGTATAGCACACATCGTAGGTCCAAGATCCGGTAACCTGGTTAATCTCAGGGTAGGGTCCAGCACCTGCTGCTGCATAAGGACCTTGCCAGCTGGGAGAGGATGTGACATCTTGCAGTCTCTCTACTGCTGTCAGGCTATTCCAGGTACAGTTGTTTGGGGCTGTTTGTCCTGGTTGCTAAGCCCCCAGCCCCTGTTCTTCTGTCAGAAGTACAGTACAGCAAGCTTGGTTTTTGTTCCGGGAGCAGTCTGAAAGCCACAAACGGTGCCAGTGTAGTGTGTAAGTCACTGGCCAGCTTAACAGCTGTTAGAGCACTGACTCCACTGAACAAAGTTTATACAACCTCATTGATTCAAATCTTCTTTACTTAGAGCTAGGCCTTTAGATAGGAACCAGGCCAGTTGTTAGCTTCCTACCAGTATTTTCAGTTTTACCAAGCAAAATGATAGTGTCAGTAAGATTCCAAGATTCATATCTTTGTTAATGGCACAGGTATTCCCTAAGCTCCTGTCATAGAAACATTTTTCAAGGACTGGAGAATTACCACTTTAGTGACACAACATATATTTATTAAACACTAGTCTCCCTTATTGACAGAAGCAAAGAACCTCTTCTTGGAGATATGTTATTTAGCATGTTTGAGTTCTCATAAGTCTTTAGTGACATTTATTGGAAATATTTGCTCACTCAGAAGTTTACTTTGTTTTGATGAATCCTTTCGTACAAATGGCAGTCCTCAAAAGATATTCTCCAAGGGTTCTGCAAATAGTCTTTGTTTCTTTTAGACCTTCTCATGTTTTGCTTCTTATAGAAATTGCATTGCATTGGGTATCAGGTCTGAGTTTCCCATTGCCTCATGTGTAAAATTTTTTGAAATGATGAAAGACCAGGCAAATTTGATGGTCCACTGAGGGTTTTGCCTCACCAGAAGGGCTTATAGACTTAATCAGTATGAACCTTACTAACAAAACTCATAAGGAGCCTTCCAAGAGGCTGGCCCTGTGCAGCGCTTGGGTAGGCCCAGGCTCTATCCTCATCCCTCTGGCTCACCATTCACCTGGGGGCTGCTGAGGCACTCAGGCACTGGTTTTCTCACTTCCTCCTGTGACAGCATGACACCCTCTGTGAAAGTGGAAAAGATTCATCCGAAAATGGATGGCACACTACTGAAATCTGCGGTGGGGCCAACCTGTCCTGCTACTGTGAGTTCCTTAGTCAAGCCTGGCCTTAACTGCCCCTCAATACCAAAGCCAACCTTGCCTTCACCTGGACAGATTCTGAATGGCAAAGGGCTTCCTGCACCGCCCACTCTGGAAAAGAAACCTGAAGACAATTCCAATAATAGGAAATTTTTAAATAAGAGATTATCAGGTAACTTCAAATTTTCTTTCTTCATAATGCTTCTCTATATATTAAATGGGCATTCGTGGGGAGCAAATCAACTGCAATCTAGAATTCCTATTTTTAAAACTGGTCAACTTCAGCTTTAGGAGGAAGTTCCTTAGTTAATATGTTTGTTCTTTTCACTCTTGGGTTTTAAAGAGCATGAGTGTGTGTGTGTGTGTGTGTGTGTGTGTGTGTGTGTCATGTAAAAGTAGCTTTCTAGTGGTGTATTTCTGAAGGAAGTAATACAGACTTAAACAATATCTTTTCTACCATCTGATGGCAGTAGTCACCCCCTGTCTTAGTGATGTTGCTGCTTTGTTGCAGCACTCACACGTTGTATATTTTTTATTTTATTGATAATGTGGCTTTTATTCCAGCTATAATTTATCTAACTGTTGATTTCTTCTATTTTCTTGCTTAAAAAATACATGGAGGAGAGTTTGTCAGGCCACATGTAATGCCTGTGTTCTTTTGACAGAAAGAGAGTTTGATCCTGACATCCACTGTGGGGTTATTGATCTCGACACCAAGAAGCCCTGCACCCGGTCTTTGACATGCAAGGTAGGTGGACTCCTGAAAGTCAAGTCGACCATCCTGATAAACATGGGTGACTGGGATGTACCACACTACTCCCACAGTCTCTCTAACCCAGAGAAGATGCTCTGTGGATTGTTGTGAATTGTGTAGGTGAAGGAATAACTTGGTTCTGTTGAAGAAAGCCTCAGATTGACAAAATGTGAAGTGCGTTGTTATAAATTATAATCTTGACAGAGGTTTTGTTTCTAATGAGCAGTGTTGTATCCACAGGAATAGTGTTCTCTCCCAGTCTGTTATTTTTAAAAACTTTTAATATTTCCATATAGGCTACCCTTGACTGTGCTTTAAATTATACTGGCTTAAAGCAAGTGCAGAAATTTCCCTTGCGTGTGTATGAACATTTAAAAAATGTGTCACCCATGGTCTTAAATTTTAAAGAACCACTTTTTAAAAAATCTGTGATTTTGAAATATCCCTGTTTTCTAGTTTAAAAAAAAAATACTGCAAGCCAGGCATGCCTGTAAGTCCCAGCTAGTGGGGAGGCTGAGGCAGAAGGATTGCTTGAGCCTAGGAGTTTGAGTCCAGCCTGGAGAACATTACGAGACCCATCTCTTTTAAGAGAAAAAAAAAACTAGATAAAATATATTAATAATTTATATACAAGCTAAGAAAATGTAATGGTCTTCCTTTTTGCTCTGGGGTCTTCCTTCTTTTAAAATGCCAGTATGCTAATAAGGTATATTTGCTGAAAAGTGTGGGTTATTGATGTGGGGTGGCTTCAGGTCATCAGTGAACACCTCTACATAAATGAGCTTGTATGTTGATGTGCATTTCTCTGGAGGGTGTCCCCAGCTACCCCCCAGATAGGTTCAAGAAGCATTCAGAGTCACTGCTTTGAAGTATGTAATTTTAAAACCTTAGAGGGAGGAAGTAAAAATGATAAAAGTTAGCATTTTCTTCTAAAAATTAATAAAATTGTTAGTGTTTTACTTTAAATTTTATTAAAGTGTATTTGAATAAAGGACTTCAGGCCCTGTCCCATGCCCCAGCCAGTGGAGGCATGTTACAGTCTTCTGGAGTGGGAAATTTTTAAGTGGTTCTTACTTTAAGCTTCTAATTTAATTTTAGTATATAGATTTTGTCTTACAACAGTGGTTCAGAACCTTTTTGGGGAAAAGGGTTGGTCAAGAGTACCTTTAAATATCTCATTTTTAAAAAAAAAAAACCACGGTCCATCTTCCGAGAATAAAATAGTGCATACACATACACATTCTGAATTTTTCTATCTTGGATTAATGGACACCCCCACCCCAAGCCCATCCTTGGATTTCTAGGTTAAAAACTCTCATAAAACAAACTGCTTTTTTTTTGTATAGGGTACTAATTGGACACACAGTGGTGTAGTGGTGGTGGTGTATGAAGATAGCCACCTGAGTTCTGTAGAATTATGTCAGTTTCAGCTGTCCCTAAGAGAATGTGTGAAAGCATGCCTCAGCCCTGTCCACATCATGATCACAACTTGCCATTCTCCTTCTGCGCTCTTCCTGCCTACCTGACTCTCAGTAACATGGATTTCTCAGTAATACAGTACCTGTGGGCAATGAGGTTTGCTTTTTTCAAACCCAAGATGTTCTTTTTCAGTCATTTACAAAGCGTGGCAGGGAACCACACCTTTAAGTGTGCAAGACAGTATTGTTGACTGTGAAAGAATATTATACAGCAGATGTCTAGAACTTGTTCATCTTGCTATAACTGAAACTTTATGCTCATTGATTAGTAACTCCTTATTTCGCTCTCCCTTCAGCCGCTGGCAGCCACCACTCTAGTTGTTGATTCTGTGAGTTTGATTATAGATCTCATATAAGTGGAATCATGCGGTGTTTAGTCATTATGTGACTGGGTTATTTATCTTAGTATAATGTCTTCAAGCTTACCTCATACTTGTTGTAGCATATTGCAGAATTTCCTTCTTTTTAAGGGCTGAATAGTATTCCAGTGTATGTATATACTATGTTGTCTTCATCCAGTCACCTGTTGACAGACATTTATATTGTTTCTACATCTTGTCTATTATAAATAATACTTCAGTGAACATAGGAGTTCTAATAGCTCTTTGAGATTCTGATTTCAGTTATTTTGGATAACTACCCAGAAGTGAGGTTGCCAAAAGTTTTTTTTCAACTCAAAATCTTCAAGGAGCTTGACTGGCATTCTTCCTGTGCCTTTATTGCTAGGTGGAGTGACTTTGAATGGGTCTGCATTTTTCTCACATCTTCCTTTTCAAATGATATATGCTCCCCTTGTCGTCCTTCTTTAAGGGTGTCATTACTCTCCGTGGCATTGGGCTAAGCCTGTCATTGCATTAATAAGTCTTGAGACCCAGCTTGTCATGAGATCAGCATAGAACTGGCAGAAAATGCAGCATCCACCAGGCCTGCCCTTTTACAGGATGACTTGACTTTTTTTCATTGTTTTGTCAGTTCTTTTCCTTTTCCTTGCCTTCACGTTGGTCTGAATCTATTAAGCTTGGTAGGGCTAAACATGCCTGCATGTCCCTACCCTGAGTGTTTCCCAAGTTGCTGCCAGGTCTCTTCTGTCTTAGACTTAGAACGTTATCTGTTCTCTTCACCGTCAGGGGATTTGCTGCTGTTCATTCCCATTACTCATTCTCTGTTGTCTGTCTCCCATCCTCACTGCCCCTCCTCACTTCTTCATCTGTCTAATATCCCGTCGAAAGTCCTCTGTGCCTTCCACGCGGAGAGATTTGTGACTCCTGTAGCCTTTGTCCATTCACTCATTGTAGAACTTTTTATTACGTACATCTGTGAGCACAGGCCTCACTCTTTCTAGGTCGCAGGGAATAAAGGGTTTAGCACAATAACCACGTGTTCCCTATGCTTGTGGTGCTTACAGTCTAATGAAAGAGATGGAGAGTATTAATCACCAAAATAACTGTAAAATTACCACTGATGAGTTATAAAAAGATGAGAGGACTACATTATGAAAGCCTGCAAAAATGAAGTTTTTCCAGGGAAGGCTTTCTTGCCATAGGAACATTGGGCTGAAATCAATGTGATGATTTATCTGGGCTTGAGAGGGATGGGAGAGGTAGGAGAGGTGGAGGAAACAATATGTGTGAAGGCTCTGTGACAGGGGCAGAGCAAATTCCTTAGAACCTTAAAGCCAGCCAGGTGGCTGAACAGAAAGAGGGAAGAAGAGGTACGCGGGACCAAAGGAGCAGGGAGCAGTAAGCAAGGGTCTTAGAGTGTGCAGGGTTCCGGAGCCTAGTTATGCAGTCAGTCTTTATCCTGTGAGCCTTGGGCAACCCCTATCGGATTTCTGTTTGGAATGTTCTTCACAGCTCAGTGGAAACCCTACTTAGGCTTCAAACTGAGCTGGGAAAATGTATCTGCCTGCTTTCTTCATTTGGCTGTACTGTGCTAGGCACCGGGAACATTCAAGCTGAGGAGAGGTTTATACATCTGCTTGGAGAGACAGGCAGGTGGACCAGTAATATTATATGTTCATTCGTTCTTTCAACACACGTTGGAGGGCCATTATTTTTATAAACTTTTTGTTTGAAGCATTTGAGCGTCAGGTACTCTTCTAGATGCTGGTACAACACAAACAAAACAAAGTTCCTGGTCTTTAGGTTACTTTCTTAGGGATATTTTCCATATTAAAGAAAATCAAGTAAAAATGTAAAAAGCTAAACACATTTGTCTGTGCCAGGTTAGATTATTTAGGTAGACATAGTTTGCAGTGTGTCTCGTAAGGAGGTGGGTTGTGTTATTCAACCGAAAATGGTAGTTAGAAGCATAATTCCCTTTTTAAGTCCCTAAAGTTGTACCAACTATGCCAATACATTTGTATTATGTGTAGGGGCATGCACACACACATTTACAATATTTTGTAATATAAAAGAAGGAAACGTGGGTGAATTCATTTATGTTTATGGATATGTGATTAGGGGCCACTGTAGCTCATGTAAACTCATCCACTCCTCAGGATTAGCATCTCCTTGCATTTTTACAGACTGAGATCTCAGCAGTATGGAATGGTCAGGTTTAACTTGAGTGATTGGACTCAACTGCCAATAAGATTTGCCCAACTCTGACCAGTTCACACTTGTACATTCAACTTTATCTTCTGTTAGCAATAGTATTAGGCTTATTTGTTTTGTTTTGTTTTAATGCCAGTAACTATGAAATGCGTTTGGACTACAGACACATTTTCTTATACGATTTGCTTCAACCACAGGTGTGTGTATTGGTTGCCTTAAGACAAACACTGCCATAATTTGACTTTTCTTTTTCCTCTGTGTATCCATTTCTTAATTCTGAAATTAGACATTGTCTGAAGACCCAGGGGTGTTGTCCATCCCATTTCCTTAATTTCCATAGCCAGTGTCTATCTATAGGGATTACTTTGTCTCCCTTCCTGTTCATAGCATTTCTTCTCAGCCTCATCTTCTGTCCAGTGCTCCTTGGCTGTGGCAGTCTGTCTGCAGAATGCTTTGGGCCACTTTCTATTTTTGCATGGCATTTTCATTGGAATAGAGGGACGCAATTGTGTTTAATTTTTATTCTGTGGAAGTTACTAAAAGAACACTTTCTGATACATGTTTTATGGAATGATTGTTTCTTCCCTTTACATTAACATTCAAAATTTTAAATGGTCCAAAGAGGGTTTTTCTAATGGAGTCAATAAGAGCCCCCAAAACCAAATTGCTGTTGTGTCACAAAACATGAGTACTTGTTATATAGCGCTAATGGTTGCTCTTAGTTACATACCAGGTGTCACCGCTCACATATCTTTTTTCTTCTGATGGAAATAACATTTCCAGATTCTTCTGCATTTAGAGCCTAGAACGTATGCTTCTAGTCTAGCTAGGGAGAAAATAATGGGCTCTTAAGGTTTTTAGCTTATCAAATGCTGAGTAGCCTTTCACTATGCTTATGGTCTAGATTGCTTATTTATTGGGAGTGGTGTTTTGGGATATAAGGCAGACCAAAAATTATTAATGAGATTCCTCAGTTTCTGTATTTTTTTGGTCCACAGACACATTCCTTAACCCAGCGCAGGGCTGTCCAGGGTAGAAGAAAACGATTTGATGTGTTATTAGCCGAGCACAAAAACAAAACCAGGGAAAAGGAATTGATTCGCCATCCGGACTCTCAGCAACCACCGCAGCCTCTCAGGGACCCGCATCCCGCCCCTCCTAGAACGTCACAGGAGCCGCACCAAAACCCTCACGGAGTGATTCCTTCCGAATCAAAGCCTTTTGTAGCTAGTAAACCTAAACCTCACACCCCCAGTCTTCCAAGGTAAGCCAGGCCCTCCAACTCTTTCTCCCACCTTCAGAGATGAGACTTGCAGATACTGTAAAATTTCAGTATGGTCATGCTGTTGAGAAACATATCTCAGGCTCACTGTGGAGATAGTTTTTTAAGGAGTTTTACTATGAAAAAAAAAAAGGAAAGGTTGAGTTCAGTAAGTTTCAACCAGGGCTCCTCTTGGTTGTAAATGCAAGCAGCAAAATAAAGCTAGAGTTATCTGCTCTATACTTGCTGAACATCAAGTGTCTCAACTCTGTTGAGCAGGCAGAAATTGGGTCCTTCCTGCGGGTTAGTGACAGGAACTCTTCACATGGCTTTGGCAGCAGTTTCCCTTTCATTTGTCTTTATATAGCAGTGGGAATTCTTGCTAGGGACAAGCCGTTTAGCCTGAGTTTTTACAGCATCCGTTTATCAATGTGTTTTCATTCATTCATTTGGGGCTTTGGCCCAAGCATGTATTAGCACTTTAGTAGCAGAGTAAACAGTGGATCAGAGTGTTTTAATGAGAACTTATACACATACCTCAGAGACAGTGATGGTGGAATATGTGTGTGTTTGTGCTTACATACTGAACCAAGTTGAAGTAAAGACTGTACCTAGTTTCCAGAGGGAAGGGAAAGAGAAAGGCATAGAGAAAGAGGGGCTTCAGTGTTGGCCGTTCATTTATTGGGAGCAAGAGCTTCTGCTGAGGAATGTGCCAGTCCTCGGCTGCTATTGCTTACCATTTCACCCTCACATGTCTGATCTTTAAAATGGTTGCATAAAGGTGGAAGCATCTCCCTCGTGGAAACCCAGGTGCCTGTTAGAGCCTGTCCCAACGTGAGCTTTGTGGTTTCTGTGCAGTATGCTGGAGGAGCCATCAGAGGAGGCTCCTCAGAGTGTGGTCAGGACCTGGCCAGAGATTTCCTCCCCAAGTCCTTTCTTTGGTCATCTTCTCATTGAAGTTTTTGCATCTAGAAAAATGTAAGCTTAATTCCAGAGACCATTGTAGGTGTAGGAAAAATACATTACTGCCCTTGAGTAAGAGGCTGTAGGCTATCCACATAAAGTGGTAATACCACCTTATTCTTGTATCACCTCCTGTCTCTCCTAGGTTATCTTAGAGCATTTTGCAAATTACAGTCAGCCCTCTGTATCCATGGGTTTCACATCCGTGGTTTACACCAATTGCAGATTGAAACTATTTGGGGAAAGAAAAATTGTGTCGTACTGAACATGTATAGGCTTTTTTTTTTTCTTGTCTCAGTATTCCCTAAACAATACATTACATAGCATTTACATTGTATTAGGTACTAAAATAATCTAGAGATTATTTAAAGTATACGGGAGGATGCGCATAGGTTATATGCAAATACTACACCATTTTATATCAGGCCACTTTGTACATTTGTGGATTTGCAGATTTTGCTATCCCCAGGAGGTCCTGGCCTCAATTCCCCATGGATACCGAGGGACAACTATGTTTCATTTATTGTGTAGGTAAACCAAATCCAGTTGAAATTTGAAGAGGAATCAAAGAATTCTGTTAAATTCCACATGTATTTCCCCTTCTTTGGGGGAGAATAGAAGAGGGATCTGAACCACCCAAATGGCAATAGAAAGGATTCGTTCTAAGTTACCTTGATTGTATCTGGCAAACAGCTGAACTTAACATCCTGCAGTTCAGGAGAGAGGTTCCTTTACTCCCAAGCCACCTGGATCAGCATCTGTTTTCCCCCAGTGCTAGAGGTGGAACCCAGGCCTCTGCTAGGTTGTTTTGGACACACTGTTGTATCTCAGTTAAGGTGGCTGATTCCCAGGTGTGTGATCTGATCCGTGCTGCACTTTCTACTCACCAAGGCCTCCAGGCTGCCCTGCTCAGCAAGGTGGGAGTGCCCCCATTGACCCTCCTCCAGTCCATGAATCTCCACACCCTCCCCTGCCTGCCACTGAGCCAGCTTCTCGGTTATCCAGTGAGGAGGGCGAAGGCGATGACAAAGAAGAGTCTGTTGAAAAACTGGACTGTCATTATTCAGGTCATCATCCTCAGCCAGCATCTGTAAGTTCCACGTCCACCCCCGCGTTGACCCTCCCCACACAGCATGGACAGGGCACTGCAGGGGGGCGCGCCAGGGATCTTGGCATGCCCGTATGTGTGGGACGCGGTCAAGGTGTGAGAGAAGTTCAAAACAGGGTGCCCCAGAGGCAGCACACACTCTGTACGGGGGACATCTCGTGCTTTTTTCCCTTTCTCTTCCATGACGCTCAGGGCTAGGCATTGTCACTCTCATGCTTCACAGCCTCCGGTACTCAGAGGCAGTTCTGTCTTTCCTGATTAGCTCCTTTCCTGAAGGATCTAGAACCCTGACTGGGCATGCCAGTGTGGGAGTCAGCAAGCACGCGGCTATGTTTTCTCTTGCAGTTTTGCACATTTGGGAGCCGGCAGATAGGAAGAGGCTATTACGTGTTTGACTCCAGGTGGAATCGACTTCGCTGCGCCCTCAACCTCATGGTGGAGAAGCATCTGAATGCACAGCTATGGAAGTGAGTGCCTGTTGTTCTTGGGAGAGGAGCTGACTTTACACAGTGCTGCATTGTCTTTTATTTCCTGTGAGACTGATGTTATGAAGATATGCTTATCTAAACAAAACTGGCCTTTGGCCCTGAGAAGAAGGTGCCTTGTCATTCATTCATTCATTTACCCCTTTACCCCACAACTACATATTGTTGTGGGTGCTGGCATTCAAAGCAGAAGGACTCCCACATGTATGGAGCTCACAGTCTAGTTGGGATTGGGTAAGGGGAGAAAAAAACTAGTCTACAGAAGAATAAGGAGATGATAGCTTGTCCTAAGTGACAGAATGGAAACAATAACAATCAGCAAGACTTAGTGAGAGCCAACTATACACCAAACAACTTAAATATACTTAACATTCACAATTCTCTGTCAGGTGACCATGATTATACCCTCCCCCCACCCCTGGTTTTTTTTTTGTTTTGTTTTTTTAATAGATGACAAAACTGAGATACAGTGTCATGCAGCAAGTTAGTGGTAGGGCCAGGAATTGAACCTAGAGGTAACATGTTTTCAAGTAAAGAGCTGAAAATACAGAGGCCAGAGGGATTCAGGGAAAGCCTCTCTGAAGAAAGAGGCAGTCCTTG
The DNA here is from genome assembly GCF_000001405.40 of Homo sapiens. NCBI lineage: Eukaryota > Metazoa > Chordata > Mammalia > Primates > Hominidae > Homo > Homo sapiens. Next base: position 63,991,478 of record NC_000003.12, read on the forward strand.
AACTGAGAAGGATGGATGAGAAACAGCAGTCACTGGGACAGTAGGGAGGAGTGGGTTCTGGGCAGAAGGAAGCAGCTGTGTCAAGGTCTTGAGTCAGAAAAGACAGTTTGTTGAAGAAATAGCAAGAAATTGAGCACAGTACAAGGATGAGGTCCAAGAAACCAGCAGGGGCCAGGTGACACTGAAATTGTTTCAGTGTTGAAGGTTTTAGGTAGAGGAGCCATGTGCTCCAGTTTGCAATTTAAGACACCTTGTGTGATATTATGTACCTAATGCTTCCCAAACAGGATTTTAAGTGGAAGAAGAGTTCCATGGCCAAAAAGGTTTAACTCAGCCTTTCCTGTAAAAAAAAAAAAAGGTTCTGTTTTTTACTGCAGAACTTGTCAGAGCCTTAATGGGCACTGTGCTTTGTAACTCTTGAAGCAGGGAATGTCACGTCATGTATAATGTGGAACATGTCCCAAGCTCTTTTCACCTCGGAACCTTTTTTAGGGGAACATCTTGGAGAACTAGTATTCGGTGGGAGTGACTTTGGTGAATAGTAAGCTTTGCTAAAGTGACTGTCCAGTAATCCCCAGGCCATCCCAGATCCTCTGTTTGGGCATTATTTACTAGTGCCTCCTTAAATGGACTCTGCCAGTACATTCATTTGACTCCCTGCCTTGGTTTCCTAATAAAGTCAGACGCTAGTCGGAGGCCTTGGATTGTCTGCAACCCAAAGAACCATCTCCATGATCATTAGCAGGACTTACATCCGTTTCCTTAGAACACCAGATTCAGAGCACTGTTACTCTGCTTTTCTTTTTCATATTTCTTTCTGGTTCTTGCTGGATAAGAGGTTCTTCTTTATGAAGGAACATTGTCCCTGGCTAGACACAGAATCAGGGGACTGGGTTTGGGGGTTCTGCAGGGGTTTTTCCACACCAGAACTCCCTAAGATACATGAAATCTCAACTTCATATTTCTTCAGACTACCCATTGGGAGTTGGAAAGCACACTGAGCTCATGAAACTATGGGTTTAATGTACTCCTAAGAGTTTAGAATGGATTTCTGAATGTTTTATCCACATTATGTTGGTATGTGGCTCATGACCAACAGTTTGGGCAAAGATAGTTTCAGTTCCTAGTGGCTTGTATAGTGAGACTTTCCTCTTGATGTGAACTTTTTAAAAAGTAAGATCATAAGGTCGACTCTGCTGTCTACTCTGTTCTGTCTGAAGGCTGCCTACTTGCTTCCGGGGAGAAGGAAACCAACCCTTTCCATTAGCATGACCATTGGTTTTTAAAAAGTCTACAGCAACAAGGGACGTGTTGCTCAGTAATGAGCTGACACATAGGCTTGGGGCAGAGGGGAACTTGGTGCATGTTGCCTCCCAACATAGGAGTGCTGGCGGCCTTTTCAGGCAGCCCCTGAGATTTTCTCTGGGGAGCTCAGCACTTCTCATCCAGAGAACTATTCTCACCTGGCATCTTTGAAGCCCTCAAGGAAACTTTCAAAGTGATCCAGGTCCCACCCTACCGGCTCAGCCCAAAATCCTTCCTTACAGGGTTATTGTGGTAAAATTGAAGGTAAGTGAGGTGGGAATTGAGTATGAAATGAGTAAACTTCAGTTTGTGGAGTCTCAGGCCAGTGGTGAAATTAGACCAGCACTTTCTCTGCAGCATGGCCATAACCTGAAAGGCCACTGCCCACCTTCTATGATTTCTGTGAACTACTTGTCCTCTGTTGATTTGGGACCAGTATCCCATATTCCCTAAGAAGGGGCTGGGATGGTTTTCAAAGATTTTTGTTGGTGTATTTTTTTTTTTTTTTTTTTTTTACTTTTTGAAATGGTAATACAATCACTGGGCTTAAAAAAGGAAAACCAAGGCTGAGGCAGGAGAATGGGGTGAACCCGGGAGGCAGAGCTTGCAGTGAGCCGAGATCGCGCCACTGCACTCCAGCCTGGGGGTGACAGAGCGAGACTCCGTCTCAAAAAAAAAAAAAGAAAAACGAGTATAAAGAGGCATACATTGAAAACCGAGTCCTCCTGTCTCCTACATGCTTGTTTTCCACCTAGCCCCCACAGACATTTTTATTATTTTTTATGTATCTCTACATAGTTTATTTATGCAAACACAAGTCAGTATGAGTACATATTGTTACTTTGCCTCTTTATACACAAAAGAGTAATTAACTACTTAAAAGAGCTTTTCTAAGAGGAACTTGTGATTGCCTCCCGGAGAGATCCACATCCTTCCCTGCTCTAGAAGGCTTTTCCTTTCCTCGAGATTTGGTTCCAGGCAGCCTGGTCTTTAGGCCCTGGCTTCCTGAGCCACCTGGTGGTCATGAGAAGCCACTGCTCCCAGTGAGCAGTAGGGCCTGGACTTCATTTAGAGCAGGGCTTCTGAATGCTCCAGAATCACCCAGGGGCCTTGTTGCCATGCAGCTTCTGATGCATCATTCTAGGGTGGGGCCCAGGAACTCAGTTTTCCTAACCAACCTCTCAGGTAATTAATGACACTGCCTGCCACCCTCCTCTATGAGTAGTGCGGGGAGAGAGAGCCTAGCCTCTCAATCTTGGCTCCACATTAGAATCCCCTGGAAAGATTTAGAAATGACTGATGTCTGTCCCCACTCCCCGCAGAGACGCTGGTGTAATCGTTATGGATGTGGCTTAAGCTCCACAGGTGACTGTAATGTGCAACAGCTGGAGTTGAGAAGCACTAACATCAGGCCAGAGCTGTACCCTTGAATGGGGTTTTGGGTTTTTTTGTTTGTTTTGTTTTGTTTTTGAAACAGGGCCTCACTCAGTCACCGAGGCTGGAGTGCAGTAGTGTGATTTCAGCTCACTGTGACCTCCACCTCCCCGGTTCAAGCGATTCTCCTGCCTCAGCCTTCTAAGTAGCTGGGATTACAGGTGCACACCACCATGCCCGGCTAATTTTTGTATTTTTAGTAGAGATGGGGTTTCACCATGTTGGCCAGGCTGGTCTCAAACTCCTGACCTCAAGTGATCCACCAGCCTCAGCCTCCCAAAGTGCTGGGATTACAGTTGTGAGCCACTGCGCCTGGCCGAATGGGATTTTTAAAGCATTTGCAAATACTTGCAGTCATTAATTCATTTTATTAATAACAGTAGTCTTTAAAAGCATCTGGAAATCACCTGGGCAGCAGTCTAGGCCAGCTCTCTCACTGGGGTAGTGGCCAGGTCAGCCAGGGCTACCCCTTAAGTCAGGATCAAGGCAATCCTGGCACTTGCCTTCCAGTCAGGCCTTTTTGTCTTCTGCCACCTCGGTTTAAATTCTGCCAAAGAAGTTTTTGAAATTTTGTTACTGTCACATTTAAGATTCAGAGCTAAAATAAAAGGAGACCCTCCCTGGTTTGAATTTAGATGGTTTCCGCATCCCCTAATAAATACCTTGCCCACACATTCTTAACAGAATCCATTGTTACAACACCATGCTGAATATCCCTTGATACTGTGGGGCTTTATTCCCTTGTTCAGGCCAATAGTTATGACCTAGCAGTTGCTGTTAATTAGCTGCACCCTTCCTTTTCTCTCATTCATTCCTGACTTCTCTCGACATTTATTCAGTGCCTTCTGTGTTTCCTGCACTGTGCTGAACACTAGGACCACAACGGTAATTAAGCTGGGGATGACTCTCTCTGCAGAGGATTTGGTGATTAGCAATCCGACACTTAAAGGATGAGCAGAAGCTGGGGTATTGGGTCATGGCATTTTCTCAGAATATAAGGAAGTACAGTGGCTGGAAGCAGGGAACGGGGGCGTTGGGGGTGGGAGGTGGAGCTAGAGGCTGGGGCAATAGCAGCGGGGAGTTGCACACATACAGTTCTGTAAGAACTGTACCAGGAAGGCATTAAAGAATTTGAAGGAGAGAGGTGACAGGATTGGCTTTGTAGTTCAGAGTGATTGCTTTGATGTGGATGGTTTCTCTTTGTCACAAGCAAAGAGGGTGGTGCCATCTGAAAGTCTCTGTGAATGGCTGTGGTCAGTGTCATTCACTGTCCTCTAATTTTTTTCAGGAAAATCCCACCAGTGCCCAGTACCACCTCACCCATCTCCACACGTATTCCTCACCGGACAAACTCTGTGCCGACATCACAATGTGGAGTCAGCTATCTGGCAGCAGCCACCGTCTCTACATCCCCAGTCCTGCTCTCATCTACCTGCATCTCCCCAAATAGCAAATCGGTACCAGCTCATGGAACCACACTAAATGCACAGCCTGCTGCTTCAGGGGCGATGGATCCTGTGTGCAGTATGCAATCCAGACAAGTGTCCTCTTCATCCTCATCCCCTTCCACGCCCTCTGGCCTTTCCTCGGTTCCTTCCTCCCCCATGTCCAGGAAACCTCAGAAATTGAAATCCAGCAAATCTTTGAGGCCCAAGGAGTCTTCTGGTAACAGCACTAACTGTCAAAATGCCAGTAGCAGTACCAGTGGCGGCTCAGGAAAGAAACGCAAAAACAGTTCCCCACTGTTGGTTCACTCTTCCTCCTCCTCTTCCTCCTCCTCCTCTTCTTCTCATTCCATGGAGTCTTTTAGGAAAAACTGTGTGGCTCACTCTGGGCCTCCCTACCCCTCAACGGTAACATCTTCCCATAGCATCGGCCTCAACTGTGTGACGAATAAAGCAAATGCGGTGAACGTCCGGCATGACCAGTCAGGGAGGGGCCCCCCCACCGGGAGCCCTGCTGAATCCATCAAGAGGATGAGTGTGATGGTGAACAGCAGTGATTCTACTCTTTCTCTTGGGCCATTCATTCACCAGTCCAATGAACTGCCTGTCAACTCCCACGGCAGTTTTTCCCACTCACACACTCCTCTAGACAAACTCATAGGAAAGAAAAGAAAGTGCTCACCCAGCTCGAGCAGCATCAACAACAGCAGCAGCAAACCCACAAAGGTTGCCAAAGTGCCAGCCGTGAACAATGTCCACATGAAACACACAGGCACCATCCCAGGGGCACAAGGACTGATGAACAGTTCCCTCCTTCATCAGGTAGGAAATGGACTGTGAGCCCCATGGGAATGCCCATTTCTTCTCCCTTAAGATCTTTTGTCAGCTCAGAAATGTGTTTGGTTGGGTTGGTTGGTTGGTTTGTAAACAGATATTCAGCTTCATGGTGTCTTCTTAAAAAAAAAAAAAAAAAAAAAAAAGGTTCACGGCCGTATGAAGGTAAAACAGGCTCTTCTGCCAGAATTTCTGGTGCCTTTGGAAGATGTTCTTCAGTAAAGAAACTACAGTAATGCATTTTTAGTAGAGCTGCAGAAAGCATCGGTTGTGACAGCAAAATCATAATTGGAGGGTAGCCCCTTTATGAAATAGCCAGTAATGTGTTATCCCAGTGCTGTGAAGTGTGTGCCATTCGAGGCTTTAAGGAAGGAAGCAGGCATTGTTTCCTGGATAGTGGTTCTTTAGTATGTTCCGCTGAGGAAAGCTGCGCTAAAATCAAACTGATCTAGAAAGGGGTGATTTAAGATTTAAAATGAGGCTGGGTGCAGCGGCTCACGCCTATAATCCCAGCACTTTGGGAAGCTGAAGCAGGTAGATCACTTGAGGTCAGGAGTTCAAGACCAGCCTGGCCAACATGGTAAAACCCCCGTCTCTACTAAAAATACGAAAATTAGCTGGGTGTGGTGGTGCACGCCTGTAATCCCAGCTACTCAGGAGGTGGAGGCAGGAGAACTGCTTGAACACGGGAGGCGGAAGTTGCAGTGAGCCAAGATCGCGCCACTGCACTCCATCCGGCCTATGAGACTATGTCTCAAAAAAAAAAGAGCATTTATTATTTTTCCCTCTCAAAAGAATTTCAGATATTCTGGTTAAATCTCACCCCATATTTTCTCTTCCCGTTTTTGAGGGAGGCAGGAAAACAGGATTCAGTATGGGCATAGCAGAAGACTGAAATCTCATTCCAAGCTCATAGTTAAAAAGAAGTCTGCATATGAACCCATCAGTAGAGAAGTGGCTAAGTGGTTGTGGGATTCATAATTAACCATGACTTTCTCTCTTAGGCTGTATTTTTGTCTCGTCCCAGCTCTTCTGCCTGTTACTGACCTCACCTGTAGCTGTTTCTTCCAGCTTCCTTTGCTCTAACTTCCAGCTCATCTCTCATCTTGTTATTTTATTCATCAGGATATCTCCTCACCTTGCTTACGAACAGGAATTTCAGCAACATCACCCCAGAGCCCTGACTTAAAATGTGAGGCTCTTTTTCATGATTTTTTTTCCCCTTCCTCGTCTTCAGAACTTAACTCAAATGCCAGCCGGGTTAGGACTTTTTCAGAAAATACCAAGAAGTTTCTTAGTATTTTCGTAGTGTGATATAATTTTCCTCTAATATTTGGGTGAATTAACACCCATTGCCAAAGGTATGGGGAAAATATTTGTGAATTTAACTAGCTGCATGCATTATGGGTTATTATATGTTGTTTGGCATTCTGATCATGGGATTCCTGGACAAATGAGAAGTGTGCTTTTCCTTCTTGGTTTGTAGTTACTCATTACAGTTTATAAGCATAACAGTCCAATATAAACACAGAAGACATGGTGTGCCGATTCTTCAACGCACCGTCTTTGAGAGAGACATGATCCCCACGGAAGGGGCATTCCATTGTGCTGTAATGTCCATCTCACATCTGTATTAGTGAGCACACTGTCTTCATTTAGACAGGAGTGTAGATCTTAATGCCCACAAGTAACAAAAAGGACAGAAGGGGGGGGGGCCAGGTGGGGCACAGCAGAGATTGACAGTGCCTACTAGAAATTGGGGGGACATGGAGCAGCTGCTTCCAGACATTTGTTACCAGTTTTAAAGAGAGGCTGCAGATCTGGACTTGCATGTGAAATTTAGTTGAGATATATGTGTGTGTGTATATATATATGTATACACACACGTATACACACACACTTTTTTTTCTCTTCTTAAATCTGGTATAGCCTATGTATCTGTGGGCCATCTTTGGCTCATGACCTGCCATTTTGCCACCTTTGATTTTTACCATGTAGTGGCACTATGTCTTACTAGAACAACACAGACAGCCTAACTTTGGGCTTTTTCCTTAAAATCAGTTAAAATCAGTTTCCACTTAAGTTTGTGTTTGAGAGAGATTTTCTCTGTGCAGAGGAATACTTTTTATTATGCTACACAAATCCTGGGGCAAGAGCAGGGGTGCTTGCTTAGAGATCAAAGGATCATTGAACCCCAAGAAGTATTGCACATTTTTATGTCTTTGTTCATTTATCGTATAGCTTTCATAAGAATCTCAAAGGGACTCGTGACCCCAAAATGCTTTAAAGAATGCTGCTGTTACAAAAGTAGGGACCTCTACTTGCTGTTCCTTGTGGAGCTGCCATTAAAACAAAAATAACTGGGCTAGTTGAAGTTTTCTAAACAAGGGGATGAAGAGTGGGACATGCTGGGAAGCCTAGGAGATGATGGGGTTGGGTAGGCACCCCCAAGAGTCTGTTCATGGCCTGTGCCACCAAAGATGTAAAAGCCCACTGTGAATGCCAGAGTTTCCTCCTCCCCAGCATGGGCACTGCCTTGAGTGCGAACTGTCACACCTGTGTGTGCTAGCCCTTGACCTTGTTCCCTTCTCAGTTAACAACCTGGAATACCTTCAAGGACACAAAAGCACTGGAATACCTTCAAGGACACAAAATCAGTAAATAAAACCAAAAGGCAAACATAAGAGCCTTTTCTCTAAGTTAGAAACCCAGGCCTGCAACTCTTCTAGCCAGTTGGCTAGAAGTGAATCTTTGCAATGATTGTGCCCAGTAGTAGTGAAGGCATTTGAAAGCTAAGAACAAAATCTATAGCTGACTGTTCCTGGTGTCACTCAGTCAATGGAGACTTTAGTAGCGTGCAGCCTTTGGAATATTCTTGTTTAGAATCAATAGAGTGCAGTGTACAAACGCTTACTTACCATTTCATTATTTCCCCACCCCCTCTTTTTTGAAAGCCAAAGGCACGTCCCTGACAGCTGAAAATAGCACGGGGAGGAATAATGCGGACACTTTTGAGGACAAGTTACACCTCCACTCAGCACTCTGGACTCCACGATGCCTTTGAGTCTGTTTTCCCAACCTCCTGTGGGCCTCAAGGGTAGAAACCTGCCGGGCTGTTGTTTTAACGAGGATTTCCCTGAAGCTATGTCTCTAGCAGTGAGTACTCATAAAGGACACTGGATCAAGTTCAGCCACCGAATTGCTTTTATCAGTGTTAAAGTGGTCTGAACTGCTTGCTACCAATCTGTGAGAAGTTTTTGTTTTTGTTTTGTTTTTTAACTTGCAGTATATCACAGAGCCACTCTTCAAGTAGATTGGCTGGGCAAAAGAATGTTTTGGCAAGAGCGTTACTGTAGACCTTTCTCCCTCCTTCCTTTTACTACCATTTTTTTTTAACACTGTCATCTGTAGGTCACTCTCCAGCAGTTAGGCACCTTAACTGGAGACCAGAAACCTTCCAGAGAACACAGGGCTGCATCCCGAGCAACCCTCTGAAGAAGGGAATTAGGCTTTAGATTTTGATAGCAATGTTCCAGGAATGAAATATAGATGTTAGCCCAAGACACCATGACAAAATAGCCCAGCCTTTTGAGAGTAATTTGGGAAAAGAAGCTGTCAGAAGTTTCTAACTTACAAACTGGTTTGAAATTTTTGATGCCCAGACAGCAAGTATAAATCATTTTGGAGGCTTACTTTTCATGATACAAAAGCAATTCTGTGTGATTTTTTTTTTTAAGAAGAAAGAAAATGCAAGCTAGTTTTGAGAAAGGAAGGCCAAATTGGGTCGGGGGAGGGTGGGAGTGAGGAAGTTAAAATCACTATAGGGAGAAAAAACTTTTTTCAAGATTTCCAAAGAGATGAAATTTTCTTAATCCTTTTAAGTTTTCATAGTAAACAGTATGGCAGATTGGGTTGGTTGTCCTACCTGGTCTATTTTTAAAAGTCACCTTTTAAAGTGACATTATTAGATACACTTAAATGTTTCCAAGGCACTCTCTACATTACCCTTGTTTTTCTCTTTGGATACTGTCCTGGGACTAAGTGTAGATTTCTGCTTCAAGCACTTCTGGCATTGTGTGTTTTTGTATGCACTCCCCTTCATGCCACTTCAGATGTTTATTTGGATGTGGTTGGGGACGAGAGCAGACACCAAGGAAAGGGAGTTGGAGAGAATGTAAGTCCTGACCTGAAGGTCTTTTGTGATGCATGTATAGGATTGCCCTGACACACACCCTCCTTTCTTGGGATTATACCAGCCATCTTCCTGAGAGTTTTGGAGCCCTCTAGGATATTTTTTCTAGTACCCCACCCCCCACCCCTAAAGAAAGACCTTAATATGTTAAAACAGCATTGCTTGGAGAAGGTGTCATTGAATTCCGGGACGAGCCGGAGCCTTTAAATGGGTGCTTCCACCACTACAGGCTCCTGACACGAGTAACAGGCACTGTTGCTTAGAAGAACACACGAAGTTGCCGAACACAGGGTAAAATTTCCAAGGCGCTGATCGTTGCCCTGGCCAGGGCCTGATGAGAGCCAGTCAGTACATTCTTTTTTTCCTACAGTTCTTGGGTTTCAAACTTCAGTTTCAGGGAATTTCAAGTCAACAACAGGTAGAATGAATAAACTTGGTTACCAGCCTAATAATGTGAATTGCTACAGAATTATTCTTATTATGTAAGAAAACAAAAACTTTATGCAGATACTTTAGCTATAAATTGATGTAAAATACTGATTTTTTTAAAGGAAGGAGAGAACAGTATCTTGTTCAATTATTATGCAATCAATCAGTAAATGTTTTTAAAATGATACTACAGGAGAGCTTAGTAAGGAGAGGGCATGGATGGGCCAGTTTGGCATAGTTGGGAGAAATCAGTCTGGTTTCCATCCCAGTCGGGGAAGAGAGAGGTGAGAGGGAATCAGAACGTACCTAGTTGATTCCTTGGTGACAAGTGCAATGGGGTATGGGTAGAATTTATTTTCAGAGCCAAGAGGACTTGATGGTTATAAATAAAGTTGCCTTTAGCAATGGAATTTACAGATCGATCATGTTGTTCCGAAAGATGTGAATAGGATCCACAATAACAAGTTGATTCAGACTAATGTAGATATTTAGATTAGCAAGTATTGAACATTTGATTTCTTAGACTGAGGTTTTAAATGAATTTCATTATTTCTCCCGGTAATACACAGAGCATCGGGATTAGGAAATTAGCCATTTTGGATTCTGTCTGCCACAAACAGACCTATTCTAAACAGTGCTATTAAATTTTAGACTGTTGTTCAAATATTTTATTTTCTCCTAAACTACTTTTTATGGTGATGAATAATTAAGACCATTTAAAACACGGGAGTACAAGTATTTTTTTGAATTAAATTAACTTGCAAAAACCAAATTTGCAGTGGTTGGGTTGTTTCTAGACAGACTTTGGTATCAATTTAAAACCAAGATAATTTTTATATTCTTTCCAATAGAATTTCATGACAACTCCTGCAGTTTTCTTAACCTACAAAAAAAAAAAAAAAGTGCTGCAATGATGAACAAAGAATTATACAAAACCTACTTTTGTATCTTTATTTTGGAATTTCTTGTTCTATTATAAATATGGAAGTATCCCTATTTCAGAAGACATATTTTGTTAAAAATGAATTGTACATATTTAAATATGTATTTTTGCACAGGTCTTTTTTTCTGATATCCTGTTTTGGTACAATTGAGATCATCTAGTATTTATTTATTAATTAATAAAAGTAAATACCTTTTTATAATTTGAAGTGGTTCACTGCCAAGCCAATAGTTCTAGAACCTGCCTCCTTTACAGTTTTAAGGGATGCCTCTGTTCTGTGAAAAGTCTTTGTCCCTTTTAGTGTCTCGGGAGTGGATTCATACAGATGAAGTGGGCATTGCTTCTTCCTGGTTGCCTGGTTTCCCGATAGACTACATGTAACTAAGTGACACACTGCTTTTCTTTTGTTAGTATTTTATGTGTGGGAGTATGTGACTGCGTGTGTGTGTGCCTGTGCGTGTGTGTGTATACTCAGCACATGTATGTTACTATGTGATGTGGTTTAAAACTAATGGAAAAAACTGAAAGTGCCTGAAACTAGTTTTAAGCTTAGACAGAATCTCTTTAAAAAGACTTGAATGTTCAGTTGAACTTTTGGAGTTTGCTTTTTCCACCTAAATATTGTTTCTAAAATTTTAGGGGCGGAGTTGAAAACCACCAATGCTGGTAATTTTATAAGGTATTTTAAAATTAAGACCTCTTGGTTCATAGTAATTCAATTGGTGATGGATTGCCTGGTGGCACCAAGGGTTACAGATCTTTTTGTCAGCCAGCAACTTACACGATGTGTCCGTTTTGTTATTCACTCATGAAATACAATTTAAAATATTTAAAATATTTTGTATTCCAAAAATATAATACAAAGAAGTACCTCTGAGAACATTGAAAAAAATGTATAATTTGAAAAATGTAACTTATAAGGGCAGCTGTCTTCCTGCAAGAGTTCTGTTGCCAAGGAATTTCTTAATGTCGCTCATTCTGTCCAGGGGGTTTGGGGCGATTGGGCTTTGAAAAAATATTCTTAAAAGTTTGTTTAGCAGAAAATAATCACTTTTACATTTTGTGCAAAACATTTTACATTTTCAGATAATTTAAATGAGCACTACATACTGTCAGTGTGAATGTAGGGCCTTGAAAGCATTTTGCTTTTTTTTTTTTTTTTTTTTTTTTGAGCTTGGTTATAAAAGCAATCTCCTGTGTTAAAAACGTGTGAATAGTTTGATAATTTGTACACATAATCAAGAGCATCTCAGCTGGACTTTGTGTTGGCTGCTGTATAGAACATGAACAAATGTCAAGGGATAGAAAATTACTTTGGATATTTAAAAGAGAAGAAATATATAGTCTATTTGTTTTGTAACAAGTTTCTGTAAATAAAATAATTTATACTATTTATAAGAAAAGGTTGTGCTTTGCTTTATAAGAAATTAGCTTGTGGAACAAACATGTTACTAAACGGGCAATAAAATTAGGACTTCTCAATAAATAAGGTTGGCTGCATGAAATATTGTACGTTTCTGCCTCGTTGTGATACTAAACCCTTTCAGTCTACTCTGACTTTTCATCACTTTTGGCATGGAACACCCTTGTGAAGCCCCTTCAATTTAGCCTTCCTCTTATATAAGCTAAATACTTCTAAGGCCTGGGGATGTTTCCATCTGGGGGCACAAAGCTTTGCTTTGGATAAATTAGTAACTGTGTAAACAGTGAACATTACTGTATTCTGGCCTTGCATGTTTGTGAAAGAAACGAGGGAGTTGATGGATTGAGAAACACATTCTATTTGTACTTAGGTGCAAATTTGATGACATGTAGTTTTGGTTTAAGATAAGCTTTTTATCCAGACCCGGTCTAATCTCTTCCTTTCTTTTACATACCTCCCTTACTGGCAATACAAGTGCATTTTAGTATTATTTGGAACACAGCATAATCATTTACCTCTAGAAATCCAGACATTTTTACTGTTTGCAAATAAACCATTCTGATAAATTATTTTTGTTGCTTAAAATAAGAGGAGGAACCGCTGTGTGTTAGCAAGAATGTCCATACCTGATATGAAAGAGTCATGTTGGCTTCAGTTCCTACTGCCCTGTGGACTTCCCATTCCCTCCTTACTTGAGTCAACCATCCACTCAGTACTTTCCACAAATCTAATAATGAGGTGCTCTCTGTAGGTAAATCCTTTCACTATGGCTTGTCCTCAAACCTCCCAAGAAAAGGTTCAACTGCTCAATCTCTTAACCTTTTTAATTCCATTCCCTTGCAGGTATCCCGGCCCTGCATAACAAGATGATCCCAACTCAAGGAAAGGGGTTTAGCAGTGTTGGATCTTGGCGTATGTGGGATTTAACCAGGCAGAAAGGCAGACAAGAGTAAGATTCTAGGCAGAGAGAGCAAATGCGTCGAGCATGGGTATGAACATGTGAGGGATAGAGAATAATTCTGCAGGAAGTTTGCTGGATGGAAGGGCCTTATAGGGTTAGAAAAGCTGGTGTCAGATTGTCAAGGACTTTGAATGTCATGGGGCTTCTCTTCCAGGAACACATGGGATCAGGCTTAGATTAACCCAAATGTAATTGTCAGAGCCCAGAGATATTTCATGGTCCAGTCCTAGCACTGTGCAGCTGCCAAAAGTCAAAGCCATTCAAATCTGTACTGAAAACTGTGGAAAAGCAAAGGAGCACTTAAGTCTCTTTCCCCATGTCTTGCATTCTCACTCTCTTTTGCTTCAAAGATCTGTCTTTACCTGCCCCTGTCCCCAGTCCTAACAAAAAGCACTCCCCTAAATCAACTCTTAAGTTCCTCTCCCTTCTCACTCCTTTCTTAGTCTCCTCTTTCTGTAAGAAGTTCTTGCTCCTGTTGTTAATGGAAGTTAATTAAAGTAGTATTTCACCTTGTAAGGCTGTAATTCTTGGCACTTGTTATCCTCATTTTCTACATCCAAAGACCATGGACCAGAATATCTCTTAGGAGGTAAGGGAGAGTGAGGCTATCAGCCAAAGAAAAAGTCTCCAGGGGGAAGGGGAGAATCACTTATAATTTAATACTTTGTGGAAAAAACATCTCTGCCACCTATGGCCCTCCAATAACAATGGAAGACAGAATCAACAGGTGAGAACCTTGGGACAAAAATAAGTTACAAAGCTGTTGTAATCCAGGTAAGAGCTATTAAGTTTCCAAACGAAGGCTGACTGTGAGGATAAGTGATACTGATTTCAGAAATCTTTAAAAAGTAGAACCAACAAGCCTTGAGGTCTAACTCTGTTCAACATTAAAGGGAAGAGTGAGTCTAAGAAGACTTCAGGTTTCTAGCTTGGCCAAACCAATTGAGCTTTAAGTGAAATGTGCGATATGGTAACAGAGAAGGAAAAAGACATAACGATAGATTTGAGCTGCTGGTGGGAAATTCTGGTTTAGTGCCCAGCTGGCTGTACAGGCTGGTTGGACTTTAGGAGGGAGGTTTGAGCTGGAAAATAAAGATGGAGAGTTGTCTTTCAGTTTTAGATCATCAGTGAGGTCATAAGGGTAGATGGAGTTTACCTGGGAAAATTAAGTAGCTATTCGATTTGGCTTATTATTATGTTAAAATAATACTTCTCTAGTGAAGTACTTAATATGCCAGATACTGTGCCAAGCATTTTATATACATCCTCTCTTTTACTAAGCCCTCATAGGGCAGGTATTTTGATTCCAATCATACTGATTGGAACTCCTAAGAAGGTATCTTGCTTAAGGTCCCACAACGAATAGGTGGCAGATCCAGGGTAATTCAGGTCTGTCAGAACAGTGATTCTTAATTTTTTCCCTCCTCAGACTCCAGGAGTCACATGAAGTTATGCATCCTGTCTGACCGAGGCACAGGCACACCACATTTTTATATTCCGCTTCCAGGATATCACAAACCTGAAGCCCATCCTCCATGGCCCAGAGAGAAAACCCAGGACAAAACCTTGGAGAAGACTATTTTCATGAAGACAAATGGAGAAGGAGCAGTAGAGTAAAAAGAGAGGTAAGGGAAGGCATTGAGATGGTTTACAGGGTTAGATGTTTTGAGTCAATCCCATTATAATTACCAATGCTATCTACCTATTTAGTTAACGTTTTATTGCCCTGCTGTTTTCTCCAGGATAATTGGAACAGCATGTATTGGTTGGGTGGAAAAGATAGAACTTGAGCAGGGAGATTGCCAAAGAGTGAAGATGTGGCTGAGTGATTGATGATGGTCTGAACTGGGTATTCAGGGAAGAGAACTAGAAGCCAACCATGTAGAATCTATGCAGGTGCTCTTAAGACATTGGTTTGACTGGAATTATCTTCTTGTTAGGTCTTAGGAATCTCCTTCCAGGTAACTTTTTCTATGATTAGACAATTGATTTGTTCAGGGTCACAGAGCAAAGTCCACATTTAATTCCACATGGCCAATAAAAGTGAGGGGCTACAAGGTGAGATCCAGGGGCCAGAGTTATCAAAGTGATACAGCACTTTTAGGAATAGGACAGGGAATGGAGGAATTGGAATTCCAGTATTACTTTCAAAAGCAGAACTGGCCAGAGGAATTGGAATTCCAGTATTATTTTCAAAAGCAGAACTGGCCAGAGGTGCTTGTGATTCCTGGGTGGAAACCATGGCAGTGGACAGAAGCAGCATGGAGGAAAAGAGCACTGGAATTCAGGCTGAGGAACTGTGAAGCCAAGGGTGTTGTATAGGTTGTCCATTTCAAATTAGGGTTGCTTGGTTCTGGGATGATTTGCATGGAAGAGGGGAGAGTGACTTGGAGATGTGTGATTGAGGACAGTGAGCACAGTGAGTTGATGGTGTTGCTGGGTTATAAGCAGCTTCAAAGAGAAGGCATTTTGAATGAAGGTGGAAACATAATGGCCAGGAGAACAAGCAAAGGACTAGGAAACAGTGAACTTCATCTTGGCCTCAAGTTCCTGAGGTGCATATGAATAAACAGTCTCTAACCCAGAGGGTTTCAAGAAAAGCAGAGTCCTCAAAATCCAAAGGTAGAGTTTCCCCACATTGATATTATACTAATTACACGTATAACAGTACTTTGGAAAAGCACAGGTCTCTGGTCACCTCTAAAAGGCAAGGTTGGTAAGGAGGTCAGGGTGTCACCTGTTGGTAGTCTTAACTAAATGGTCTCTTCAAGGGATCTAAGGATGGAAAGGGGATATATAATGGTTGGATTAAAGGCTCATCATTGATTAGCAAATTGTCCCTTTTGTTTCTTAAACCCAATTTGTACAGGGAAAGTTATGCCACTGTAAGATATTTTTAAATGGGGAAAAAAAAAAAAAAAAAAAAAAGGTTATACCCTTTGACCATGTATGTCAAGGTTAAAATGGCCTGGATCAGATTGCTACAAATTCCTGATAGCCTTTGTATTCCTTCAGAAACACAAGCATAATGCAAATCTGTGGCTCTACAGCTTTGAAACCAAAACTAGTGATTATCAGAGCTTTTCATGTTATCCAGATGGGGATTTTACCCCACTCCCCCATTGCCATTGTGGAGGCACAGGTTTGTTACCAGCAACTACAAGTTTATGTAGCATTGGGAAGGTCAGGGATTATCATAGTTCCCTCCACGCTTTTTCCCCCATAATCATGGGGGCAGATATTTCAGCTGTCAGCTGTTCATCTTAAAAACATTAGGTTAACAGCAGCACCAAGGACTAATTCAGAATATGAAATTACAGAAATGATTTGCTAATGATTTAGTAGCCTTTTATCAGTTAATGTTTGGTCAGGTTATAAAAGACCAAATGTGTTCAGTCACAAAATCCTAAGTGTATTGAGTATTGCATGCTTAGTGATCAAGTTGTAGGCATCCTTCTAGCCATCTGGGGCAGGTAAAAGTTGGGTGCTTAACAAAAGTGGTTTTTACACTGTTTCTGTCCTAAGAGACACTGTTTTTTAATAGCTTAAAAATTGACCTAAAGCTGTTATTTCTAATACAGGAAATAGATTACCATAATTTGACATAGCTTTAAAATATTTAGCTCTTACTCGATAGATTTGCTATAAAATCAACTTTTACTGAGGTAAGAGAAACTGGCATTTCTGCTTTAAAAATAATCACAAAAGATAGTTTATCCTGGCGATATCATTTCACACTAGGATAGTTACTTTTGACTGAAACCAGGGTTAAAAATAAGATTGTTTCCCACTTCAAAAGAAAACATTTACCAACATGAAAAAGGAACTATGTATAACTGTTTTAGCATCATTTCATAATCTTATTTTCATATTGTGAAGTAACCTTCTTGAATAAAAGCAGAAAATTAAGACTTTCAGAAAACAAGCTGTACCAGTTAAAGCTACTAGAGACAGGATAAAGGTTAGGAATTCTTTGGATAGTTTCTCCTAGCTCAAGCTTGTCCAACCCAGAGCCCACAACAGCTTTGAATGTGGCCCAACACACATTTGTAAGTTTTCTTAAAACATTATGAGCTGTTTTGTTTTGAGCTCATCAGCTATCCTTAGCGTATTTTGTGTCACCCAAGACAATTCTTCCAGTGTGGCCCAGGGAAGCCAAAAGATGGGACACCCCTGTCTTAGTTGATTAACACAGGAGGCTGTTAACCATCAACCTCACATGCACAATATTGGGGGTAGTGCAGGGATAACAAGCTCAAATGCCAGCAGGGGCCAGGCAGACAGGCAGTGTATATGAACAGACTGGGTGGACTGGGGCACACTGGAAAACACGCTATGCTTGTCGCTCAGCTTATTGGAGCGTGAGTCCAGATTTAGCTTCACCTGTCCTTTTTCCAGAGAAGCTAGATATGTGGTTTTTAAACTGTCAACTTTTACGTGGTAACTATAAATTTTTTTCTTGGA
This sequence comes from Homo sapiens, assembly GCF_000001405.40. Lineage (NCBI taxonomy): Eukaryota > Metazoa > Chordata > Mammalia > Primates > Hominidae > Homo > Homo sapiens. The sequence goes on from NC_000003.12 coordinate 64,008,908, forward strand.
AAAGTATTTAGGGTGTGTCAATTGCCGCCTGTGGGTGAACAACTGCAACTCTGTAGCATTCAGAAGCCACCTTTGCATTCCTGACTAGCTTTGGTTTTCTGTAGAAAACCAAAAAGCTGAGGTTTTTTTCCTTTAAGAAATGTTTTCTAGATAAGCATTTTTAGAAATTCATAGGTGGATATTCTCAAATACATTAGGCATAGTCAGCATTTTAAAAGCCTCCCCTCCACAATACAGTGCCTACAGGAAACTCCTTTCAAAACAGAGATCTAGCCACATTGCTTTCCTTGGCATACAACCAATGGCTCTTCTTCCAGCGATGAGAGCTGCTGTCTTCACTTTTAAGATAATGCTTCTAATATTTTGCCATTAATTACCTTGTGATAGGGCTTTGATATCCCAACCTATTATTCATAGTCTACTGAAGAGTTTTTTTATCATGAAGAAATGTTGAATTATATCAAATTATTTTCAATCAAATGAGATCATGTTAACAGGAGTATGTTATTCCTGTTAGGAATTCCATATTAGGAATATGTTATTCCTAATATGTTAACAGGAATCATTCCCATCAGTAAATGTTATTTAAAGCAAAAAAACTCAAAACTCTTCTTTCCTTCCCTTGCCTTTTACAGTAAAATGCCATTTCCCATTCTCTTCTGAACTCACCTCTACCAAAACTGCTCATTAAGGTCACTAGCTGTCTTTCACTTAAGCCAAAAAGCCTAGGATCTCCTCTGACAAATTTTCTCCCCCTCATCCTCCTCACCCCATTCTTCAATCTTTTAGCAAATCCAGCTGCCTGTACAATCCATGCCACCGAATGCCGTAAGTGAGACGTAAAAGGTAAGCCAAATCCGCACTTAAAATTGCCAGTGACTTTCCTCGTCTTTCTTCCCTCCATACGTTCATGGGCTCTCCCTCCTTTTCACTTAAATGTCACCTTACCATAGAAGCCTTCCACAACACCTCAGAAGACGGCCTATACCCTGTATCTCTATCTATCTATCTATCTATCTGTCTGTCTATCTGGTTTTATACTTCTTATAGCACTTATTCCTATCTGACACACTGAATAAAACTGATAAAACTAATAAACTGTTTCAAACAAACAGAGGAACAACTTTGTTTTCCTCACTGCTATTATTACTATGGTCCTACTTTTGGAAAAAAGATTCAGTTTGCTAATAAATACTTACATATAAGGTTTTAGAAAACTGAGATCAGCCTTGGTAGATTCTGTAATCCAGGTTATGTCAGCTTCCTAAAAAAGAGTAACTTCCTGCCTTATATGGTTACTTGTTTCTGAGGGAAAGCTTATTACACATTTTCTTTATCTTCTATCTTTTGTATACTAAAAGTGGGAGACACTGTTTGTTTAATTTTAGGCCACTACTCTTCTTTCTAAAATCGGGAAGCTTACAGGTAAGAGATTTAAAGGTAAGCGATAATGGGCTGTGTCAACATCCGTATTTTACTGACGTATTTTACTGATGAGGCAGTCAGGAGCTGAACCTAGCTGAACCCAGCTGCAACCTTACCCTATAAACCAGATTTTCATTAATGAATAATTCAAGTGACATTATTTTAACATAAGTGGACCCGATTCTAGAAGGCCTATGTGTTTAAGAAAAAAATAAATGGAAAGAAACAACAATGCAGTATTTATTTTATACAGCTGACCTGGGCACATTGTGAAGTAAGCTATAAAAATTCCAAATAATTATCTCTAAAGCAAATCCTTTGTTAGTTACATGGCTTTACATATTAATTACTCTGGAAAGTTTTTGAACTCTGTTTAGTAGCAGATCTCCTTTCTTGATAGTTTCTTGGTACTGCCAGTTCTTGCTATCAGGTCTATAAATAAATTCAAGAAAAAATGAATTATTTACCAGTCACATTATTCCATGACAATAGTTGACCTACTTTTAAAATTTAGGAATGCCCCTTATTCTGAGAAATGAGAGTACCTGTTGGTTTCTACTATTTCATTCACTTTATCTATTTTGCAGTGTAGTCTCCCGGCAGCAATAAACCTGGACAGTTCCCTAATTTAGAGACAAAAAATAACAGAATTAGCTTTATAGAAAATTCTTAGAAAAATGCAAACGGCATTAAAATACTGTCTTAAATTTGTAACAAACATTTAGCTTCCCTTCAAGCTTGTTATTGCACATGCAGTAGTTGACGTTGTCCCTCCTATACTGCAGGCTTTAAGTCATCATCTACTAGAATAAACATGATCCTAGAAGTTCATATTCAGATAGATAGAAAGTAGATCAAACAATGAAACCATATGTACTCAGAGAAAAACTGTAGGTTAGGAAAAATTAGGGACCAAAACTGATAAAAACAGTAAACTGTTTCAAACAAAAGACCTAAAACAAAATTATGGAACACAGCCCATCAGTAAACATGTCAACAGCAATAGTATTAACATGTCAACAGCAATAGTATTTACTAAAACAACGACCCTTTCCCTCTCTAACATATCTTAGTCTAAACAAGTGGAAGGGAAGGGGAGAAATGATGTAGAATTATTGCTTTGCCCATTTTAAAAAAGGGGATTTCATCTAAAATGTAACTTTTTAAGGGAGAAAAAAAGAATAAAGAATCCATGACAACCCAGATTTGAAATTCTTAGGTATCACAGAAATTTAAAACAAGGCCTTTTTAGGTAACAACAACTAGAGCTCAGTGGTACAACCTTTGCCTCTCAAGCTGGTCTTAGAACATGAAGGGAAAAAAAAAAAACTGAACAAATACTACCTGAATTCAACTACTACCTGAAAGGTACCAGCTGCCTTGCATTCACTTGTCATCAAGATGACTTAAGGAATACTGCGGTGTGTGCCCCTAACTAATGAAGGCTTTATCTCCACATTACAGTTACGATACTGAAGAGACGTAACCTGACCAAGGCCACAGAGCTGGAAAAAGAAGCAAAGCCAAGCCGTTTTTCTCATGCACTGCTCACAACAAGCCCCTCCTTCCACTGACTCATGAAAAACACACTCATAATGCCCAGCCCGCACCCTAATGAACAGCCCTCTTAAGAGTGGTCATCAGACTTCAATTTCACAGACTAGAATTGAGAAATGGAACAAAACCTTGGGATACCAGCCTTCCATTTTGGTAGGGATCATTTAAAAAATGGTAGGGATCATTTAAAAAATGTGTTGGTGTCTGAAACTTACTTTGAAGTGGTTAAAAAACATAAAATGTATAGATTGTAACAAGCAAATATGTTAAAATGTACTGTACAATTCTTTCTTTACAATTTTATGGATGTTCGAAATTTAAAAAATACTAGAAAGAGAATGGTCTTATTTAAAAGAAATGCATCTTCATTTAAAGTTTCCACTGCAGACCATTGAAAACACCATCATCAACATTTAAAAACACCTACATGTGGGAGCCACTGATCTAGATGCCATCTGGACATCCCATATTGAGTATGTCTCCTACCCAACTCTACTCTCACCACCCTCGTCCACGCCACGGTAACATCTCCTCTAAGAGCTACTAAACAGCACAACTGGTCCTCTCTGCCACCTTACTCTATTTCTTATATAAAGACACTGCATAGGACCATGTAACTTGGGCTCTAAATCTTCCAATGGCTCCCTATCAAACTTACTTAAAACTCAAGCTCCATCCCATGACCTACAAGGCCCTACACAAATCATTACCTACCTAACTCTCCATATATTATCCTCAAAATCTCCTACCACTCCAACTATGCTGGAGCCACCCTGACATTTTCTGTTCCTACAACATCCAAGCTTATTCCTGGCTCAAAGCCTTAGCCTTTTCTATTCCCTTTTCTGCACGCAGAAGGACTCCATATGGCTGACTCCTCTCAATTCAAATCTCAGAGCAAACCTCACCTCCTTAAGCATGCCGTACGTAAGGATAGCATTTTCTCATCTCCATAGGTTCATTTCTATATGTGAAATTACGTTTTATATTTATTTGCTTCCTTGCCATCTCTTCCCTACTACTACAATGAAAGTGTGAAAAGGGAGCTGTAAAACAATACCAAACATATAGTAATGAATGGCTCATTAAGTATTTATTTGTTTAATCACTGATGCAAGTACTAAAAGTCCCACATTTAACAACCAATCTGACCAGAATTGCAGCAGCAACCTAAAAACTGGAAGGAATTATCAGAGGGAATATGACCAACTGTAAATATCAGATCTAAGAGTCATTACCGTAGCTGCAGTGTGGTCTACAAAGAAGTAACAGAAGACAACTTTTGATAACAACTGGTCTAATGACCTTTAACAAATCACTTAGCCTCACTACAACTCATCTTCCCATCTGTTAATGCAAGGGGCAGACATGACATGAGGAAGGCAGAGGCAACAGGATACGAATGTTTTGATAATACTGAGGAAAAAAACCTCTCCCCTCCCCGTTAAGATTGAGGGAACCAATGTAAACAAGTAAAAAATTGTACAAGTTCACATATTTTAAAAGGCAACTTTAAAACTTCAATTAACATGGCATTATTCAAACTTACTGATCAATGAATTCCACACCAACACCAAACGCTTCTGCCATATAGCCAAGGGTTAATGACCTATATGATTCCAGCAGCTGACTGTATGCATGAATTCTCATTTCTCTTACATAGTATCGATAATGAGGGGCAAAAAGCCAGTCCTTTTTCATTTCCTGTTCCACAACCGCTGCAATGAATAAAATGACAAATTATAATAGACTCTCCGTTTCAGATAAAAAGATTAAAAACTAAAGCAACACTACTAGTTGAGTCCAACAGATAGATGAACAAGTATCAAATTTCTCACTGCCCTTCCACATCATGTCATCAACAATGGCAGCAACAGCAGTGATAAAGGAGGGGCCAGGTATGCAAACATCGTCTTCAAGTAACAGGTGGCTATTTGACATCACTATCAGAGCTCAGCTTCTAAAGGAACTTGTTCATAGATGACAAAGTTCACGTACTAATATTTTAACCACGGAGAACTTCTTATGCCTTAAGTAAAATAAAGTAAAAATCATTTTTTAAACAATTCTAACAGAGAAACAGCAGGTACAGTGAAAAACGATTTATACAGACCAGAAAAAAGGTATAAATCAGACATTTTCAAAAAGCAACAAAACTCAGAAGAAAGCAAAGACTGATGACTCCTATTGCCTGTTTATTTGTTCACGTAAATAGTCTACGTAAGAAAACACTATGAACAAGGTTTGAAGACAAATGATAAACTAGAAAATTTATAACGATGAGTTAATGGCCTTAATCCAGAAGAGATCCTTAGAAGACAGTAAAATGTACGTAGAGTATTAATGAGCAATCCACACAAATATAAATTATTTTACTGAATAACTCCTGTATATCACTACTCTAGATAGTTATATGGCAGTGAACCAGAAGACAAGACCCTTGCTGCCACAAAAACTAAATTTTCAAAGGGCAGAGACAGATGAACAAATATACAAGATAAATCCTGTGAAGAAAATAAAAGTAACATGATAGAGTGACTAGGAAGCCCTCCACTGGATTGGGGTGGACAGGGAATACCTCTCTCAGGGGCTGGCTAAGCACAGAGCAATGTAAATGATACAAAAGTCTGAAGGCAGGAAAAGCATGGTTAAGCCCAGGAACAGAAAGGATGCCAGACTCAGAATGCAAGCAGGAAGACAGCAACAGGTATATAGAAGGTGAGCAAGAAAAGAGACTCTAGAGTATACTTATGTTTGTGGTTTCAACAAGATGGAAATCCCTGGAGAAGGAGAATATTTGTTTTTAGTGTTGGGGGTGAGGGTGGGATTCAAGCATACTTTGGCAGTGTTCAAGTGGATATGCCTATTAAACAGCCAAGTGAGGACACTAAGGAGGCATTGAGGCATGAGTCTGGTGCTCCAGTTTGGGGCTGGCGACATGAATTTGTCCATCACTGCCATCCAAATGTATCTGATGGCACAAAGTGAAGATAAGAAACAAGGGCAATAACCCAGTCTAAGGCAGTCAGACACTGAGAGGTCTAACAGTGGATGAGGAGGTAGGTCCAGAGAAAACAAGAGCACGTTACTGCAGAACCAAGAGAAAGCTGTGGTGAGAAGCAAAGGATGGTCAACATCAAGGCAGATAAAGATAAGCAAGGGAACACATGATTTAGCAACATGGAGATCAATGGCCACTAACCATGAGATGGTGCGTATTCTCACTAATAAGAGAAATGCATAAAACATCAATAAAATTATTTCTGTCCTCTCAGACTGGCAAAGAGTATGGAGAGGGTGGGACAGGTTCTCTCAAATGCTATAGATTGAGAGAAGTATAAATTGTGTAAATGTAAACTGACATATCTCTGGAGGGCAACAGTGGTCAAGACACAATATATTTAACCTTTGGAAAGTTCAATTTTTTAGACTTTTTCCCCAAGGAAATAACAAGTGGGAAAGATAAATTGTTGGAGTGTTCAAAACAGGGTTGCTTATAATAGGGCAAAACTGGAAACGACCTCGTTTTCTATCAGTAGAGGATAAATTATGGCATAGCCAATACATTGAAATACTAGGAAGTCCTTAAGAAAGGATAACCTGAAGCTCCTAGGAACACTACCTGTTCAATTTGCTGCTATTCTCAATGTTAGTACACGATAGCCACTCAAAAACACTTACTGACTAAATGACCAACTATATGTATAGTGACATGAAAAGATATACACGTTACTTGTGAAGAGAAAAAAAGGTACTTACAAAACAGCATATAAAATACATCCACAATACACAAAAGTGTTACATGCTCTTATCTCTGGATAACAGTGCCCCTGAAGGACACACTGGAAAACCTGATTAACAGCAGTTGCCTCTAGAGAAAGGACACTGGTGATCAGATATTAAAGAAAGCCTTTTTCTTCTTTATATGATACTGTTTACAACTGTTCCATGTGTACATATAACTTCGGTTTTTAAATGTTTTTTCTTTTTTAAAGTGCATATAATAAACGAGTAAAAGGCCGGGCGCGGTGGCTCACGTCTATAATCCTGCACTTTGAGAGGCTGAGGCGGGCGGATCGTGAGGTCAGGAGATCAAGACGATCCTGGCTAACACAGTGAAACCCTGTCTCTACTAAAAATACAAAAAATTAGCCGGGCATGGTGGCGGGCGCCTGTAATCCCAGCTGCTCAGGAGGCTGAGGCAGGAGAACGGCATGAACCCGGGAGGCGGAGCTTGCAATGAGCCAAGGTCATGTCACTGCACTCCAGCCTGGGCGACAGAGTGAGACTCTGTCTCAAATAAATAAATAAATAAATAAATAAAAGGTCTACAAGGATATAAAACAATATTAAAATCACCGTCTCAGGAAAAATTTTATATGTGAGTGAATGTGTGTATGGATTTGGGGGTGAGGTGAGATACAAAACCTTTCACTTTCTCAATTTATTTTTGATTTCTAAATATAGTCAGGTACTACCTAGAAAAGGATACTACTTCCTTTTCCAATTGAATTATTTTAGAGCACATTAGTACCAAGTGCTGTCCTGCTGTCAGGGTCATGAAGATTAAAAAAAAAAAAGCATAAGTTCTGCTCCCAGAAATTCTAGTTAGCAAAGGAGGCAAACTAGGAAATTATCACAAAACAGAGTGCTAAGTTTTAGCAATTGGGGCACATGGCCAGTTAAGTATATGAAAAGATGCTCAATGAAACTAGTCATTAGAAACAAATCAAAATTACAATGAGATATCATTTCACACCCACAAAGATACCTATAATCAAAAAGACAGAAAATAGTAAGTACTGGATGTGGGAACACTGGAACCCTCACACAGCTGATGGGAATGTCAAATGGTGCGGGCGCCTGCTTTAGAAAACTGGCAGTTCCTCAAAAAGTTTATCAGAGGGTTGCCATTAAGATGCAGCCATTCCACTCCATATGTCCACAGAAAAAGCTGTACACAAATCTTCATTATAGCATTATTGATAGTAGCCAAAAAGTGCAATCAACACAAAAATCTATGAACTAATGAATGGATAAATAAAATGTAGTATATACATACAACAGACTATCATTTGGCTATAAAACAAAATGAAATACTGATACATGCTACAACATGGATGAATGTGGGAACATTATAAAGTGAAAGAAGCCAGGCACAAAAAGCCACGTATTTTATGACTGCATTTAGATGATATGTCCAGAATAGGCAAATTCGTACAGACATAAAGTAGATCAGTGGTTGCCAGGGGCTGGGGGAAAGGAGTAATAGGGAGTGACTGCTAATGGGTGTCGGTTTCCTTTTGGGGTGATCAAGATGTTCTGGAATTATTAATATTTGCAAAACCTTGCCAATATATGAAAAAGCACTGAATTGTACACTTGAGGTAATTTTATGGTGTGTGATTTATACCTCAGTTTTTTTAAAGGAGGGGGCATACAATAACCCCAGGAATGCAGAGAAGTAAGAGATTTGTTCTGACTGAGGGAAGCAAGGAAGGGCTCCCTCAATTTTTTTGAAGGAGGGAGCATACAATAAGAATCCCAGGAATGCAGAGAAGTAAGATTTGTTCTGACTGAGGGAAGCAGGGAAGGGCTCCATATTTGAGTTGAGTGATGACCAGGAGACCTCAAGCATAAAAAAGGGAAAAGAGCAATTCTACAATATAACCTTATATGCAAAAGCAACATAACTGTGTGTGTATGTATGAGAAGATAAGGCCAAGTGAGTTACTCATCATGCTCGGGAAACCTGTTCCTACATTACCTGAGGTAAATACTATGAATTCTCATAAAGCAGCCCAATTTATATGCATGGAGAAAGCATCCAAAAACACTGGGCCAAAACCCACTGCAAAAACATTAACAATCGTCATTTGGAACCGTCCATTCCCACTTTTCTCCAAAGCTATCTATTTAACCAAACACCTTCTGAAATTTGCAGCATAAACAAAATATATCAATGTCAAATTTTAAGTTTTGGGAAAGACCCCTGGGTCAACTTGATGCAAGCTGATTCTTCTATCATCTTAATAGTTTGTGGTCATTATTAGGAAACCAAATAGCCAGGAAAGAATGGGGACAAGAGGGAGAAACAAGCAAATGTGTGAAGGCAGGATCACTACAAACTAGCTTTGAAGGAATACAATTACGTTCAAGAGATTATTTTCTTAACCCATAGCCCTTGAAAATGATTTGCAAATCAGCACAGAGATTTAGCTATTTAGCTATTGATACAGAATAGCCCATTGCTGAATTCAAGGTTCAATTAATCTCCACCCCAAATCACATTCAGAATTCCCTCACTTCTGTCCCCATGAAGCTCAATACTTAATAACCATTTGCTCACTTTTGCCTTATACCCCATTAAGACTCTTAACCAGGGGTCTGGCAAATACCCTCAGCAAAGGGCCAGAGGGTAAGTATTTTTAGGCTTTGCAAGCTACATAGCTCTCCGTCACATCCTCCTTTTTTAAACAACACTTTAAAAATGTAAAAATCATTCTTACCTCCTGGGCCATACAGCAGGCCACAATCTGATGACCCTTCTTCTAAACAAAACTGGGCACATTAGGAATACTGATCAAAGACATGCAGCTACCTACACACTACATTTCTCAGATAGGTGAAAAATCGTCTTAGGTTATTTGCACATAGGATCAGGAGTAAGATGAAGACAGATAATCAAAAATATCAACCCTATCCTTACCTAATGATTGGAAGAAAACAGAGTAACGGCATTCATAGAGTGAAAACAGATACTGCCGAACTGCTGGAAGACTGTGCAACACTTCAAGAATCTCTGCTCCTTTAATGACCTAGGTATTTTAAAAAACATATATACAAAAAAAATGTACATTTTAATGATTTGTGTATTTAAACAAAAAAAACAAGTCTTTAAATTTGAGTATTAAAGTTTGGTCATTACCTTTTCCCTGAGATCTGGTCTTTCTAAGGCAATCATACTGACATAGACAGTATAAGTCACAAATGTTTTATAATCCATGAGTTCATAGGATGTAAATGTTGAAACAGTGTCAAGGAAGAGTTCAGCTGCCTGTTTGAAATCACGAATAGCCACACAATAAAGACCCTGATACACTTTTAGGCGGTTTCTCCTGTCCCAGTCTCCTCCTTCTTCTATTAAGCTATGAAATAAAAACAGTAAGATCATAGTCTGGAAACAGACAAGGCCACGTTTTAAAAACTTGTCTGTTATTTGAAATGAGAAAACAACTTTTAACAACTTGAACCGAAAGGAGATATTTAAATTATTTTACTAAATAAGTACATCAATTATTTGACCAAACTTACTAGCTGTAAACAAAACAGGCAGTTTCTTATATCAGCTTCTCATTTGTAGCATCATAATTTAGAGAAAATATAATCCCACCCTTAGAAAGTACCTTTTGGCCTTTTCTGTGTTTCGTGTGATGAGATCATTATCCATATAAAATAAGCCAATCCTAAGGAGATAGAATACAATATCCAATCGGTGACCCAGGGCCACAGTTTTGTCATATGTCTTGCGAAAGGCTGTCAGAGCTCCCTCCTGTCAAGAAAGCCAAGGCAATAGGTGAGAAAAGGCTACAAGTTTCCAAAAAAAGCTATCAGCTGTCTGGGATTTTCTTCAAAGGTTGAGGGAAGAGGTAGGAGTAGAAGTACAACAAGATGGCCATTAACTGTTAATTGTTGAAGCTGGGTGATAAGTACACAAGGGTTTATTATTCTACTTTCTCTACCTGTATAAAGTTTAAAAAATACATAAGAAATGCCCAAGCATATACTTAGATTCAGGAAAACAATTTAAGAAAAATATATTCACAATTGTTAAGTATTTTTCTCTGTTCTATATATTCAATGTTTTCTCTCATAATCACAATACACTACATCAAAATAACATCATCTGAAGGGTTTTGGAAATTGTATCTTAGTCGCTATTAGAATATGACTAAATTTGTAAATATATAATTTTCTCTCAAAGCACTGTGGAATGTTTCCTTTGCTTTGAATATGAATAAAATAATTTGTTCACACTTGGTAGTTTTCAGTATGTGTCTGCCTGGTTTATGTAATTATTAGTTATATTTCACAAATTTATAAGGGACTGGGAATACAGCAATGGATACACCTAGCACTAAGATCTTGGTTTTTAAATACTATCCCCCACTAAAAGGAACCAGGGATCCTAGGAGAAATAGATAATTCTACGTTTATTAGAGTGAAAATAACAGGTGAACCTGTGACATTTTGTTTTATCAGAAAATAAGACTAATGAGATATGTCAAAAGGACAAAGTGTCTTGACGGAGCCTCTGCTAACAAATTTGCAACAAACTTAGCACCATAAAGAATAAGACTCTCATCAGTGGTAACAGTGAATAATAAAAGCCCACTAAGTCCATTAAGTATTTAGTAATACTAAATAAAATAAAATATAAAAAACGAGAGTAAATAGGAGGGGAAAAGTTGTTCGTTTTGGAAGAGTATTTAATAAATACAGAGGAAATATAATATTAGAACATTTTACAACTTCCTGATACTGATTCAAGCATGTCCTTGTTGAAATTCTTCAAAACCTGAATCAAAAGTTTCAAGTTTCTCATTCATATGTAATATATTAGTCTTTAAAACCAAGCCACAAACATACAGCTTAAAAGTAAATGGAAACCACTAGATAATTCTAAACTTTTCTGTATTTTCCAAATTTTTACAATGACCACGTCTTAAGTTTACAACCAGAAAAGAGAAAAAAACCTCGTTTTAGATATACATTGCAAAACAACATTTAGGCACTTACTATGTGCTAGGTACCAGTCTAAGCTTTTTCCTATCCTTAATCCACATTAAGTAAAAACTATCAGTACTCCTGTTTTACACATGAGGAAACCGAGGGTTTCATAAATCATAATTACCGAGGTTGAAAACAGAACCCAGACAATCTGATTCAAGAGCTCATGTTATTTTTATTTTTTATATTGGCACCATGTCATTCTATACCTAAATACTTCCAGGCAAATAATTTAAAATTAAAAACATTCAAAGCCCATTTTCTTAACCACTATTACACAGTTACTCAATTAAATTTCAAAGATCCAGTAATGGTGAGTACCCCTCTGGTGCCCTGATGGTGGAGTAAGCTGGCTGCTATGCAGAACAACTGGCCACACATATTTAAAAAAAAGAAGAAAAAAAAAAACTGTTCATTGTCCCGGCGATTTTGTTTCATATACTATACCCTAGAGAAACACTAGCATATACACACAGAGACATACATAAGCATATTTTTACAGCAGCAGTTTGCTAAAGCAAAAACAGATGAAAACAACACATATGTCCAACAACAGCTGAACAGGCAAATAAACTATGCCAGAGCTAGCTCTACAGTGGAACATTAGGCAGCAGTTAACCAGGATGAGCCAGATTTATGTATGTTGGCATGGAAAAGACCTCTTAAATATAATGCTGAATGAAAAGGGCAAACAGGACTACACTAATACACTATGATCCTATGTACTTAAAAAAAAAATTCTGTAGAATTAAAAATTTCTGCAAGTATTAACTTTTTTAAAAATTGGTTCTTTCATTGAGCATTTATATTCTTTTACATATAAAATTTTACGTAAAAAAGATTTTATGACCGGGTGCACTGGCTCACGCCTATAATCCCAGCACTTTCGGAGGCCGAGACAGGTGGATCACCTGAGGTCAGGAGTTCGAGACTAGCCTGGCCAACATGTTGAAATCCAGTCTCTACTAATAATACAAAAAAATTAGCTGGGTGTGGTGGCGCACGCCTGTAATCTCAACTACTCGGGAGGCTGAGGGAGGAGAATCGATTGAACCCAGCAGGTGGAGGTTGCAGTGAGCCAAGATCACTCCATTGTACTCCAGCCTGGGTGGCAAGAGTGAAACTCCGTCTCAAAAAAAAAAAAAAAATTACCAAAAAGTTTGCATAAATGCACAATAAAAGAACTGAAAAGCCTATCCCTGGGCAGGTACAGAGTAAAGAAAGATAACAGAACTTCAGCATTTACTATACTGTTTCTTAGTTTCTGCTAAGTATTACTCGTGTAAAGTACTAAAGACACCAGAACCAGTGCTTCCCAACCAAGTGAGAAAACTGCTGAAAATGATCCCAATTTTGTAAAAGCAGTAAATAAAATTCTCTAGATGTACACTTACGTTTTTATCGGCATGGGGTGAAATGGGGAAGAATACAGCCCTAGCTGCTGTTTGGGGAAATGACAAGGCATTTCATGGAGACGACTTTTTCATCTTTACATTGATTCACCAGTACAAGCAAGCATGATTACCTTTATACTTTTTCTAAAACGAAGTTAATTTTTTTAATGAGAAACGATTACCTGGAATAGTCTCCAATTTTAGCCTATACTAACTACAGAGAGGGAAAACCATCTCTACTCACTTTGTCACCTATCCGGCAGAGGTACTCGGCCTTTGCCATCATTGCATCGCGAATTTCGCTCTCTCCTAGATTCTTCTCTGCATCTTCCAGCTCCTCATCCAAACGCTTCAACTCATCTTCATTTGCCTTCTTCATTTTATTGAGTAGGTCCACGTCTATCTGCCAGTCGAGGGATTTGCACAAGGCTTCATAGTAAGGAGCCATGTCTAACATGCAAAAAGAGGGATGTGTGAGTGGGGACACTTGTGCCCTCAAGTCAAAGTCTGCCCACGTATTTCACCCCCCGCCCCGCCACAAGTCATCCACCAGTCTCTTCCCCACTAACAGGAAGGCATGCGATGGCGCTTAATAATCGGCTTGGCAAAACATAAACGTATGCTGGTGGGAGGTTTGCGTGACGGCCAATCCTGGCAATGCCAACCTCTACTAGGGCTGGAGGGAGGGCAATCCTCGGTTTGCTCTTGCCGGATTCTGTTCCAAAAGTCTTCAAACAGGGAAAGACTTTTTATACACACATACTCACATACATATGTTCAAACATACACATTCACTACAGAAGGGCCAGAAAGAACCGAACCCAAATTTCCCTTCCACAGGCAAGCTGAACTCTCCCACAGGAATACCCCGCGCCCGGGAGCAGTCCCCACTGACAGAAAGTCACGGGGCCTTTACTCTGTGCCTAGCACAGGGGTAAATATTAATGCCTCACGATTCTCCCCCAAGCTGCCCTTACAGGGGAAGGCGGCACAGAGAGATGCAGACCCCGCTGAGGCAAGTCGAGGTCCCCCAGGGTATCCCCAAACCAAAGCAAAACCCTAAGGGCCGGAGAAGCCAGGCCTGGTCTCTGAGACCCCGTCAGAGGGGTCTGGAGCTCCATCAAAAAAAGTCCCCGCAGGCTCCGGAACGCGGGGACGGCCCAGGCCTAGGCCGCTGACTCGGCGCTCGTGCGGGCCTCACTGTTATCGCGGACGGCCGCCATCAGCTCGTCGCGCACGGCAGCGTCTCCGCGGTGCTCGGGCAGGCTGAGCAGGAAGCGCAGCTGCGCGATACGCAAGTCGGGGTTCTTGGGCAGACCCTCCTCCTCCAGGTTCTCCAGCGGCATCGCGGCGAAGGGGACAGCGGCTGACAGGACACAACTTGGTTACGACCGGCTGCGGCAGCGGAAGCGGGAGGAGTCGGCGAATACGCCCGGCCGCCTGCGGCCCGGCTTCCGGTCCCGTCTCCGCCGGCAGCGTCCTCTGCTGGACACCTCCGGGAACGCCTCACCCGGCCTGGGCGCCTGCGCCCCTGTGTGGTCACGGGGGCTTTTCCACCCTCAAGGCCCCCTGCGGAGTCCCAGAGTGGGTGCAGCCCAACTCAAAAGCCCAATTTCTTGAATCTCTTTCTCACTCCCTTTTTAGCTATTTTACTTTCCGTTTGTAACTGATGGGAGCTTAAAATTTTTTGAAAACTGAAAATGTAATAACAGCATTAATAAAAACAATCACCATAGTTTGTCGAGTCGTTACTCTCATTCATCTTATTAAAATCATCTTCATGCTGCGAGGTAGTACTATTAGCCTATTTAGTAGGTAAGACAAATGAGGCACAAAGAGGTTAGGGAAACAGACCAACCAAGGTCATGTAACAGCCATGTCGCAAGGCCTAAATGAAAACCCCTATCTAGAACTCTAAAATCCACATTCTTTCTGCGGTTTTAAGAAGAAAAAAAAACTGCACCCAGGATTCTACGTCATAGTACAACAGCATCATCGTTTTGTTTACACATAAATTAAATCATTACATGCCTGCATTTTCAGCTTCCTTTTGTTCACATTGCTACAGATCTTCAGAGGTGGTAATCTTTACATTAAATTCCTTTTTTTTTTGAAACGGAGTCTTGCCCTGTCACCCAGGCTGGAGTGCAGTGGCACAATCTTGGCTCACTGCAACCTCTGCCTCCCAGCTTCAATCGATTCTCCTGCCTCAGCCTCCCAAGTAGCTGGGATTACAGGCCTGCACCACCATGCCGGGCTAATTTTTGTATTTTTAGTAGAGACGGGGTTTCACCATGTTGGCCAGGCTGGTCTTGACCTTCTGACCTCAAGTGATTCCCCCGCCTCAGTCGTCCAAAGTGCTGGGATTACAGGTGTGGGCCACCATGCCTGGCCTAAATTCCATCTAATGGATTTACCATAATTTACTTTCACTCTTCCCTCTGTTAGAGGTGTCTTTAGGTTGACCAGAGTTTTTACTTACCTAATATAAAAACTTGGATGAAGACTTTGGATGTCTAGATCACTTCATGTTTTGCATCTTTTTCCTTAGCATAAAATCCCATGAAGGAATAACGGACAAAGGGAAGAAGGATTTTGTGACTTGGGGATATTTAATGTTAAATGGTTTTCCAAAAGAGCTGAACCAGTTTACACAGCTGCTGAAACAGGTGAGACTGCCACATCTCACAGGCAGTAGGCATCATCACATAATTTAAATCTATTATTTGTTTCTATAAAAATGAAACAAGCATTTTGAAGACAACTCAAATGATAGAGAAAATATGAAGAGTAAAAAAAAAATACTATTAAATAGCTCTCCACCACTGCTAAACTTTTGGTAAAAAACTTTCTAAAATTCTTTCATTTAGTCATTCAACAAACATGATTGCATGGTTACAAAGTACCAGGCACTGTCTTAGGCCTCAAGGACTCAGCAGTGAAGAGCACAAAGCCCTGTCTTTGGAACTTACATTCCAGAGAAGCATAGCTTCTTTAAAACTCATCTGGGTATATTAACATGATCATTCTATACTCGCACATTTTAAACTGTGTTTTATTCATTCTACCATGTATTGTGGATATCTTGGATGACAATGGATTGACCATATAGGATTCCATTATATTTATTTCTGTTTGTTTGTTATTTTTGAGACGGATCTCACTCTGTTTGAGACGGATCTCAGGCTGGAGTACAGTGGGGTGATCTTGGCTCACTGCAACCTCCATCTCCCGGGTTCAAGCGATTCTCCTGCCTTGGCCTCCTGAGTAGCTAGGATTACAGGCACGTGCCACCAAGCCTGGCTAATTTTTGTATTTTTAGTAGAGACGGGGTTTCACCATATTGGCCAGGCTGGTCTCGAATTCCTGACCTCAGGAGATCCGCCCACCTCAGCCTCCCAAAATGCTGGGATTACAGGTGTGAGCCACCACACCCGGCCCATTATATTTCTATACCAACTTTTTCTTCATCAGTCCTTAAGTGCTGGTTGATTTGGGTTATTTTTGTTTTTTTCAATCTTATTAATATTACAGTGTCACTTATCCGTGTACATATATATTTTCACACTTAAATAGTTATTTCTCAATCTAAATCTCTAGACGTGCAATTGCTGAATAAGAGGGCATTAATATTTTATATTTTGATGTATTCTGTAAGTATTTTATGAATTATTTTCCACAAATGATATATATATCAATTTACATTGCCACTAATATTGAACAGAGAACCTGCAGGGGAGAAAAAGTAGTATCCTTTCTTCACCCATTGCGAGGTTCATAGCTGAGGCACCTATAATAAAAGATAGAATAGCAGGGCCAGGAGAGGTGGCTCACACCTGTAATCCCAGCATTTTAAGAGGCTGAGGCAGGCAGATCACGAGGTCAGGAATTTGAGACCAGCCTGGCCAGCATGGTGAAACCTCATTAGCAGGGCATGGTGGCGCACACCTGTAGTCCCAGTTACTCGGGAGGCTGAGGCAGGAGAATTGCTTGAACCCAGCAGGCGGAGGTTGCAGTGAGCTGAGATTGTGCCACTGCACTCCAACCTGGGTGACAGAGTGACACTTTGTCTCAAAAAAAATAAAATAAATAAAATAACAGAAGAAAAGCATACAAATATATTTAATATAAATTTTAGGTGACATGAGAGCCTTTGGAAATGAAGACCCAAAGAAATGAAGAAATCTGTATATTTGTAAGGTAAATTTGATGAAGAATGGACAGTTATGTAGAAGTATGATTGGTCAAAGGGGGTGTGATGTGATGGTAATAAACTGGGGGGACTTACCAAGGTCTGTGTGTTCAGATTCTTCTCTGTGTCCCTGTATCTTCATATATAAGGGATTTCTTTTCTTTGAGCATAGGGATAATATGTTTGGAATGAGGGTCTTATGACCTACCTTATAGGAAGTTCAGGGAATTCTTTTATAACTGGCTTCAAGCGAGAAGGGCACAGAGAAGATGAGAGTGACCTTCCTGCTTCTACCACTTCCTCAAAGCACAAGGTGTGATATTTTGAGATTGCGTGTCCTGAACCCCATCAGACCTGTCTCCCAATGTACTTTCATCAGCTATTTTAAGTTTTGCTAACAGTTGCTTTTCCTTTGCATTCCTTTTATGATTGGTGAGGTTAATCTTTTTTTCACATTTTACTGACCACATATATTTTCTGTTTTATGAAATTCTTGTTTGGCTTTGTCAATTCTCTATGGAATCTTTCCTCACTGACTAGTAAGCAATCTTCATATTTTAAGGATATTAACTTTGTTAATTTCCAAGTATCACAGTTTCCCCCCTCATTTATTTTTCTAAATTTTTAGGGGTTTTTCTTCAACATAAAAGCTTACAATGTTTACATAGTTAAATGTATCAGCCTGTTTACATTTGTGACAAGAATTGGATGTATGATCCAAAACTCATGTTGAAGTATAGGGGGAAACCTGTATAAATAGTCTTGTAGTTTAAATTGTATGTGACTGGTTCATTCTGGTTTCCAGTTCGTCCTAGTATAGACGCATAATCAAATTAAGGTTGCAATTGCCAGAAAATCTCAATTGCAGGGGATTCTATGACTCTTCATTATTCCAGGTGCAAATGAGCTTCAAGGTGCACAATGCCCTGCTGTCAGCCTCTCCACTCAGCACAGAGGAGACCAATTTCCAGTCAGATCTGTCTTCTTCTCTTTTTACTATCATAACCATTAATTGCTGAGGAATCAATCGAGCCCTGAACTGTGGCTGTGATTTGACTGCCCAGCTGATCAAAGCAGCTCTTTGCCCCATATTGACAACTCATTATTGAACAGTAAATTGTCCATTCCATCAATCTCTTTGTAGCCATTAACTCAATTTGACTGGATTAACTAGTTTTACAAAGCCCCTTCTTTAAGCTTGAAACCTGAGGTTTTTGTAATCTCAGGGAGGAAAAATAAATGTGTATCTTCTTGGTAGATATATATCCTGCCCCATGGAAATTAAAATGTTTGATGGAAACAGGCTATGGTGAGCTAAGGGCATACATACCTTTTCTTATTTGCTCTGGTTCTAGGGTTTATTTTAGAAAGCACTCTTTCTTCCTTTTTTTATCTGTGTTGCAAGCCCTTTGCTATTAGAACCTGGTTTTATTTCGAGATCGCACCAAGCAGGGCCCTCCTCCTTTTCAGCCTTTGTACTTTTCCTTTATGTGAGATTATATGGCTCTGAAAAGGCTGCTCTGATTTAGGGCACTGGATTCCTTCATTCTGAGCAGAGCGTCGTCAGCTCTCTGTACAGGCCCCACGGGCTGTTGATTTTGATGACTACCATGCCCACTGCATAAAACAATGTTCCTCTAAGTGTATAATTGACTTTATCTGCTTTGCTCACTTTTAATTACATGCACTTTCAGCTTTTTCATTGAATTTCAAATAATTTATGTGCGCGGCCCTGATTATAGCTTTCCTGCATATGTCCAAGATGGGTTTGTGCAGGCGGAGTTATCTCTGCTCCTGCCAGCATCCTTCCTGTTAGGCAGTTATTGATTACACCACATAGGATGGAAACTTTACATAGAGTATCCGCTTGGAACGCACAAAAATTTCAGGGTTATTGCAGCATCATGATCAATTGATGTAGCATGCTCATTTCTTCCTCACTAAATTACTCCTTTCCAAAAGAGTATTTTGAAGGAAAAAGAGTGCTTAGGAAACACTGTTGTTTCTGGAGCAGGTTGGGTAATTGCTGAGAGCAATATCAGTTTTCTTTTTCCATGACGAGAAGACACTTGCACAAGGCAGGGAGAGTGAAATGTGTCCCCCAGGATGACACACTTCATGCAACCCCACTGTTAGCATAGACCTCTTACTATGTGCTGGGGTACCAGACAGAGCAGTGGTCAGAAAATTCATGGGGTTCACATTCTGGTGGGGAAAGGGTAGAAAGAGACTGAGAAGCAATACACGATTAAATAAATTATTCAATTAGTGGCAAAATTAGTGAAGGCATGAATGCACGAATGGAATAGAAAAGGTTTTTTTTTTTTGATGAAGTGATATTTGAGGTTAGATCAAAATGATGGGCTTGGGTTAGGGTCATCTTTAAAAACAGTTACTTTGTGCCAATTTCCTTAGTTCCTTTAATAATTACCCCCCTTTGTGTATAAAATAAGTGGTGATAAAGAGGTTTTTCTAGTTTGTTTTCCTCTTTGTGGTTTGAAAATCAGCACACAGTCATCTGCAGGGCGCTAAGTATACGATCCTGGGAACATGATGTGAAAAATCAGGAACCTGCAGCTGAACCAGCGTAGCCATTGAGAAGTGGCCATCCTCCCACTTCTGGTAAATTGCCTAAAATTTACATATCAATCATGTTAACCTGTCATACCTCTAGTTCCACCCACACTCCTTCTGTAGGACTCATCCTGGGTAGACACATGACACCCAGGGAAGCAGTCTGAACTGCAAGTGATCATCTACCTGAAGCCTACAAAGTGTTGTTCCAAAGGGAAGATCTGGGACACTCAGACTTTTACTTTTCAGAATCTGAATTAGAAACTGTGGCTGGAATCACCAGCTAGTAGTGGGTGTAGACACCATAGGGTCATGAAATAGAAGGGAGGATGTTGGAGGAGAGCAGCCGGGATCTGTCAGAGATTGAATAGCAGGCTGAAATCAGGAGCAAGGAGGGGCAGGAGAAACAGAGGTATGCCTTACTGAGCAAAGGAGCCCAGAGGGAATCTGAGCAGAAGCAGACAGACAGAAAAGAACCTAGCCACAGAAAATGATGGCACACAGGGGTGGATCATCATCAGCCTATGTGGCAAAAAGACTTAGGTCAACCTTACATGCAAATCCAGCAGCAAAACCATCTTTACAACACCAATTCATGCTACTATTCCTGCTCTTCCCAACTCTTTGAGTTTACGCCTCTTGCCTTCGCTGACGTCACACCCTATTTTCTTGAGTACTAATATTCCAGTGTTTTTAATCACTTGTTAAATTATCCTCACAATAAATACTAGTCACTTGCAGTCTCATAGGGAGTCTCCGACCCTAAGAAGAACAATTACCTGCAATTTAACAACAATACCCATGCATTCACCCTTTGACCCAGCAATCCTGCTTCTGGGAACTTATCCTGAAGCTACACCTCCAAAAATTCAAAAATACCCATGCACAAGGTTATTCATTGCAGTATTGTTTAAAATTGTAAAATACTGGTAACAACTTAAATGCCCAAATATAGGAAAATGGTTGCATACACAATGGTACATAACACATGATGGGGTATTATGCAGCTGTAAAAAATAATAAAGAAATAAATAAAGAAAATGTTCATGAGCTGATATGGAGCAATTTCCAGAAATCAAATGCAATTATTTAACAACAAAAATGATAAAGAGGACTAGAGGAGAGACACTATAAAAGCAAAAATTCAAAGGAACCACTAGAATATGGAATATCGAAAGAAAAACAAAAGAAGGGTGAGTCTCTGATTTGTGTAAGCAAACAAGTGAAATTAAGACACAGCCACAGAGCACTATGGTAACACATGCAGCAAGTACACTGCAATTTCTTAAGATAAACTTGAAGAAACTACCCTGCACATATTGAAACAGCACTGTCTCAACCACCCGCTGATGGAGCAAAGCATAGGAACAAGAAAGTGAACATTGGGAAAGAATTAACCAGTAAACATTTAAACAAGAGGTGTGGTCTAATCATGGGACGAATCAGAACCGTATTGGACTTCCTATCACTCATCTGTACTACTTAGTACTGTTTTTATTTTAACTAATTAATTAATACTTTTTTGGAGATAGCGTTTTGCTCTGTCGCCCAGGCTGGAGTGCAGTGGAGCGATCTCAGCTCACTGCAGCCTCGACCTCCTGGGATCAAGTGATTCTTCCACCTCAGCTCCCTAGTAACTGGGATTACGGGGGTCACCACCACACCCGGCTTTTTTGGGTAGTTTTTGTAAAGACGAGGTCTCGCTATGTTGCCTAGGCCGGTCTGGAACTCCCAGCCTCAAGCAATCCACCTGCCTCTGCCCCCTAAAGTTCTGGGATTACAGGTGTGAGCCACTGCGCCTGGCCTGTTTTTATTTTGAAAAAAAAAAAAAAAAAATTTTTTTTTGTTTTTTGCAAGGTGCACAGGAGGTTGGTGGGTGGGTGAGCTCGACGGTTTCGGGTTACAGAGGTTTCGAACCCATCCCTCTTCTCGTGCTGCGATTTTTGCTTATTCACAGCCCCTTTCCTCGGAAAAGCCCAGAAGTGTTTCAAGTGGTGACCAGCAGAGGGCAGCAGTATCCACCGCTTCCCGCAGAGCACGGCGTGCGGAGGTAGACTGTCTTCCGGTCCCACCCGGAGATGGGGAATTCTAGGCCAGGTGGGTGTGACGACGTGCAGCCCTAGCGAAGGACAGGGGTGCACGACAGAGGCACTGGATGGTAAGCACAGCATTTTCTAAATCTCACAGGAGAAAAATCACTGAAAAAAACCACTGGTGTAAAAGCTGAGTCTGTCCTTTGAACCGCTGCCCTGATTTTAGTTACAAATGAAGCAAAAAATCCTTAAAGATCCATATTCCTAAATTTAGACCTTGACCTCAAAGATCGCCTCGGAAAATATACAAATCATTGTTTCCTTCATTTAGTCAACTATCTATTGATTTGATCCCTACTTCCTGTTCAACTCAGCATCCCTTGTCATGGGCAAAAAAAGTGAATGGACTCAGACCATTGAAACAAATAAACTTAATCTTGGTTAGAAAAATTCCAAGTCAATGAATTTTAAAAAGTGAGTTAGTATCATACCAATTTAAGTGTTTTTTAAATAATGTTTAATAAGCAGGTGAATAATTAGCATTGGCCTAAGAAGGCAGCATTCTTAAATCACAGAAAAGAGGTATTTCAGCTGTGGCTGTATGTCGGACTTTGTGATTCCTTTATTTCTGATTTCCTTAGTAAGTTATTCAACCTTACAGGGAAACTTTTTAAATTTTACGTTGCTCTTTTAAATTAGCCTAAGAATAATAATGGTGCCAAAATCTTGTATAGCACTTGCTATGTGCTAGGTACTTAAGCATTACATATATATTAAGTCATTTAATCAAACAACTGTATCAGATAGATATTATATTAACCCATATTACAGAGGTTCAGAGAGGTTAAGCAATTTGACCAAGGTCACACAGCTAGTTCATGACAGAGTAGGATTTGAACTCAAAAAGTCTGGATTCAGACTCCATGCTTCTAGCCATAATATCGTACTTCTTATTATTAAATATTAGCCACAACATGCTCTCCACGAATAATGGCCTTCCTTATAGAGTCAGTTCCTTCTCCCTCCCTTGAATTCCTACCTTCGAGCATTCTAGATTGATTGATTACCCTGGTCCTCCCTACCTCCCTCCTTTCCTATAAAATGCCATGTCATGTCACATGAACCTTGACATTTAGAAGATAGAATTCTTTTGTTTGATTCAGGTTTTTTTCCTAAAAGAACATCACACTCGATTCTGATCTTTTTTTGGAACGCTTTGTTGATAATTTAAATGACTGTTTTGTGACTTTTTATAGAAGCCTAATTAAAAATGCATAGTTTAAAAATTAATCACCCGAGTCACCCAGACTCAAAACATCTGTCATCCTCCCTCCCTTTTTACCCCGAGGTAATTTTGCCAGGTCCTGTGGCTGCTTCCTCCTGTATATTCCCTAAAATGTCTCCTAAATCTTCTTTCTCATTTCAGTAGTGGCTCCAAGTGCTCCTTACCCCCAGCCTGGGCTTTTATAACAACCTCTCAACTGGTCTCCAGACCCCAATCCATCCCACAAACCACTGCCAGATGAAGCTTCTGAAAGCAATGCTCTAGCCGGGTTGTATTTTTTGCTCTGAAACCTTGCGTGGCTTCGCTTGTCTACGGAATTCAGTACTGAATCGATTAAGAGGTAGTCTTTTCACTGACTTAGTTTTACTGCTCCCTGGTACACAAAAATACTTCCTTCTATAGGTAAATTCATAAAGAAACACACACACAAAAGTAGAACAGAGGATACCAGGGGCTGGGGAAAGGAGAATGAGGAGTTAGTGCTTAATGGGTACAGAGTATCTGTGGGGAGTGATGAGAATGTTTTGGAAAAAGACGGCAGTGATAGTTGCAATTAATCCCTGTGAATTATGCACTTGAAAATGGTAAAAATAAAATTAGCCAGGCATGGTGGCTTGCAACTTTAGTCCTAGCTACACTGGAGGCCAAGGGAGGAGAATGGCTTGAACCCAGAAAGTTGAGACTGCAGTGAGCCATGATTGCACCACTGCCCTCCAGCCTGGGTGACAGAGCAAGACCCTGTCTATAAAAAATAAGAAATAAGAAAATGGTTAAAATGCCACATTTTATGCATTTTTATCATAATAAAAAATTTTTAAAGTATACTTTCTTCTAGTCCAATTAGATCAATTGCTCTTTTCTCTCTGAACACCATTCCCCTGCTTTTTAAGCTTTATACGAGGCAGAAAAATGTGGTCTCTCCTTATTGCTGACAACTATTTCTTGAACCTTGCAAGGCTTCCTGCTTCTTCCTTCTGGTCAGTGAAATATTAGAATAAAAATTTCAGAATGTCTCTGGTGGCTTTTATTGCTTTTCCATCACAAGTTTATAGGAACATTCTTTTCTTTCTTCTCAGTGAGCATAGGCTTCCTAAAAGCACACAGAAATAGCAAGACAAGTCTATTTCATGGACTCTGCTTTCTAATCGGATGGTCTCATGTGGAATATTGTCTCTGGAGAGGTCATAAATGGTTGTCACGCCATGTGTTGTGGAGCCTTATCTTCTCCTTTTCAAAAGCAGGCTGCCTAGTAGGTTTCCTAGACCATGAACAAGCCAAATTTTTGCTTGAAATTTTTAATATTCCTCTTTTTTTATTAATAGAGAACAATGATTCCAACACATTCAGCTTTATTTTAGGAAGAAATAATTTAACGCCTAACCCGTTATTTTTATTTATTTATTTAGAGACAGAGTCTTGCTCTGTGGCCCAGGCTGGAGTGCTGTGGTGCAATCTTGGCTCACTGCAATCTCTGCCTCCTGGGTTCAAGCGATTCTCCTGCCTCAGCCTCCTGAGTAGCAGGGATTACAGGCGCCCGCCACCATGCCTGGCTAATTTTTGCATTTTTAGTAGAGACAGAGTTTCACCTTGTTGGTCTAGAACGCCTGACCTCAAGTGATCCACCCACCTCAGCCTCCCAAAATGCTGGGGTTACAGGTGTGAGCTATGGCGCCCAGACTAATTTAGTGCCTAATCTGTTTAAAATGATGTTATAGTTTTTGTACAGCCACTTTGTTGTCACTGAGAGATCTCTCAATTTGAAGAGCTCACATCTGTAGAGGAAAAATTATAAGCAAGCCTTGCTTAACGAATTACGCTCTAAGGGATGAGGGACATTCTGGGCCCATGGCTACCCAAAAGCAACCCTCTTTATCTCCATGCTCAGTTCTGCCTCTGCATCTCCTGAAGTCTTCCTACTGAGGCCTAAGGGAAGTGAGGTTTAGAGGAGACCTTTAGCTCTCTGGAAGCCCAGGTGGAGAAAACTGGTGGAAGTATTTTTTCCCTATAGGCTGGGGAAGTACCTGGAGATGAGGCTTCAGATAGCCTAGGATGAGGACAAGACAGTGGCAGATGCTGGAAAGAATTTGACCTGCAGTCATCCATGACTCTTATGATGAAAGTTGATGTGAATGGTGCCTCCTGGAATTGTGCGTGGTGACACCTGGTTGACATTGTTTTCCCATCCTTCAAACCACTCCTCTCATCCACAAAAGACATATACATACAGCAAAAAACTCATCAGAGTGGCCTAAGACTTCTCAGTTGCAACACTGACAGCTAAACACAATGGAGTCACATCAAAGAGAGAAGGATCAGCAACCTAGGAATCCCATACCCAGCTAAGATATCTTCCATCTATCAGGCTGAAAGACATTTGAAGATAAGCAAATAGAAACTATAGCACCACAAAACCCCTTTCCGAGGAAATAATTAAGACTGAAAACCAACCACAGGTGAACCAGAAGAGGCATCTGAAGATGGAAGAAGATAAACAGAAGAGGTAAAATCACTCAACAGGATGTACAGGGCCATTTTGGAACCACAATACTGACATTTATTAAAACAATGCAACTGACAAAACATTTGCACACCAAACTGTAGAAGCCCAATGCCCCAAGCAAAACTATTACAAATCCAAGGATAACTTGATAAAATTACTATTGTAATCAGGGGCTGCTATATAGTTCCCTTAGCATATGCAGCAGAAAAAAAAGTAGGCAAGAACATAGAGGATTTAAAAATACAATCAGTAAACTAAATGTAACTTGTACTATAGAATGTTACATCCATTGAATAGGAGTATATTTCTCCATTATTTCAAATGTCCAGGAATATCTATAAAAAGTGATCATAAGAAGTGACATAAATCCACAATTAAAACCTTAAAAATTCAAAAGCATTGAGATGTTATAAGACATGATTTTCCAATACACAATCTAACAAAATAAGACATAAGCAATTTTAAAATGGCCAAACATTTTACCCATTTGGAAACTAAAAGGCAGCTGTTGATAATCTTTGGATTAAAGAGAAAATCAAAAGAAAAATCACCAGCTTTCTAGAAAGCAGTGAAAAGGTGTGCACAAAATACAAAGTCCATCAGACACAATGACACCCAGCCTGGAGAAGAGTTTATAGCCTTGAATGCCTTCACTGCCAGTGAACCACCAAAAAGGTGCTAAAGACTTACTTCTATAGTTTTCTAAAAAGAACAACATAGTAAACTCAAAGACACTAAGAAGACGGATGAAAAAAAAATAAAATACAAAGGTAATAAAATAGCATATCTACAGAGAGGAAAAATAAATTCAAATACTGCTTCTTGGCAAAGACCAGTGACATCTACAGATAAGCCCCTTCAAATCCTGATTAAGGAAAGAGTGAGCAAGAGAGATAAAGACGATGAGTGTGAACAAAAATAGGTTACATTAGAAACGTGAAAGGAGAAATAACCATAGATATAGGAGTGATTAAAATCGTTTAAGAGAATATAATAAGCAACTCTATATAATAGTTTTCAAAACTTGGAAGGATGAATTCCTAGTAATATTATAAATTATGAACATTGACCCAA
Source organism: Homo sapiens (assembly GCF_000001405.40). NCBI lineage: Eukaryota > Metazoa > Chordata > Mammalia > Primates > Hominidae > Homo > Homo sapiens. The sequence continues at coordinate 64,035,732 of NC_000003.12, forward strand.
GGAAAAAAGTTTAAAATTCTAAATCATCAAAGACAAAGCTAGAGATACTAATAAAAGATCTATCATACATTTTTAAGAAAAACAGCCATAGATGTTTTGGAGACATTAGAGATATTTGAATATGGACTGTATATTAAATGATATTTGGGGATTACTAATTTTCTTTGCTGTGACAAGTATGACAAAGCCCTTATTTTTAAAACTTGCATATTAAGTATTTAAGGAAGAAATGTCCTGATGACTGCAACTTTCTTCTCCCCCACACCCACATATCCACACACACACACCCAAATATGACAATATCATTATAAAACTATAGTAATCAAAACAGCATAATATTGGTGTAAAGACAAAGTGTTCAATAAAACAGGCTAGAGAGTCCAGAAAGAAATGAAACAGATATAGACAACTGATTTTTGACAAGGTTGCAAAGGCAACGCGTGAAGGATGAGTCACTTTTCAATAAATGGTACTGAAACAAATGGATATCAAAATGGGTGGCTCAAAATCTCAACACACAACAAGCACACACACCTTTCCAAAAGAATGGGAACCAATGTACCACATTTACTACTTCCATCTTAGTTTTCAGAGTCTGATTCCACAGGCATTATATTAACTAGGGCTCTTTTGTGGTTGAAAGCCACAGAAATAGACTCTGGCAACTATAGACAAAAGGAAATTTATTCAAGGGAGATATGGATGCCTACAGGATGCAAGTCAAGCCTGGGGAACCAGTTTTATTATGATATCTCCAAGGAACTCCAGCAATTTGGCCACTTACTTTAGGGAGCCAAAGCTGAGATGAATTAATTTTAGCATTTGTTCTTCCTTCTACCACCCACTTCAAGATTCAGAGTGGGGAGAGAGAAGCCAATTGGTCCAGTTGGGTCCCATGCTTGTGCTTGGCGACGCAAGCCCCCTGAGTGACAATCCTCCAGAAGCAGGCACTTTAGGGAGGAAAGTCATTGCTCCAAAAGGTATCAGGGTGTGTTGCCAGAAGAAGAAGGGGTGATGCTGGGCAGGGAAGAGCAACTGTGATCACCACTGTCAGTGTTCCGCTTGGAGTCTTGGCACAACTGGGTGATTAATTCTTCCATAGAGGGTGTGATCCTACTTGAGTTCCATTTAACAAGCTTGGGTGTGAAACTAGTATTAAAGTAGTATTAATTCACATTATTTTTTGAATTAATAGTCAAATTATAAAATATCTTTCTCTGAATCTCCATCTTATTGATCTGGCAGAAACTCAACTGAGTCATTATTGCACCCAGGGGTCAGTAGGTGACAAGGCTGGAGCCCCGTGTCCTGGAACTATGCCTGGAACAGCACTCTCTCTTCCAGAGCACTGAGAGGATGCCATGAGAGGCCTGCACTCACTGAGCCCCATGAGCCCTTCTGGTCTTGAGGAATCTTCTCCACTCCTCTGCGTTCTTCATTTCGGCCTTCTCCCATCTTCTAAGAAACCAAACTTCTTTCCCTCTCCCTGAACTAATCCCTTCAATGAACTTAAGATTTGGGAGAAAAGTCAAGGAGGGAAGTTGTTTTCAGGGCGCTTCTACGTAAAGCTCTTAATACCAACCTCTTTGGTCAGCGTGTATGAGTCTGCTCAGGCTGCCGTAACAAAATACCACAGGCTAAGTGGCTTAGACAACAGAAATGCATTTCTTCCCAGTTCCGAAGACTGGAAGTGCAAGATCAAGGTATCAGCAGGGTTTTCTTCTAAGGCCTCTCTCCTTGGCTTGCAGATGGCCACCTTTTCCCTCTGGTTTTAGAGGGTCCTCTTCTATGTTTGTCTGTGTCGTAATCTCTTCTTATAAGGACACCAGTCATACTGGAACAGTGCCAGCCCATATGACTGCATTTCACCCTAATTGCCCATTTATTTATTTTGAGACAGAGTTTTTTTTTTTTTTTTTAATACTCTGTCATCCAGGCTGGAGTGCATGATCTCGGCTCACTGCAACCTCTGCCTCCCAGATTCAAGCAGTTCTCCTGCCTCAGCCTCTCAAGTAGCTGGGACTACAGGTGTGCACCACCATGCCCAGCTAATTTTTGTGTTTTTAGCTGAGACAGGGTTTCACCATGTTGGCCAGGCTGGTCTTGAACTCCTGACCAGAAATGATCCGCCCTCCTTAGCCTCCCAAAGTGCTGGCATTCCAGGCATGAGCCACCGCGCCTGGCCATGCTTTTAAATCTGGCTCTGCTGCTTATGGCCACTCAGTGGTCTTGGAAAAATTAACCTTTCTATGCCTCAGATTTTCTATCTATAAAATGGGTAATTATAATACTGCACAATCCTTAGGACTCCTGGCTGGTTACAAGTGATATTACGTGAAATGTTCTTAGAACAGGGTCTGACAACTACTAAGTGCCCAATAAGTGCTAGCTATGATTTATTATGTAGCAGCCAATTTAAAATCTTACCTTAAAAATTAAGAATCATTGGATGACTTGAAGAACAATTTTATTCTCAAAGTTGCTACACAAATAGAAATCAATACCTCCCTAGCTATCTGAGTGCCAGATCTCTGAAGACCTAATCCATTTAAATTGAGCAGTTGAAACAGTAATCATGAAGGCCTGTACTTTATAATAGTCAATGGTCCTTGGACCATTACTTAGCCTCCATAGACTCTTGCTTTACATATATTTCTAGCAGCCTTGCCTCTCAGGCTTTCCAGAAGCAGCAAATTAGGAAGTAAAGAAGGAAGGGCTTAGAACTGACAGTAGCAAGAAGTGACAGCTGACAGCTTGACAGCTAAGGAAGAAGAGAGAAAATTAAAAAGCAGAGCAAACAGTCCCACGTGGTCCAGTTCCCCCCGAGGGCCTCCCTGCCAGGAACATGATTGATGTTCTTCAGGATGACCTGCAGACCTGCGTCCCCAGCCAATAATGGTCCCTCCATCCACTTGGCCATCCGACCTAGAGAAATCAGCCTCCTCTTCAGCTACTTCTCTTTCCTCCTGAAATTTAGTTGGTCACCAAATGCTATTAATTCACTTTGAAATGTATCTGGTCAACACACATTTCCCAGCACTCTACTGTGAACCCTTTATTATTGCCTGCTGGACAATTGTACAAGGGACTTCTACCTGGTCTTCCTACCTCAAGTCTCAGTGTCTACAGAAAGTATAATCATGGCAAGGATGGAAGTTGGAGACACACAGTAAGGGTTGCTGAGTATCTACCGTGTGTGAAGTAATAATGCCCACTGTTCTGTTCAAATTATAAAGAAAAAAAGCTCCTCTTGACATGTGCTATTAAGAGTATTAAAAGCTGCTATTTTAAGGTATTTTAGAAAATAAGACTAAGTGTATGTATTCAGAATGAATTACAGAAAGTGAAGTGATAGCTCAATAATTCAGATCCCAAATACCAGCCTCACTTCTTCCTTACCTCCTCTTCTTCATCCAACTGTATGGATAATTGAAAGAAACTAAGGGGCGAGGAGTGTCCCTTAATTCTTGTGTCTTGGAGTGTCCCTTAATTCTTCACTTTGAATAGCACAACATTTGGTTTTCCTTTTCTATTTCAGTATCTCACATTATTCTTCTGTTCAGACACCATATGAGCTTGATGAAACATTCATCTTGTTTTTGTTTTCCTACAGATATAAAATCTCTACACTGGCTCTCTTTTAATCCTGCCCATCCTGATTTGCAAACCCTTCACAGTGGCACTGTGGCTAGAACAGTTGGCTGTGCTGCTGTGCTGGGTGTTCGCAGGTGTGTGGGTTTGCTGGTGAGAGAAGTTTTGCGTGTGATGGTCTGCTGCTGCTGCCAGAATCATTTGGTTCTCTGTGCAGTAGGATGCAGTGGCCAGCACACATCTGGGGTTATTATTTTCCACTCACTTTATGTGAGGCTGGACTCCAGGAGAGGCATTAACACAAATACAGTAAAGAACTTAAGATCTGTATCTTAAGAGAATTCTTATTATTTTCCCTCTACCCGTACTCTGAGCTGAATGCAAATGTGCTTCCCTGTCGTTAATGCAGGCATTTCTAATAATCAGCATCCTTCTGATCATTAGGTAGATAAAGTGCCTTCCAATTATGAATCTTAAATGGAGCATTTTGCCTGCTCTGAAGCAATTTGCCATTTAGCTCGAAAACCTTTTAGTAAGCATATTAGTTGACTCCATTTAGGCAGGTACTTGTTCTGGTTGCTCCAGGAAGCACCCTTTATTAACAACTCCCAGATATTAACAAAATATTGCTATCAACACATTGTCATCACCTCCGTTGCCTGCACATATAGACTGCTGTCCTAGATTTTCCTTTGTCATTTGAGTATGCCCTGTAATTCCCCATTCTTGCTCAGAATCTCACTGATCTCTGCCATGCCTTGTCCTCAGATCAACAGTGTTCAGTGTCTGTATTCTGATGAATCACTCGACCACCAAGCAGTGCCTCAGATGGCCATGTTGCATTGCCCTGAGACAGACTGCCCTTACACAGTGACATTTTCCCCGCTATGTCTCACAGCTTTGAGGCGTATGTCATGGAATGTCACAGAGCCAAGTCAGAACTCTGCTTCCCCGCCAAAGCAAAGCAAAGCAAAGGGTGGGCATAGTTCCACACACAAGTCATGCAAACAAGAAGAGGAGATTTTATTCTTAATATCTATCTATTCACCGACCACCCACTCTCAGCCTTCCCTTGATTTCTCAGGATAATGCCTATTGAAACTCCAACCTTATTCTGTGTTATTTTAATCTCTGATGTGTTCACATTGTGAGGAAGAGTCTGAGAGAATGAGAACAGTTCTGTTTTTTTCTTTTTTTTCTAACCCTTTGGGCTAATTTTACATTTATAGGAAGTAGAAACTGATACAAATAAAATACTTTTGCTTTGAATTGACAGGTGTTGCTTTTATTTTTAAGTGTGGCTTTTGACCTGAATTGTTCAAATAATTGTATAAACCCAGCTTAAGATGCTCTCAATATTTTCAGACCTGCTTATATATTCAGTTTTTGTATGTCTCCATACACAATTTTATTTTGTTTTATTTTTTTGAAATGGAGTCTCGCTCTGTCACCCAGGCTGGAGTGCAGTGATGCAATCTCAGCTCACTGCAAACTCCGCCTCCTGGATTCAAGCGATTCTCTTGCCTCAGCCTCCTGAGTAGCTAGGATTACAGGTGTGTGTCACCACACTCAGCTAATTTTTGTATTTTTAGTAGAGACAGGGTTTCACCATGTTGACCATGCTGGTCTCGAACTCCTAACCTCAAGTGATCTGCCCATCTCAGTCTCCCAAATTGCTGGGATTACAGATGTGAGCCACTACATCCAGCCTCCATACATAATTTCTTTTCATCCTCATTCTTTTCTCTTTTTGTTGAATTTTCTCTTCTAATCCTTTAATAAACAATCTAGAACATGTGTAATTGATGCCAGAGACATATGCACTCCACCTCCTCTGAAAGCTTGGGAATACTAAGAAAATGGTTTATTTTTATTCTTTATTAAAGAAATATTAACATTTAACTTTTTTCTTATTAGACTTCTTGCTATTATATAAGATGAGACAATTAAAATGGTCTGTAATTCTACTTCTCTGGTATAATTATTGTTAACATCATGTATAGCCACCTAGTCTCTTATAAACAGAGAAAACATGGTAAATGCTTTCTGCACATTTTAAAAGTCACATTTAATGGTAAAGTGAAGTGAAGATTTGGTAGCAAATTGAAATAGCCTCAATGTTCAATAATAAATTAACTCAAAATGAATTTTTTCCTGAAAAGCTGAGGCCAGTCTAATGTAGCTGTCTGAGATTACCCCAAATATACAACTCCAAACTTCTAATTATGGTATGTGTGGTGTCTTTTAACAAAAGTGAAAAGCTTAGCCACAAAAGAGCAGGAAGCTCAGAAACCTGCAAGAACACTGGATTTGTACATCAGAAGCAGGAATTTGTGTCCTCTAAAAAATGGCCCACTAGAGAATTATTTTTTATTATTTTTTTATTTTTATTTTTTTATTTTTTTTATTTTTTTATTTTTGAGACGGAGTCTCACTCTGTCACCCAGGCTGGAGTGCAGTGGCATGATCTTGGCTCACTGCAAGCTCTGCCTCCCGGGTTCATGCCATTCTCCTGCCTCAGCCTCCCGAGTAGCTGGCACTACAGGCGCCCACCATCATGCGCAGCTAATTTTTTTTGTATTTTTAGTAAAGACAGGGTTTCACCGTGTTAGCCAGGATGATCTCGATCTCCTGACCTCGTGATCTGCCCACCTTGGCTTCCTAAAGTGCTGGGATTACAGGTGTGAGCCACCGTGCCCGGCCAGGAATTATTTTTAAAGATCCTTCTTCCTTGTGTTACCATAAAGCAATCTCTTCCGTATATTTGGCTGATGTGTTTTTAAAAGTGGTTATGATCTCCTATTAGGAAGCATGTATACGTCACCTTTCCTTTGAAAAACTAGAGAATGTCAAGTTTTCTTACTTGCTACAATTAAAACAAGTTGAAAATATGAACACGTGGTCAAAATTAGATAGGAATGGCTGATTTTTTTTTACATTTGGAGGAGCCGGAGCATGATATATATTTCTTTACAACTTGGGGGCTTTTCCAAGGATAGGCAAAGGTTTCAGCAGAGGTTCTCTGACAACATACTTTACCCAAATATCTTTTTAAAAATAATTTGAATTTCAATAGTTTGGGGGGTACAGGTGGTTTCTAGTTACATGGATAAGTTCTTTAGTGGTGATTTCTGAGATTTTGGTGCACCTGTCACCTGGGCAGTGTACCCAATATGTAGTATTTTATCCCTCACCCTCCTCCCATACCTAATTATGGTATGTGTGGCAAGTGTTTTTTAACAAAAGTGAAAAGCATACCACAAAAGAGCAACAAGCTCAGAAACCTGCAAGAAGACTGGATTTGTACATCAGAAGCAGGAATTTGTGTCCTCTAAAAAATAGCCCACTAGGGAATTATTTTTTTATTTTTTATTTTTTTATAGTCCGCAAAGTCCATTATATTATTCTTATGCCTTTACATCCTCATAGCTGAGAACATTTGATATTTGGTTTTCCATTCCTGAGTTACTTTACTTAGAATAATGGCCTCTAGCTCCATCCAGGTTGCTGCAAAAGTCATTATTTCATTCTGTTTTATGGCTGAGTAGTATTCCATGGTGTATGTATAACACATTTTCTTCATCTACTGGTTGGTTGATAGACATTTAGATTGGTAATATTTTTGCAATTGCAAATTGTGCTGCTATGAAGATGTGGGTGCAAGTGTCTTCTTCAAAAAATGACTTATTTTCCTCTGGGTAGATAATCAGTAGTGGGATTGCTGGATTGAATGGTAGTTCTATTTTTAGTTCTTTAAGCAGTCTCCACACTATTTTCCCGAGTCATTGTACTAGTTTACATTCCCACCAGCAGTGTAAAAGTGTTCCCTTTACACCACATCCACACCAACATCTATTATTTTTTGACTGTTTAATTATAACCATTCTTGGAGGAGTAAGGTGGTATCTCATTGTGGTTTTAACTTGCATTTCCCTGATAATCACTGAGGTTGACCATTTTTTTCATGTTTGTTAGCTATTTGTATATCATCTTTTGAGAATTGTCTATTCATGTCCTTTGCCCACTTTTGATGGGGTTATTTGTTTTTTCTTACTCATTTGTTTGAGTTACTTGTAGATTCTGGATATTAGTCCTTTGTTGAATGCATAGTTTGCAAGTCAAATATCTTTTTAATGGGAATCATTAAACCAGTCTGGAAAAGAACGCTGGTATTTTATATAAATTTTATATCCAGAGTAACATTTCTACCATTGGTCTATAGAAAAAAAATAAAGGCAAGGAATACTGTTCCTTTGGTTTTACCCTAGAATAATTTGCTCTTTGGATCGGTATCTAGGTAGAGATTATGACTAAGCATTGGTTAAGTTTGGGAAGCTGGAGAAAATCGTCTGTGTTTATCCAAAGAGGAAGTTTTAAGAGACCTATGGGCTACTTTGACTTGCACCCATGCTTATTTCACATATTTATAGACATTGCAGCCTCTATGTAATGTCTGTGCTCTTACTTAGGGCTATGTGGCTATGGCAATACCTCACTCACCATCCTGCAGAACAAGAGCAACCGTGGATTTTATCACCCAATCCACTAGCTGAAGCAGAATATGACCCACATACAACTGGGGTCCCACATGGCTGGAGCTCGGGGCTATGCCACGTTCAAAGAAATAGCAGTCTGATAGAAAATGAACATCAAAAGCCATTTAAATCTTTACTCGGTCTCACAAGAAAACCCTAAAAAGAAGAGATCATTTTTAGTGCAAAGTAAATTTCCTTTACAAAGCCTCCCAAGGTGACTCTCCACTTTCAAACCCTTTCACACTCCTAAGAGTGACTTCTACCAAAACACTATCTTCTCTCTCTACTCTTCAAAGACCTTCTGCCCACATCCAGACCCAGAGGGCCCTTCCACCTCTGTCCCCGTCTTCACTCCCTTCCTTGTTCTTTATTCTATGAATGGATTCACACTTGCCTGCTTCTTTGTCTTTTGCTTTTCATTTCTTCTATTAACAGGATTCTGAGCAACAAAGCAAAGACTAAGAGCTGACCAAGCAATCAAAAAGTAAGAACCCAAGAAACTTTCCTTTTTTGATGGCTTTAACAGGGACAAATATGATCAGCTAATGGGATTACAGGTTTACCTGTTTCCTACAAGCATGCCTATAATTTTTGATTCTTTGCTTTTGTGTGTGTGTGTGTGTGTGTGAAAAAGCCAACTTTCTTCCCACCCACCTGCTTGTTCCAAAGACCCTATTCTCCAAGGGAAATGTTACATGCCTTTCAAGAAGGCCTTTGCTTTATGTCCACTCATCTTCTCCTGTATTCCACCTAATTCATTCAACACATATTTTCGAAACACAGTGCTATGCTGGACCTCATATGAAGCCTGGTTTACAAGACGTATAAGTAATATGCCAAAATGGTGACACATACACAAATGGCCTTGAGAACAGATACTATATCCTTTATTTTATAATTATACTCAGGGAATATGGGGGATGTTGTGTGGATCACTAATTTCATGTTCAATTGTAATTCCCATTGTTGGATGTGCGGCTGCGTGGGTGAGAGTTTTTGGATCACAGGGGCAGATCCCTCATGAATGGCTTAGTGCCATGCCCTTGGGGGCGAGTGAGTTCATATGATATCTGTTTGTATAAAAGTGTGTGGGCCGGGCGCGGTGGCTCACGCTTGTAATCCCAGCACTTTGGGAGGCCGAGGCGGGTGGATCACGAGGTCAGGAGATCGAGACCACGGTGAAACCCCGTCTCTACTAAAAATACAAAAAAAATTAGCCGGGCGTGGTGGCGGGCGCCTGTAGTCCCAGCTACTCGGAGAGGCTGAGGCAGGAGAATGGCGTGAACCCGGGAGGCGGAGCTTGCAGTGAGCCGAGACTGTGCCACTGCACTCCAGCCTAGGTGACAGAGCGAGATTCCGTCTCAAAAAAAAAAAAAAAAAAGTGTGTGGCACTTCCCACACACTCTCTCCCCTTCTCTGGCCATTTGAGTGCCTGCCCCCTCTTTGCCTTCTGCCATGAGTAAAAGCTCCCTGAGGCCTCCCCAGAAGCCAAGCAGATGGTGGTGCCATAGTTCTATACAGCCTCCAGAATGGTGAGCCAGTTGAACTTCTTTTCTTTGTAAGCTACCCAGTGTCAGATATTTCTTTATAGCAATGCAAGAACCGCCTAACACAATAGGCAAGTAATGTGTTAAGTACTCAGATAGAAGGTGTATTGAAGGACTTGGAGTCCAAGTTAGAACATGAAGAACATGGGAAGGAAAGGTGTCGCAAGCAGAAGAAACAGCATTTGCAAGAACTCTTCTCTAGAATATAAGGGAGAAAAGCAAAGAGGGTCACAATGATTAGCTTCAAATACTTAGGACACACATGGAAGGCAGTTAAGGCTTGATCTGAGTTACTTCAGGGCTGAGAAATGGGATAAACAGGCAGGAATAAGAGAGGCCAAATTTACTCAATCTGAAAAAGAACTTTCTTATCCATGGAACAACCTGAATGATAGTAATGATAATACTAGCAAGTACATATATGCCACTTATTATATGCCAAGTACTGATATGTGCACTTTATGAATAAATATATAAATATTTACTTTATATAATTTTATATATGTCTATGTGTGTGTATATAAATATACAATTAATACTCATAACGGCACTCTGCTACTACTATTCCCAATTCATGGGTACAGAAACCAAGGTATCAGGTAACATGTCCAAGGTGCAATCAGTAGCTGGTGGCCCCTGGATTTGAACCTTGGCAGTCTGGCTCTAGCATTCGTGTTCGTAACCACCCTTCTATACGGCCAATGGACTAGCACATGTCCTATTACTGAAGGCATCCAAGTAAAGGTTGGGTGGCCCTTTGATAGGAATGCCTTAAAAGGGCTTCCTGCATTGAATGGGAGGCTGAGCCATATCACTTCTGAGGCCTCTTTCTCCTCTGACCCTGTGAGGCTGGTAACTTAATTCAAATTGTCTTTATACTTTCAAGGTTCATAACTCACAACTCGTAACCACACTTCTTCCAGTCTCCTTTCTTCCTTCTTCCACTCAAACCATGAAACTCTATCCGTCCTAGCTGCACAATTTTCCCTCCACATACTCTTGATGCTCTCTCCCAATTCTTCGTTATATAGGTTGGACCAAGCCTTTCTGGAAATGCCTTTCCATCCTCCCCTCCTGCCTCTCAGTTTCCTTCATATGTTTTCTCTCCATGTTCCCCTCTCTGTAACTACATCATCCAGGTCAAGAAATTCATCCAGCAAAGACAGCATTTACCTCTGAGAGTGGGTAGAGGAGATGCCCAGGGTGGGAGCAGGCAGGGAGATGGCTGGTCGGGCACTGCCTTTCCCATGGCAGTTTGGCTTTGTGGCCACTTTACTCTTCTGACTAAGAACTCCTCAGGTTTAAAGAGCAGAACGAGAGGACAGAGGAAAAGGAAAAAGTGAGCTTCTGTGTGCCAAGCCTGGCCACTCAGGCTGGAGGGCTTTTAGCTGAAGGGTCTCTCAGACTTGGCACGAAAAGAGGGAGCCATTTCCCTTGTCTTTATAGAACCAGGGAAACCTCAGACATTTCTGTTTGTCTTGTGAACAGCTGGTGACTCCTATGTGAATCTAGTTAAGCATCTTCCTGGCTGCAAACACTACAAGTTCTATTTTTAAGATTAAGAACATTTTCCTAAAATGTATCTCATAAAAGATTGGCTTCAGACATTTTATCCCCAACACACCATTTTGTGGTGCAGGCTAAATCTCATTATAGAAATTACTCCAACCTGAAGCTTGGCCAAGTCAATAATATTGATTGATGAGCCCAGGATGTCAACCATCTCAATACGATGCTTCAGACCCGACCCGTTGTTCTTTAACCTTGTCATATTTGTGGTTAATGCCCCTTCCCCTGGCAGCCCCTCCCTAAAAGAATAAATGTCAAATACAAACCAATTGCATTTGCTTCAGTCAAATGAAGCAAGATGCAGCAGCGTTTCAGTCTGGAATCTGTGCTGCCATTGGAACTTGGAGGGGTTTGGTTGGTTGATTCTGAGCTCTCCTTCAAGTGCACTTGTGGCGTGCTCTGTTCTGTCCCAGGCACTAAGACCTGCAGCGTGACATTCCAAGCAAAAGAGACATGCAGATACCAGGATGCTCAATTTGGGAAAGTAAAAGCCAGAGTCAAAGAAAGACAATCACTGTGGAGTAAATTCCAGGGCTCCTGTGGAATCTGCCTTTATTCCCATAAATACATACTTAAATCAAGCAGTTCCTCTTAGAACTCTGAGTCTCCTCCTGTTTGTTGCCACCATCATTAAAGGGTATAATCAGGTGACAGCCTCTGTAAATAGGAGCAGAAATCAAAACCAGACAGATTGCTACCTACCCATAATATATTTCACCTTAAAAAATAATAGTAAAAAATACAATAGTAAAGCAAGGGCTGTAGAGTGAAATATATATATTTTTTCTGCCTAAAGAAAAAGAGAGAGGAAACAAGTTCAGCTAATTCAGAGTGGAAGGTTGTGTATTAGGGACCTCACATTTATCCAAATAGAGGATGGTGTGGTGAGGGGTTGCCAGGGGAGGAAAGCATCACAGAAACAGTACGGAGAAAAGAAAGCGACAGGATGACGCCACAGAGCCAGACTGTAAAAAGGGGGAAATGGTAAAAGAGCCTGAAATTCTTCTTCAAGAATTCTTTCTTTTCAGCTGAGTGGAGCCATGGTTTCCTGTAATTATCCAGTCATGTGGCTGGCATGGATATAAGTGGGGCTTCTCTTTAGAAAAAGACGAAAAAGAGAAGGGTGTTGGGCCGTAGCTGGGTCCTGTCTTGACAGTCGGATAATTTCAGCAGACCTCAGTCGGCAGCTCACCCAAGCCACAGCACAGACTGGTCTCAGAATTCAAAGTGCAAGTATCCTCAGTAATTGCCAAAAGGCTTTTGGATGGGGAAAACAGTTTTCCAGGACCCTCCCGGTCCATAAAGCAGAAAGGTGAGCATGTAATGCTGAAAGGTTGGCTCTGCCTTGGTCCTTGGTTGACCTAACAACACAGCCTCAGCTTCCTTCTGTTTTCCAAGTTTCTCTGCTTGTCTGTGAAAAAGGAGCAACCCCTGTACACAGAAGAAAGAGTGCAAAATGGAGGAAATCCTTCTTCAGGCATAATCGAAGCTAAGTCAAAGAGGAGGAGAGAGACCAACCAAAATGAGCCAAACAATAGGAGACTTAAATAAAACCCAGGCCCAGTGAGGCCACTTCAAGAAGGCAGCAAAAATTACAGACATCACTGGAAAGGATGGTGGCCACTGAAAACTGCAGGCAACAGCAGTTGTGGTGAGGAACTGGCTTGGACTAGTGTAATAATCGTTCTGGATATTATGTAATGGATGATTTGGCATCTTGAAATCATGGGCCAAACTAATGACCAAAGTTGTTTGCATTCATATTTCCCTGTGTTTTTTGCAAGCACTTGGAAATGGTATTACAAATCCTCTGGCCACAAACTCCAACATCTGTGTTTTGCATCCTGCCCTGTAAAGGGCATCCTCACCCAACAACTTCCTGCCACTATAGTAATAAAGGCCATTGCCCACGCTTTCTCATTCTTCCTTCTGACTCTTGACTAACTCTGGCTGTTCTCCTTGTGACCCCTGCAGGGCACTGTGTGCCCCCTCCTCTTGGAACTGTGCATAATAAACTCTTCTTTCAAATGCAATCGTCTCTGTGCCTGTCATCTTGCCCCACCTGATTCAAACAAGTCCCAGGCACATTGTAAAACAGCTACAAAACATCATTTTGGATTCTCAATGGTGTACGCATTTCTAAACTGTGTTTGTGTGAGCAGTGGTCTGTGAGACAGACTTTTTCCTCACGGCCTATGTGATTCTGAAGGTGGAATTCACAAACCAGCTAATGATGATAACAGCTAACCTGGTTTGACAACTTGCAAACAATGAGTACTTCACATGACTCAACTCATTTCATCCTCATCTCAGCTCTATGTGGTAGGTCCCATCATTATTCCCATTTTACGCATGAGGAAAGGCTCAGAGAGGGTGAGTAAGAAGCAGGAGATGACTCAGCCTGTGGGCAACAGAGCTTAGAGGTAGTCTGGCTCCAGAGGCAGGGTTTCTAACACTGTACTTACTCTTACCTCAAATTCACTTGCTGCATCTTTAGTTCTTTCTCACTGTGATGGCCACATAGTCATGAGCAACGACAAACATTTACTGAGGCCAAATGAATGCATGTCATTATCGTAGGCACCAGGAGTACCTGACTATGAGAAAATGAGTCCTACTCTTGGCGGATACGATGAAAATATAACAGACCAGCATAGCTTCCACCGAGAACCAGTTATAGAGACAACAGATGCTTGCAAAAATAAGAGAGAAAAAAATCATAAGCTTTAGGGGAGCTGGAAAATTTGAGGGTGGGGGTGATTAACTTGTACTTTAAAGGAAAGAGAGGGCTAGAAAATGGACAGCTGAGGGGAGGGCATTTCTAGGAGATGAAAAGGAGAGAAAAAAGGCAACATAGGAAGACTGGCATGTTTACAGTTTGGCTCTATTGATCCTTTTTTTATTTGAGTGAAGGATTAGGTTGACATTAAAAAGGTTGATGCCGATGACAAAGGCTCTCCCATTGTGATGCTCAGGGAGCTAGTGCATCGGCTGAGCTTTGTGGAAGACTTGTAAGTAGAGGGGAGGAGGTGAGCAAACTCAAGAGATTAGGACAAGAGGGAGGGAGCAGCCCGGGAGGTGGAATGCCAGAAAAGAGGATGGTCGGGGCTCACTGAGATTGGGAAGGGCTGAGCTGAGGCCCACTGCAGGCAACAGAGAAGATAGGGATGAGACTGGAACAACATATCCTTTGGGTTCAGAGGGTTCTTGGAGTCCAGTTCCATCATGGATAAACAAGTACCTGTAATTAGGATTACTGGTGTTATAGGAAACAGTATTAAAAACAACCACTAAAGTTCTTGCCTTTCTTCCCTATTTCAAGTCCTACTAGAGGCATTTAAAAAGCTGGCATATAGTGGATTTCTAACAACCTGGATTACTAACACAACATGCTAGTGTTATATTTGTCAGTATATCTTTTGCTTTAGGTTATTTTCTTTTAATTTTTGTTTCATTAGATAAGTAGAAAGTTATTAAAGAAAACAGAAATTTTAGATATTAAAAAGGAATATGCTAAATTACATGTAATCCTACCAGCTGGTCATAATAAAAGTATTTTTTTTGGTATTAACTAACCTGTCAGACATTATAAATGTTGTATATACACACACATGTGTGTGTTTATATAATACACTTGTTTTATAATGAAACAATCATAACCAGGCATATGGCTATATAACCTGCTTTAATTCATTCATAGCATACCGTTACTGTATTTCCATGCCAGTAATTGTATATAGAGAGAGCTGGGCTCAGTAGCATGAGCCTGTAGTCTCTGTAGTCTCAGTTTCTTGGGAGGCTGAGGCTGGAGGATTGCTTAAGCTCAGGAGTTTGAGTCCAGCCTGGGCAACATAGCAAGACCCCATCTCTTAAAAATAATTATACATACATCCATACATACATACACACCCACACACACACACACAGATGAAAATGATGTATATATACATTTTTGACCTAACAGTTACATGAATGTCCCATGACTTGTTTGAATATTTTACTTTCTTTCTTTTTTTAAGTATTTTACATAATGTAATGTAGCACTAAATATTTTTGGACATTAGTTCTGAGTACTTGTCTGACTATACAGGTAATTCTCAAAAATAGATGAGAAATGTTACTTCTCAGACTGTCTCCTTTGTTGTTTTCAAGATTTTCTCTTCATCCCTACACATCTGTTGACCATAATTTTCTCTTTGGTCAATTTCCTTTTATATAGTCTCACTTGAAAAATGACTACATGAATCTCCCGTGGCAATTCCAAAATTCCAAATAATTTATGTAGATACTCCGTCTTCAAGGAGGGGGAGCATACATTCCTACTCCTTAAATGTGGGCTATGCATAGTGACTTCCTTCCAAGGAGTACGGCATAAAAGGAGGAACAAAAAATGAAAGTAACTTTACGGTGGAGCAACATGACAACACCACCTCATCCAGGTGATCAAGGTCTACATCAACAGCTATAAATCATGTTGATGTTACATACTCCTGATAAGATGTGATGAAAATGACAGTTTACCTCTGTGGCCTTCCCCCCTGCCCCGCCCCCCAGTAACCCAAAACACCAGTCTTATCATGACAAAACACCAGACAGCATTTTAATAGTAGGGCATCCTACAAAACATCTAACCAATACTCTTCTAAACTGTCCAAGTCATTAGAAACAAGGAAAGTCTGAGAAACTATCCCAGCCAAAAGGAGCAAAGGAGACATGACTAACTGTAACCTGGTAGCCTGGATAGAATCCTGGAACAGAAAAGGGACAGCAGGTAAAAACTAAGGTAATCAGAATAAAGTACGGACTCTAGTGAACAACAATTTATCAATATTGGTTCATTGATGGTAACATATGTACCATACTAATGTAGGATATTAATATCAGGGAAACTTGGCATTGGGTATATTAGAACCCTCTGTACTATCTGTTTGACTTTTCTGTGAATCTACAACTATTCTAAAAATAAAGTCTATTAAAAATGAGCTTAAGAGCATCCCAAAGGTGGTTCTTTTCTTGGTGCCGTCTGAATGCGCAAATGTAGACATGTGAACTGGACTTCAGGCTACTGAAGTCAGGCCTAGTCTGGGCCTGTCCTCACTGGTGAGGGTGGGTGTGGGGATGGTCTACAGAGCAGAAGGCAGTCCCCGGCCAGACGGAGAGCTCAATGTGGAGGAGCCACCCTTATTATTTCCTCCTGCTTGAATATGTGTACTCATCCTAGAAGGTGCACATTCTTTCACTCCAGCAATACTAACAACAGTAAGAAGAAAAATTCTCAAAATTGAGTGAAACACCGCCACCACCAACCATATCAAGAAAGAACACACCTGCAACAGCTTTCTCTGCATCGATTTAATTTGCTCTCCAACAAGTTGAGGCCTTCATAGGATGGACAGTCCACCTGCATGACTAACTCTGCTGGAGAAAGCCTTGGACCTGGAACTTGCCCAGAGAGTTAGAAAAGCTGAGAGTGTGACAGCAGGGTGCCACCAAGAATTCACTGTCTTCAAGAAGAGCAAACAGGAGCAATAATGCTATTACCATTGCTAACTGTGTAAAACACATATAAAACACACCAATAACTTAGAAGTTTCTTGTTCACAGGTAACTCAGTTTTTTAAAATATGGGTTACTTGGACTGTTTCTAATAAAATAGCTAATATTTGCTAAGCTGACCACTTGCTACCTGCCAAGCTCTGTTTGAAGCACCTAATATGTATTAATTCATTTAGTCATCACAACTCTATGAAGTGGTTACTATTATTGCTCCCATTTTATAGATGAAGCTGAAAGAGAGGTTAAGTAGCTTTCAAAAGGTCTTACAGAAGGGAGAATTCACATCATAATAATTTGACTCCAGAACCCAAACTCCCAATCTCTATACCATATAATATGTAGCCTTACACACATATATGTGCACATATATACACATTCATATAGGTATATATGCATATATGTTTGTGTGAATGCACGTATCTTTACTATAAAACATTCTAAAACTGGTAAATTCTTTATGATGTAAAGTTCTATTTCAACTGAAACACAGAATAGAAAAATTATTGACTGTTTAAATGTTCAGAACATTTATAGATGATATGTACATAAAACAGAAAAGTAATGATTTGATACTTAGAGATGAATTGGTAAATAAAATGCCATTTTCATATCAGTTTTAGCAGATAAAAGCCTTTGAAGATTGCTTGAATATTACACAGAAGAAAAGAGCTCTCTCTTAGGACAACTGTTGCCAGAGATATAATACTTAAGTACAATTGGAAAATTCTAAATCCCCTTGGAGTTGGAGGGAAGTGGATTTCTGTAATGAGTGCTACTTCCAATTCTCTTGAGAAGAATAATAAAGGCCAGATTGATTTTCCCTTGGAGAGACTGATTAGGCATTTCTTAAACCTCACTCACAGGTAGCTGACCTCTGCCTTGGAATTTTGAATCTGTAGGTCACAGATGTGTCATTTTCATGCATGCTTACATAAGTAACCTGGGAAATAGATGATGCTGGCATTTTGAAGCCTGGTTTTTATTATTATTTTTCAAATAATATATAATTTCAAATAACTTTAAGGTAGGGCAGAATTGTTTATTTCTGCACTAGAGGGAAAGCTCCCTCTCACAATAGCCAAAGGAAGCTTGCGGGGAAGCATTTTTCAGCAGCAAGGACAGGGATGAGAACTGGAGCTCTGTGATCCTGAGGGAAGGCTGATTGAAACAGCAGATAGGAGGAAGATTAGAAGCAGCCAAAGATAAACAGAACCCATGAGATTATTCTGAGCATCCTGTGCTGCTGTGGTACACATGGTGGCTGAAATTCTCCCCAGGGGTGTGTATCACAAAGCTGCAGGTTTTCCCTCCATGATTAGGAGTACTGCTTCTGTTCACGTTACCATGGTGATACCAAGACTGATTAAAGGGAGTTCTGTGAGGCAGTGTGTTCCATGAACGTGTATTCCTGTATGTGTGCATGCTAGGGGTAACACACACACACACACACACACAAACGCATGCATGCACAAGTCATATCTAATTCTGATTCTTTTGTTGGGTGGGAATTTGATGCCAGTATTTACTTTATTTGGAATCTTAGTCCTCGTAAGTAGGTCATCAGTTAGAGGTAGGAGAACATCCTGTTATACAGAAATGTTGACAATTGTAACTGTGGGGCTTCCTGAGGCAACGTTTTCCCTTCTCAAGACCAAAGGTGAAATATAGGTTGGAGAGAGGTGCCAGGGGAAAGGTAAATATGAGGACTGCCTTAAGAATTTTTTTCTTCTTTTTTTTTGTAAAGTCCATTGGAACCTTCTTGGGCAAATCAGGAGCAGCCTTTATTGTGTGTCTAGGTGTCATGAATTCCGAAAAGGTGATATTGTGATGTGGTAAGACAATTTCAACCCCTCTTATTTTGCATTTGGTTAACGGTATCTCCTGGGGCCCAAGTTGACATCCTCATTTACCCATGTTTTTGTCTTTTCACTTGCTCCCAGTAGTCTCTAAATCCAATGCAGTGCCTTCTTGTAGCCTCTTAACTCTAAGCTCTTTCCTCCATCCTCACAGTCTCAGCATTAATTCAAGCCCTCACCATCTTTACTAGGACTACTTCAGTAGCCTCTCAGTGACACTCTCCAGTCCCACTGTTCCCTAGGCCACCACCCACATGACCACCAGAAAGATCTTTCTAAAACAGTTGTAGTTTTGTCACTGTTTTAGTCAACACCCACGCACCCCACCCTGCCCCACCCCGGCAGAGCATTCAAGGCCATAATCACATTCCCAGGAATTTCTCCAATTAAAATCCTGAGGCCAGCCGAAGTCAGTATGCCCTTTGAGACTTAACCAAAATTTAGCTCATTCTTGAATTCTGAGGAAGGTCTAAGAATCTCCCAACAATTTTTCTTAATTCCTAGGGTTTATGTTCTCTTGGTCTAGCTTACTTAAGTTGATCTGTGACTCTGATATATTCTATACATTCTATAGAGATGTAACGTATTCTATGCTTATTTTATGGGCAGTATTATGGTAAATGTATTACATGTATTATTTCATTTAACCCTCACAACAGCCCAAGAAAGCTGACACTATTATTAATTCTATTTGCTGGATAAGGAAACTGAGGCTTAGGGAGACACATGTCTGAAGACACCAGACCATAAGTGTAAAGTGAGTAGACAGTCATGAGGGTCTGACTCTACCACCGCTCTACACTGCCTCCCTTTCTTTCCTCTCATTTCCTGATCATTCATTTATTAATTTACTAATTCATCTTTGAATGAATGCCCTTTGTATGCTAGGTACTGTTCTAAGAATGAAGGCGGATATCAGGAAGAATAGGAAATGATCCATGCTCTTAAAAGGAAACAGAAGTGTGCAGTGTGTGGTGACAGCATTTCAGGAGCAGGGGCAGACCTAATGCAGAGGGCTCTGCACCAACCATAGCCTGGCTCAAGAGTTTAAATCTCCTCATTGCTCTTCAACTAACATCCAGAATTCTCCATAACTTGCACTCTTTTACCCACCTTCATCCATGCTGTTCTTCCTCTCTCTTCCTCCCTATTCATCCTGTTTTTCCCTGCAAACATGCCAGATCATTCCTATCCTCTGGTCATCATCACCCCCAATATTTACCTGATTAGAATGGTTTCTGTCTCCCTCAGTCCTATCTATTCTTCAGCATGCGTCTCAAGTCCCACGTACTCAAGGAAGGCTTCCCAGATGCCCCCCGGTGACAATGATTTCTTCTGCTCATGCATTTACATCACACCTTGCCTATTTGGATTATTTTTTCCCCTGGTAATTTTGTTAGACTCCCAGCCCACTGCTTTATTATCACGACCCTTTTTCTCCCCTTGGGTTCCTTTGCAACATTTCCTGCCTTTTTGGTAGGAATATGGCATGGCACAATGCTTAACAATTTTGGCTGTTCAGCTGAACAAGCCCAGTTTGAATCCTGACACCCCTGTTTATTAGTTACATAAATGTCTCAAGACACACAGCTAAGTCTTGGTTTCTTCCTCTGTAAAATAATAGTAGTAGTAGTAGTATGTTATGACTGCATGTTTGTGTCCCTCCAAAATTCATATGTTGAAATCTCCAATGTGATGGTACTTGGAGATGGGGCCTTTGGGATGTAATTAGGCTATGAGTGTGGAGCACTCATGCTGAGCTTAGTGCCATTTTTAGAAGAGACATGAGACAGTTTGCTTCCTCTCTCTGCTCTCCACTAAGTGAGGAGATGGCTATCTGTAAACCAGGAATGGGGTTTTCACCAAGAACCTGGCCATGCTGGCACACTGATCTCACACTTCCAGCCTCCAGAACTGTGAGAAATAAATGTTGTTTAAGCCACTCTGTCTATGGTATTCTGATATAGCGGCTGGAACTAACTAAAACATACTGTCTACCTCATTGAGTTGTTATACATACTAAAGGTTGTAACACTTTAGAAAAAGCCAAGAAACACACACACACACAAACACACACACACACAAACATGCCACACAACCAGGAAGTCATCTATGATGAGATGTATTTACTAGGTATATGTTTCAGATGAAGTCTAGGTAACATCACAGTCTGGAGAAATAGAACAAAGATAAAGTCTAGGTAACATCATAATCTGGAGAGATAGAACTCTGAACATACAAACAAAGGAGCAATACACATAATTCAGATGTCAGCTGGGTCACCTTGCTTGACCCAGACCTGCTGTTCATAGATTCTGAGAAGCCTAATGTTTTCCCCAAGACGTCTTTAAATTCCTTGGGGGCTTTAGGTGTTTGTGAATCACCCATGGCCCTGAGCTCCCTGTTCTGCCAAATAACTCCTCTGTGGTCTCAGTTCCCATACCTTGCCAGCCCTTTCTTCTAAATTTCCATTAAATGAATGACTCACACAAGCAGAGCATTTTCCTGAAAGTCTTGGGAGTTCTGTTGCAGAAATGCAAATTGCTCAAAATTTAATGCTGAAAATTTCTGTTCCTTAAACACCCCCAGCCATTTCCCTCTTAGTCACCTGGTCCTTCTCTCACTTCTTCCCACCACCACTTCCACTGTTGTAATGGAATTATTTCCAATACACGAGCCTCTGCCAAATCTATGCTCTTACGACCTCATCTTGTTCCTTGGAATCTCATTAAGGTGTTTTTCCAGAGACAGTTGTGTCTTCCTAAGAGGAATTCTGGTCTCTGCTTCTAATACATTTTAAAACTCTGCCACATTTAAATTATTAAAAGTATCCATCCTCATTGGAACACTGGCATCTCTGCCACTAACTATGGGCACACCTAGGCCACTTTAGATCTAAAGAATGAGGAGATGAACAAGATGATTTCAACTGCCAAACTGTATATGGCAACTGCGTAGCTGAAAGATGTAAAACTCATTAAATCTGTCTGAAAGCAGTTAGGGAATATATTGCTAGCGCAGAACACAAGTTCAAGGTTTAAATGTTAGTTATCAAGGTGCTCAAGAGGAAAGGCGAATATATTGTCTATCACTGTGTATAACACATTACCTAAAGATTTAACAGTTAGATCAATGAACATTTATTAGGTCACAAAGTTTTGTATAGTTGGGAAGATGGGAGTGGCTGAGCTGAGTGGCTTCAGCTCAGAGTCTTGAAGGACGCAGCCAAACTGTTGATTGGGCTTGATGTCAGGAGTAACTGAGGATTTCAACTTGGGCCCCCAGGAGACCCCATTAACCACATAGAAAATAAGAGGGGTTGAATTTGTCTTACCCTATCACAATATTTCCTTTTAGGAATTCATGACACCTAGACACACCATAAAGGCTGCCCCCAATTTGCCCAAGAAGGTTCCAACCATAATATTTAAAACAGTCCTCATATTACCTTTCCCCTGGCACCTCTCTCCAACCTATATCTCACCTTTGAGGATAAGAGGTGAAAACGTTGCCTCAGGAAGGCCCATAGTTACAATGAACATTTCTGTATAGCAGGATGTTCTCCTACCGCCAACTGATGACCTACTGTGAGGACTAAGATTGACTGGGGCTAGAGGGTATGCTCCCAAGACAGCTCACTTGTGTGGCTGTTGGCAGGAGGCCTCAGTTCCTGGCTGGCTATTGGCAGTTGCTAGCCACACAGGCTTGTCCACAAAACTGCTTGAGAGTCCTCACAACATGGCAGGTGGCTTTCCTAAGATTGAGCGATCCAAGAAAGAGCAAGGAGGAAACCATGATGCCTTTTATGGCTTAGTTTCAGAAGTTTCACACGGCCATTTCTGCCATATTTTATTAGTTAGAAGTGAGTCCATACATCCAGCTCACAGTTAAGGCAATGGGAATTAGGCTCCAGGTTTGAAAGGGAATGTCAAGGAGTGTGGGCCTGTTTAAACCATCACTGTGAGAACACCTTTAATCTCTTCAGACCACCTCAGCTGGAATGGTTTTGAACTTCAGGTGAAAACTGAATCAAGTATTGGAAAGTTTAGGAAGGACTCCTACTCTTTTCCTCTCTCTCCACAAGTCCTTGGGGGGAGTTCTATTCCTGTTCTGCAGAGAAAATCTGACAGAGATGGATAGGAGGCAACATGGAGCGGAAGAATATAAATGTGGAGCATGCCAATTTTTAATATTCGATGCCATCCAGAATTATGTCAGAGGCAGAGTGAGATTAATTGGGGAATTAAGTTTCCTCTTTTCTTATTCTATGCCTTTCCCTCTCAAACTCTTCTCCTCAGCCAGGGAGGTTATCAAATGACACGCAGAGTTTTTTTCTCCATTATTCTTAGCACTAAGGACCCATTAGGCAGCACTGATGTTTCCTGGGATCAAACAATCAATCATTTCTTTCTCGGAAACGGGGACAGAGTGATTACACATTTTGTTCTGCTTTTTAAAAGCTATGGCTGGGGAGCTAGCATACACATGATAAAAATACTTTCCAATTGATACACAGCTATTATTAGAGCTGGTATTTACTTAAATGGTTTGTGTCACCATATTGCATTTACTGTATTGTGTCAACGGAGGAATTTTTAACTCCACAAACAGATTTCTTTTTTTGATGCTGCTTAACTGCTCTGATTTACATCTGTAATTTCTAGACATGGTTTCCACCTCCTAGAAAAGATAGCCCTCTCCCTTTTTTAAATTAAAGTTTTCATTTAAGGCAAAAAATTCCAGTTTTAAACCAAGTCCTAAATTCAGAACTCTTTATATATCTAAAAAACTGATCTGGCATAATTGATTAATTCATAGTTTTGCCAAAGACCTTTACTGTATTTAGTGTAACAATATCTCAAATTAGATGCAGCTGGCCAGAGGAATATTCTTTTTAAGCAATGGCTACTGTATAAGATTCAGTCATAATTTTGATGATGAACGGAACAGATGACTAACAGAATCAGAAAGCTAATTCCTGTATCCCAATTCCTTTATTAGGTCTCCTCTTTCATTTCCAACTACTGCATTTAACGCCATCTTACAATGGAGTTCGATTGTTACTTGCCAAGTCAAAAGATCATCACGTTGTCTCAGATGTGAAATCTCGTTTATGATAATAGGGACTGACCCAGTAAAAATAACTCTACCTCTGGATCATAGTGAAAGAAAGGAAAAAAAAAATTAAAGGAAAGAGCACAAAGGACTTGTGGTGTCTGTCTGGATCCCTTTAGTGAACTGCCCCTGAGACAAGCATCCTCAGGGGAAGTGAGAGTACCTGGGGGAAGTAAGAGTACCTGGGGGATGCCAGGAAAAAGAGATGACCTGAAGATGATACCATGCTTCAAGCAGCCCCGAGCAGGATATCTGACACGGTGTAGACACTCATGAGATATCTTGTGAGGCTCATTAGATAATTAGAGGCTCATTTGATATTTTGAAATAACTTAAGTCAATTTAGGAGAAATTAGAGTATTTGGGGCCCAGATCCTAAAAGATGGATATATTATTCTCCAAGTATAAATTAGGCATTTTGGAGAAATCTCAGCTATTCCAGGAATTAAGGGCATATGTCATTACTACAGGAATAGTAACAACATTGTGGAATTTCATAGAATCTCCCCTTCTCACACTCCTCCTCAAATTTCAAGGCTTTAAAAATACATTCATTATTTAAGGTTATAAATCCTCTGTAGGCTCTTTAGAGAGAATTTGAAACACACATAAAAATATAAAGAAAAAAATCAACCATAATGCCTTCACTTAGGAACAGACATTGTAAACATTTTGGCTTATTTCTCCCCAGTAATTTTGTAAGCACATGGTTACAGAACTAGGATAATACTGCATGTAAAGCTTCTCACATCATGCTTTTCAGAATTAAAAAAATATATAACATTTTATTGTGATTAAAACGTGAATACATGTTTGTTGTAGAAAATCTGGAAAAAAACAGAAAAGTGTAAAGCAAGAACTAAAAAAAGAACTTCAATCTTGTCACTTCACAGAAGCACTGTTAATATTTTGGTGACCTTCCCTTCTGGGATTTTTAATTTTTTCTGGTCCTTAACAAACCTTTGGACTTACTTGAGAGAGTTGAGGCTATTTCTTCAGTGTCCAGTTACCATTTAACCAAGATGGAAGTTAAAGACCCCTGGAAAAGTCAAGCAGCTTAATAAAAACTAAATGGATTTCTTTTCCCAGTTGACGTTTGTTACTGTGACCCTTGAGGGTGGAGGGAAAGTACAGTACTATCTGGGAACAAAGATGCTTCATGAGTTGCAACCTATCTGATGCTCGCAAGATGGGAGCCTTCATGTCCCTGCATTGAGAGGTGGGCTGGACAAAGGGAAAGGACCATGGGAGTCAATAATGTATGAATGGACATTATGGGGTTAAGAGGTAGCTTGAGATGCTGTCAAAGCCTCAATCATCAATTCTAATTCAAAATGTCTGTGCTATCAAAAATTATATTTAGCTCATAAAATTGATGATTTATATTGAACAAAATCACACTAACCAATGGCCCCTCTTTTCCTCCCATGGGGCTTCTTTATTGTGATAAGCTAAGGTCATATAGATTATTGCCAAGAGGAATGAAACTCAATGGTCTCATAAAAACAGAAATAAAAACCCCAAAAATCATTATCCTGAATCTTATGTTTCACTGAAAAATGATTTTACCAAGTTGACTTCCAGGAGGCATCGTGGTGTGGAACAGGCACTAGTGCAGCTCTGCCATGTATTTGTGTGTGAACATGGGCATGTTATTGTTACTCTGAGTTCTGGATTTATCGTCTATAGAACCAGAGCTAACTACTCCTCCTCTGCACAGGTAGTGAGTGGCTCAAATTGGCTAACATGGGAAAGTGTCTGGCACCTACAAAGGAGACAGTGTTTGTTAGTTCCTTGTTTTAAGTTCATGGACTGCCTCTCATGACAGTAAGTGTGGTTGGTATATTATGGGGCACTGGTTATATGCATCAGTGTTTATTGTCATGGATTAATTTGAATATGGAGAATAACAATATTCTTCTTGCTTCTCACAGGTCTGCAGAATTGGAGAGAGCAAAAAGATTTGAGATAGGAAGGATGTTTCGGTTATATATCTTGAGTAAAGGGAAAGTTTATGACAAACATAGCATACCCTTGTCATTAAAAAGTTAAATAATACATGAGTATATGAAGTAAATAATGAAGGCAGTCCACCCCCATCATACACACCACCATGGAAGTAAACACTGTCACCAACTGTGTGTGTGCACAGTTCCAGAACTCTCTCTATTCATCACATGTACATGAACACACATACTTGCGGCTTCACAATATTTGCTCAGTATTGTGGCAATTTCCTTGCATTAGTGCACCATGGAGGCATCTCGTTTTTAAAAAACAGCTGCAACAGTTCCCCAAAATTTGGATGAACCATAATGTAACTGACCAGTCTGAGAAAAGGAAGAGGTGCAAATGCCAGTTCTTTGAATGCTGTTGGAGCAACTGTGAGCAAATACTTTAAGACTCTTTTTGGCTCACTAACTTCATCTGCATAATGGGCAAAAGAATACCATTGCCACCCATGGCGTTATTACGGCATTATCACATACTTCAAAGCATTTGACAAACACTAACGCAAAACCTGATGCTGCCTTTTATTTATTCCTGATTGGAGGAGGAAAGAGGAAGACTAGAGCCCATGCTAAAAGTGGGCACATTTCAGTTGTTTGTGTATTAATGTTTAATGCCAGAGCTTTGGGAAAGTCAGTGATGAAACATTTATGACAACTTGTTTGATAGCAAAACTGTTTGCCTTGGAATTTTAATTTTAGTCAGTTCTATTTTGATATAACTCCAAAGACCTTCGTTTCCCTCCTTTTTAGGGTGGTCCATTGTTCACTTGGGCAGAAACCCTCGGATTCAGAGGGCTCTTTTTACTAATCTAAAGGAAATGGCAAGAGGGTATCTCCCTGTCTGCCTTATGAAGATAATACAGAAATGAAGCTGGGATCTTTTTCAGTGCCCTTCAAAGAGGTGGGCTGGCCAGGCGTCTGGATTACTTAATTCAAGTGGTTGATGCCAGTAAGCAGTGGGAAGATAAGAGGCTAAAGGAACAATCACTATGGATCAGATGAATAAAAGCCCTTTCTGCACTCTCTCTCTCTCTCATATAATACTGTGGCATCTCACTTCTTACTAAGACAAGGCTATTCCATCCTCTTGACAACAAGATAGGCTTTATTTCGCCTCTAGAATGGCCTCCAGCCCTATCTCTAGGTCACCAGCTCTTTCGCAAATGACACCAGCCTATGCCATGCTGATGTTTTCTTCAACTTTTTTCTTGGATGTGGCATTAAAAAAAAAAAAAACGATCAAGGCAGAAAATCAAGGCTTTTGATTTTTAGGAGAGAGGAAAGGAAGTGGGGTGGCTCTAGTTCCCCAAGTTACTAAGGAAACACATCCCACCAGGATGTTGAAGTTCCAGGATGATAAGAAAGGATACTTACTGAGACTAGCTGAGACTGATGCATTAATGAAACTCAGTATCAGTCTCCACAACGACCCTCCATGAACTAAAGGTCAGAGTCAAGTGCACTTTGAGCTAAGCAGAAGGAATTTGGTTCTCAGACAGATTGCTCACTAAATCAGTTGTCCTCGCAGTTCATACAGGAATTTTTCAACTTCTTGATTCTACCTTGGATAATAAACCTATTGCATAATTCATTGGCTCTTAATCAAAACACTGTGGATCTTCAAAATTGACCAGTGAGTGCCCTGACTTGAAGCCCCTTTTTTCCTCTAGTCTGTTAACTAATGAGTGTTTTCTACTTAATAGTTGCTGACACTTGGGAAATACTTTGAAAATATATTTGGGTTTCTTTTGGAAAAATGTTTCCATGATCAAAAAACAGACCTTCTCATTTTATCAGGAACAAAAATCCAGTTACCAGAGCATTCTGCTAGCAGTGATGATATGCTCCTGCTGCTGCCTGTGGACCTGACTCTACTCCATGTTGCATATTTTTTAAAACTAGGAAAGTTTTCCTTAACTGGAGGACTACACTCTTATCACATATTTCAAGATGCTTTTCTGCTTTAATTCTCAGGTGTGGTGTTGTTTGTTCTGCCTCCTGGGAAGCAGCTTTCAAACTCATTGTTCAAGTGTCCTTGGAATGAAAAAGACAAACCATCCCGTCAAGGGAACAATAGTTTCTACTTAGGGGGAAAGTACATCTTGCCAATTTCAGTTTGCATTGTCCCAAACATGTTTGTAAAACTCTACCCTGAATTATCTGTGATGAATACAGTATAAAGTTAACCCCCCACATGGAATGACTAACAAAAGCAGATGCGAAACAGCTAACAAAGAAAGCAAACACAAAGATAAAACAGCATGCGTCAAATCCTATGTCAATCATAAGAAAATGTTTTTCACATCTAATCATCGAAGATTAAAGGCTGGATATTTAAGGAATGTGAAAGAGGATGTCCTTCAGCAAACAATTTAAATAAGGTGAGAAGGCCATGTGGTGGGTGGAATGGGAAAAAAGAAATTTGAAAGGCAGACTTGGGGTTCGAGGTTCTATCTCTTCCATGAAATAGTTGGGTCAAAAGAGGTCATCTAACTAGTTTCCAAGACTCATTGTCACCACTTGTAGACAGAGACAATAGCAACAACAGCTCTCTATCCACCTTGTCAGGAACGAGGGAGGATCCAATGAGATAAGATACATGAAGTCACTATACAGTGCCATATAAATGTCTGCATTTCTAAAACAAAAGTTGGCAGTTGAAAGAGCAATGGCAAGTGAATGGATATGACTGTGGAGTTGTGGGAGCAGAGAATGGCCTGCACCTGCGGTCTGACCACCCCTGTTTCCCTGTCCCTCAGGAAGGCCAGATCATCAGACCTTTTCAGGGGTGTAGGGGGGACTCAGGGGCAGGCCACTCAGCTATGGGGCTAAGCAAGGCTCTGGGACTTCTCTCCTGTTCACACTGATGGCCCTCCTTCACTAATTGTTTCCAGGGAAAAATCAAGTGTGTCCTAGCTTGAAAGAATAATTATTGAATTAGCAGTTCCCAAACTCAGTGATGCATCAAGAATTACTCTGGGGGCCTTTATTTAAAAAGTACTAATTCTCACACTCCCAGACCCCTGCTCACCTTACAAAATCTGAATTGTTGGGGTCATACCCAGGAATACATATATTTTAATTATTATAATATTGAAGTATCAGATATCCAAGAAAAAGAGTGTCCCCAAATCCCAATCCCAAAGCATATCAATTTAAAATTTTTTTCCATTTTTAACTTCTAATCCCCCCCCATAGGTATATTTAGTACTTTCTTACTTTTAATAATATCGGAGGATTTAATATTCTACAATTTTCATCAGCATTATCTGATTAATATTTTTGTATTTCAATTGTTTCTTTTTACCTCCCTACACCCCTTCCAGATAACCACTGTTAAAACTTGTCATGTTTTCTTTCCTATCTTTCTCTATGCCAATAGAAACAAGCACATTTTTGGCCACTGCTTCTCTTACAACATGTATCTCCACATCTTGCTTCTTCCATTTAATAATGCATCATATAAATCCCTCCAGGTTCCTAGGTATAGAGCCAACTCATAGGTGCATAATAATCCATGGGGTATTAGTCCGGGTTCTCCACAGAAACAGAACCAACAGGAAGTACAGATAAATAGATAGATAGAGAGATGGGTTGATCAAGGAATTGACTCGTGCAGTTGTGAAGGCTTGGTTAAGTTTAAAATCTACAGGACTGGCCACAGGCTAGAGACCCAGGGAAGAGTTGCAGTCAGAGTCCAAAGACAGTTGGCTGGTAGAATTTCTTCTCACTCAGGAGAGATCAGTCTTTGTTCTATTAAGGCCTTCCTGTGATTGAATGAGGCCCACAGACATTATGGAGGGTAATCTGCTGTTCTCAGAGTCTATGAATTTAAATATTAATCTCATCTAAAAGCGCCTTTATAGAAACAGCCAGAATAATATTTGACCAAATATCTAGACATGTGGTCCTGTCAAATTGACATATAACATTAACTGTCATATACAGTAGGGACATACCCCAATTCATTCATTTCCCAATTCATTTCTCTATTAATGAACTTTTAGGGTTTTTTTCCTATATTTTTTTCTTCTATAAACAATGCTCAGTTATCAAAAACTTTTTATTTCCACTGCATAGAATCTAAGAAAAAGAGATATAGGGGTTCAGCAGAATGGTTATTTGCAATTTTAATGATGCTGTGGGATCACTTCTGAAAGGAGTTTTTATTGTTCTTAGGGTGACCCTGACACAGATGGGTCAGCTCTAATTATTGAGAGTACAAATATACAACTTTTTATTCTTTTTTTCTTTCTGAGATGGCGTTTTGCTCTTGTCACCCAGGCTGGAATGCAATGGTGCAATTTCGGCTCACTGCAACCTCCGCCTCCTAGGTTCAAGCGATTCTCCTGCCTCAGCTTCATGAGTAGCTGGGATTACAGGTGCCTGCCACCATGCCTGGCTAATTTTTGTATTTTCAGTAGAGATGGGGTTTCACCATGTTGGCCAGGCTGGTCTCGAACTCCTGACCTCAGGTGATTCACCCCCCTTGGCCTCCCAAAGTGCTGGGATCACAGGCATGAGCCACCACGCCAGGCTGAAACTTGTTATTTTTATGCCAATGTGGAAATGTTGACATAAAACCTTCTCCAGGGCTGAGACCTTAAAATCTTTCTCATTCGAGTGTGATGATGACTTAGGTTAACATATCTGATAACCGATGTTAATAACTTCTCACCACCCACAGGCATGAAAGGCAGAGCTGTGGGAAGAAGGCTTGGGGACTCCTGAATGGCCCAGGGCAAGGATGGCACAAGCTCCTTAACCTGACTTCACTGGTGCCTTTGTAACTGCTGGATAATATTTTGAATATTAATTTATGTGTTTTTTTTTCTCCCCACTCTGTCCTATTTTGCCCCTTCTTTAGTCAAGTAAGGCTCTCAGGGGAGGTTTATGCCAAAGATGAAGGTAGAAGTGGCCTGAGAAATTTCTTTTCTCAGGAGATTTCCTAAGTACTGAGAATAAGAAGAGGGTGAGAAGAGGTAGAGTGGCAGAAAGAGCAGGGAAAAGAGACTAGATAAAAGGATTTGCCCATGCTAGGGGCAGAAGAGGAGAAAGTGCTATGGAACTCTGGACGCCACTGAACTGCAGAATGGAGAAGGAAGGACAAAGGGTCTCAGGCAGATGGGCCTTGACAACCTCCCAGAAGATTCTATGTTTTCTTTTTCTTTCTTTCTTTTTTTTTTTTGAGACAGAGTCTCACTCCATCACCCAGGGTGGAGTGCAGTGGCTCGATCTCAGCTCACTGCAACCTCTGCCTCCTGGGTTCAAGTGATTCTCCTGCCTCACCCCCCTGAGTAGCTAGAATTACAGGCACGCACCACCATGCCTAGCTAATTTTTGTATTTTTAGTAGAGATGGAGTTTCACCATGTTGGCCAGGGTGGTCTTGAACTCCTGACCTCAAGTGATCTGCCCACCTCAGTCTCCCAAAGTGCTGGAATTACAGGCATGAGCCACCACATCTGGCTAAGATTCCATGTTTTCTAAGCATAGTACCCCTCATCTAACCTTGGCTCGGCCCTAAAGACCACAGAACTGTGGTGCAGCTCTGGTTCAAAAAACAGTGATAATAACTGACATTAATCATTTTGCCGGAAGAACGGGAGGCTAGAAGTAGAAATTACGTTGATTTAAGGCAGGGTTTCACAACCTTGGCACCATGGACATTTTGGATAATTCTTTGTTTGGTGGGCTGGCCTGTGCACTGTAGGATGTTTAGCGGCATCCCTGGCCTCTGCTCACTAGATGCTAGTAGCATCCCCTTCCCAGCGTGACAACCAAAAATGTCTCCAGACGTTGACAGATGTCCCGTGGAGGGTAAAATTGCACTTGACTGAGAACCACTGATTAAAGGGAACATAAAGAAAGGTTGTGTGTCTTGAGTTTATGGACACAGATTCTTACCAGCTGTATGTACTGATATCGATTTTATTATGTGCTAAGGGAGACCACCAAGACATTGTGTTTGTGCCAGATTTGCCTCCCTGACAATGTTTTGCTTGGGCTAATTGGTAAATATTAGCTTTCATTCTCTGAGCAACTTGTCAACAAAGGGATGGCATCCAGAAATGGAGGGACATGCGTCTTAATTATACCTGCAGTGGTTAATGGGCCAGTGAGGCATTCCGGGTACTCTAAACCCTTGCTGACTTCTCCCAAGCTGGGGCCTGTCAGCTCTATCACTGTGCCAGGCTGCAACGAGTGCCAGTTCTGGAAAATCTGGCTGCCCTTCAGGGCCTTTTAATTTGACACTAATAAGCCTGATTTAGGCTTTGTATTATGGAGCAGCAACCAAATATTATTGCCAGAAAGGGCAAATAGCTGATGTCAGCGGTCTTTTCTAGGCAAGAAATGAACGTGATATTTTCTCCGCCTCCTCTCTTCTGACTGAGAAGATGATTCCTGGAGATAATCCACTTGGTTATCCGTGGATGTGAACATAATTTGGAGGCAGCAGTCACTCCAGATGGCCCGCTGAAGCTGGGAGTCCTGAGTTAATTTCAAGCCAAATTTCTCACTCCCTGGAGGAGCAGAGTGGAGGGTGTGTGTGCATGGAGAAGTCCAAGATTTCATATCTGGAAAAGAAGACTGGGAGAGGCCAGCATGAATGGCCACTGTCCTCGCCAAATCTGGATGGTATGTCTTAGGTGAGTTGTTAAGAAAACTTCCTGACTGCCGTTGTGGACAGATCTTGGAACAGACTGCTGAGGGCAGCTGCAGGATGACTTTTTCTGGAGTTCAGAGCTGCCTGGGTGGTTCCAATGCTCTTGCCTGACTCAGCTAGCCCAGGCCTCCTGAGTGACCTCTGAAGGTGTGCCCCAACTCACTAAGCCCTAGATCTGTGTGGGCTTCTGAGGGGTGGGGAAGACATGGGGCCAGTAACATAGAACTATGGTGGATTGGTAGCTTCAATGAGTACAAAAGGAATTCCAGAGAAACTTAGATATTTGGGTGTACATCACTGCTCACTGGAATAAAAGAGAAAAAAAGAGAAGCAAAGAGAGAGGGGAGAGGGAAGAAGAGAAAACCAAAGGGAGGATTTTTACAAAGAATTACACATAGACAATCAAGCAAAAGATAAATGAAAGCCATCAAGATGATTGCAGTGACATTTGATTTAATAGAGTAGAAAGGAAGAAAAGTAGATTTCAGGATGATGGAATGGGACTGTTTCATCATATCAATTTTTAAAATATGTATTTCTTTTTTATTGCTAATTTATTACTGAAATATATCAGATTTTCATCTTGTCTTGCATCTTGGGTCTTGGGGAAAACTCACTTGGGCTTTGGTCTTAGGAACATGTTTCTGTCTATTTTTCCGAATAGTTTGAGGAGAATTGGTGTTAGTCCCTCTTTGAAAGTTTGGTAGAAGTTGGCAGTGAAGCCATCCAGTCCCGGGCTTTTCTTTGTTAGGAGACTTTTTATTACTGATTCAATCTCTGTACTCATTATGGGTCTGTTCAGGTTTTTATATTTCTTTCTGGTTCATTCTTCATAGGTTGTATGTGTCCAAGAATTTATCTGTTTCTGCTAGGTTTTCCAGTTTGTTAGTACATAGTTGTTCATAGTAGTTTCTTATGATCTTTTGTATTTCTGTGGTATCAGTTGTAATGTCTCCTTTTCCATTTCCGATTTTGTTCATCTGGGTCTTCTCTCTTTTTTCTCGGTTAGTCTAGCTAGTGGTTTATGATTTTGTTTATCTTTTCAAAAAGCCAACTTTTCATTGTGTTGATCCTTCATATTTTATTTTTAGTCTCTATTTCATTTAGTTCTGCCCTGATCTTTATTATTTCTTTCTACTAATTTTGGTTTTTGTTTATTCTTCCTTTTGTAGTTCCATGAGGTGCATTATTAGGTTGTTTATTTGAAATCTTTCTACCTTCTTGACAGAGGCATTTATTGCTATAAACCTCCCCCTTAGCACTGCTTTGGCTGTCTCCCATAGGTTTTGGTATGTTGTGTTTCCATTTTTATTTGTTTTTACATATTTTTTCTTTCTTAATTTATTCATTGACCCAATTGTTACTTAGGAGCATGTTGTTTAATTTCCATGTATGTGTGCAGTTTTCACAATTCCTTTTGGTATTGATTTCTAGTTTTATTCCATTGTGGTCTGGGAAGATACTTGATATGATTTTGAGTTTTTAAAATTTGTTGAGACTTGTTTTGTGGCCTAATGTATGATCTATCCTGGAGAATGTTCCATATGCTGATGAGAAGAATGTGTAATCTGTAGCTGTTGGGTAAAATGTCCTGTAATTATCTGTTAGGTCCATTTGGTCTAAAGTACAATTTAAATTCATTTTTTTTTGTTGTTGATATTCTGTCTGATCTGTCCAGTGCTGAGAAGGGGGTATCAAAGTTCCCAACTATTGTGTTGCAGTCTATCTCCCCGTTTAGATGAAATAATATTTGCTCTATATATGTGGGGACCCTAGTGTTGGGTGCATGTGTATATTTAGAATTGGTATATCTTCTTGTTGAATTTATCCCTTTATCATTATATAATGACTTTCTTTGTCTCTTTTTACCGTTTTTGACTTAAAGTCTGTTTTATCTAGTATCTGTTCACTTTTGATTTTCATTTGCATGGAATATCTTTTTTCATCCCATTTATTTATAGGTGAAGTGAGTTTCTTGTAAGCAGAATATAGTTGGGGCATTTAAAAAAATCCACTAAACCAGTCTGTATTATTTTAGTGGAGAATTTAATCTGTTTACATTCAAGGTTATTTATGATAGGTGAGGACTCATTCCTGTCATTTTAAAAACTGTTTTTTGGTTGTTTTGTATAACCTTTGTTCCTTTCTTTTTTTCTTGTCTGCCATTGCTTATGGTGGGTTTTTTGTTTTGTTTTGTTTTGTTTTTGTAGTGGTAACATTTGGGTCCTTTCTCTTTCTATGTCTGCTCTACCAGTGAGTTTATATTTTTGTGTATCTTCATGATAGTGGATATTGCTCTTTTACTTCCAGATATAGGACTTCCTTAAGCATTTTTTTAAGGCCAGCCTAGTAATGAATCCCCTCAGGTTTAGCTTGTCTAGGAAAGATTTTATTTCTCCTGTATTTTTGAAGGATAGATTGGCTGCAGATAGTGTTTTTGGCTGACAGTTTTTTTTCTTTTAGCAGTTTCTCACATTCTTTCTTTCATCACATTCTCTCCTGATCTGTAGGTTTCTGCTGAGAAATCCACTGTTATTCTGATGGAAGTTCCCTTATGTGCAACTTGATGTTTTTCTCTTGCTGTTTTCAGAATTTTCTCTGTCCTAGACTTTTGTAAACTTTCCTGATTTTAAATTTTAAGGATTTCAAAAAATTTAGAACCAACCCCTGTGTCCAAATGAAGTATGTGACAGGGCTGGATATGACTGTGAGCTACAGTTTTCAACATCTGGTTTTATTTATCATATATGTTGAAATAAAAACAAAACTAGAGAAATATATAAAAACAGCAAGAACTATTAATAGTTGTTCCAATGTGTGGGTTTTTTTTCTGTTTTTTTTTGTTTTTGTTTTTTTTGAGACAGAGTCTTGCTCTGTTGACCAGGCTGGAGTGCAGTGGTGTGATCTCAGCTCACTGCAAACTCTACCTCCTGGGTTCAAGAAATTCTCTGCCTCAGCCTCCTGAGTAGCTGGGATTACAGGCGTCCACTGTCATGCCTGGCTAATTTTTGAATTTTTAGTAGAGATGGGGGTTTCATTATCTTGGCCAGGCTGGTCTTGAACTCCTGACCTCATCATCCACCCGCCTCAGCTTCCCGAAGGGCTGGGATTACAGGCGTGAGCTACCACACTGGACCCCAATGTTTATTTACTTGATCAAATCATTCCGGTCCTTCAAAATGCAATATAAGCACAACCTCTTACTAAAACCCTTTCTAAACATGCCCTCCACTTCCTACTCCATCATTCCATCCCATCTGCCACCTCTGTGGTCCAAGCCATCATAATACCTTCTGATTGTGGCATGAGACAAGACAGCTGCTAGAGCTCCAGCCATCACATCTGCACTCCAAGGAGCAGGTTAGGGGAAGGAGGTGAAGTGCAAAAGGGCCTCCTTCCAGATGAGGCAGTCCCTCTCAGATGGCTTTCAGAAGCTGTACCCAAGAACTTCACTTATTTATATGTCATTGTTCAGTAATTGCTGCAAGGGAGTTTGGGATATATAATCACATCATTAACTGAAGTAAAATCAGACATCTGTGTAAAGGGGAAAAAGATTATTAGGTGGGCAATTAGCATTCTCTTCCATGACTTGTTTTCCTGTTTTTGTTTTTTTACAAATATGGGAACCACTCAGACTGCAGTCTCTCCCTCTTACTATCCCAGAGGAAGAGAAGAATGGTTATCAATGGCAAATAGCAGTTGCAGCAGAGCAACACCAAGAGCTGGCTTTTCAGTCAGGAGCAGACACTGTGTCTCCTTGTGGTTTTTCATGCTTTACACATTCAGAGAACTTTCTCTAGTAACAAACTATAGAAATGATTCCTGAAAGTATAATCTTTCCCTGCTTTTACTGTTGTCCCCTACAATTCATTCTCCAAACAACCATTGTTTCTAAATACATTATGCTGTGTTTCCCAATTTAAACATCTTTAATGGCTCTTATTGTCCTTAGGACAAGGCTACAAATTTTAGTAAGAACTAGAATGCCTGTGCAACTTAGCAGTGCTGTCAACCTCCTTCTTCCTCCAAGTCCCATCTCTCTTGCTCTCATTCTTGGCTTCGCCTACACTGGCATTACTTCAATTCTTTGAATGTGTCAAGTTCTTTTTGTCCTTCGCACAGGCTGTTCCCTCTGTCTTGAACTCTCTGCCCCCAGCTGAATGACACTGCCAAGTGTTAGCTGAAATGCTGCCAGGTGTCAACTGAAATGTCATATCCTCAGAGAGGCCCTTCCTCACCATTTCATTCAGAGCACCTCCTCCACCCATTCTTCTTGGGCTCTACATTCTCACTCACAACCTCCCCACAGTTCAGGACACTGTATTGATGTGTGTGATCACTTCTGATGGCCAGTCTTCCTCACTAGACTCCATCTAGGGTAAAGACAGATGCACCGTTTGGTATGCTTGGCATGCAATCTAGTACCTGACAAATTAGAGGTGCTCAATGAATATCTATTGCCTGAATCTCTAAAATAAGTTAGTATGTTTGTTTGGTGCTATGGTACTTAAACAGGTGAAGGGTATATGAGACTCAGTTAAACTGAGGATGTAAATCCCCGGTTGTGCAGGATCTGATATAATCCTAGATTCATAAGTTTTTGTGCTGGGTCTGGGGAGACACCCTCTCTCCCCAAACCCAGCACAAAAACTTATGAATGTAGGATTATATCAGATCCTGCACAACTAACCACTTATCAATACCTAAAATCACCCCTCCCTTTTTTTCCTCCTTTATTCTTATACAGAATGAACTTTCTAGGCCTTCCTAGTTCAGCTGTTCTATGCTGGGTGATGAATGTGAGGTGTCTGCTCCTTTATCCTCAATTCAGTTATGTGCATTAATTAAGCATAAATAATTGAGCAGTGGGTGGGGGAGAGGGTGCCCATGTATTTACATCTTGGGATGTAGCTCTATTGCTCTAAAAAACAAGCATAAACAAATACAACCTTATGAAATTATTTTCCTTTAAATCTTTGCATCCAAAATGCAGGAGAAAAAAGAAAAAAAAAACTAGGAAGGGAATTCTCAAGAGAGGTATCATGTAACTTTATCTGAGGATGCAAACTGAAGGTGAATGGGGAATACATAAACCAAAGAGCTGGCAATGTTTGCAGCTTGAGCAGGGAGAGGCATATCAATTATTGATACTTTTCCTTCTCTAGATGTGTGTGATTCATTCCATGCTGGCTCTAACATATGCAGGGGAAAAGGAGAGAGAAGAATGTTAAGATTTTCTCACTGGCCAGAGTGCTGACACTGGTTTTCTGCTCCAATTAAAGTGGGACCTTGAGAGTGTGGGGGTGATACTCTTTGTCCAGATGAACTTTGGCAAAGTGATGGAGGATGGGAGGCCCAGATGTGTGACCCAACAGCAGATGTCAGCACTGGGATGGTCCAGCTGAGTGCACGTTTATGCCTTTCCTTCTCCAAGGGAGACCTCAGGAGATAGATAGTATCTCACAGGCTTACAACAGATGCTAATCAGATTATATCCAGATGCTCTATGAACATATGTCAGCAGTTGAAAAGACCTACTCTAATTGAGGCAAAATTACTTTTTCCAATGCTGTAGGTAAAATGCACAAGTAAAAATATAACTCTGTGGTTGTTTAAATACACCCTAAGGTACTTTTTCTTTAGCACACAGAAAGCCCAGGGTGAACAAATATTGTATGTGCTTGCCAAGAAGTCTGTTGAAGAGACAAAAGTGGAGAGAGAAAGGAAGTAGGCAGCCTCTTCAGCTCCCTGTGCTTACAAGATGCAATTTCTTAATGGTTTAGGATTCTATCATCCAATTTGAAAACCATGCTTTTGTAAATTCTCTTTCTTGCTTGCTGATTGAGGAGCTCCTAATGTTAACAAGTTTAATTTATTACATACTGAAGAATATCCAAAGTGTTTTCTTATGTATTTAGTGCAGAACTTGTGTTTTTCAACAAATGCATCAACCACCATTTGTTGAGGGCCCACCTTATGCACTGGCCAGTGAGGAGACATCAGTGAAGAGTGTTGTAGACAGCTGTGAGCTTTCAAGGAGCTCATAGTGTCATAAGGGAGGCAGACAAGTAAACAGGAAATTACGACACACGTGGAAACACCATGATGGAGAAAGCTTAAGATGCTATGGAAGTATAGAGGAAGCTTGCCAGATGCAGCCTTGCTATGGGGATGGCTGAGAAAGCTTGAGGAGGAACAGATACAGGCTGAAGGGGCTGGATGGAGTAGAGGTGAGGGAAGGGAACTCTTAAGACATGAAACATGCCACACGAGACTATATCAGTGGCTATAAATTACACAAGTTCTGATTAGAAGATAAATAACTAAAACTGTAAAAATGGAATGGGCTTCCTCAGAAAACCCCAAAGTTCCATATTATTAGAGGTATGCAGAGACCAGATTAGCAGTTTGGGAAATTACAAAAATACATTTTTGACCTGGGTGGGAGGCCATACCAGCCAGCTCCATAGTGCCAACCTCAGAGCCAAGCCAAATTTCCAGAGGTAGAGTTCAGAAATGTGCATTTGTTTAAAAGCTTCCAAGGTAGTCATCAGGCAAATCAAAACCACAATAAGATACCAGTCCACTACCACTAGGTGGGAGAAGCCATTAAGATGGTTATTTTTTTTTTAGAAAAAAGGGAAAACAACAAATATTGGTGAGGATATGGAAAAATTGGAACCTTTATGCATTGCTGATAGAAATGCAAAATGGTATTGCTGCTGTGGAAATTGTGTAGTAGTTCCACAAAAGTGAAACACAGAATTACCAAATGATTCAGCCATTCCATTTCTAGGTATATACCCAAAGGTATTGAAAGCGAGGATTCAAACATATTTGCACATCCTTATTCGTAGCAGCATTATTCACAAACCCAAAAAGGGAAAAACGCCACAATTCCATCAATAGATGAATAGATAACCAATCTGGTGGTATGTCCATACAATGGAGTATGATTCAGACATAAAAAGGAATGAAGTTCTGATATATGCTACGACGTAGATGAACCTTGCAGACATTCTGCTAAATGAAACATAAAGACACAAAAGGACAACTACTATATTATTCCACTTATATACAGTATCTAGAAAAGGCAACAGAAAATGGATTAGAGGTCACCAGGGGCTGGGGGTGGGGAATAGGAAGTCATTGCTTAATGGTTATAGAGCTTCTGTTGGGGTAAGAAATAGATTTGGAAATAGACAGTGGTGATACAACAATGCGAATGTACTTAATGCCACTAAATGGCAGGCACACTTAATAATGGTTAAAATGGTAAATTCTGTTATGTATATCTGACCACAATTTTTTTAAGAAAGACAAAAAGCTCTCTCACTGATTTTAAAGCAGTCAGTCCACAGAGCAGTTAAATAATTTTTTTTAGTTTTTGATTTTTGTGGCTACATAGTAGGTATATATAATTATGGGGTACAGAAGACATTTTGGTACAGGCATGCAATGTGAAATAATTACATCACAGAGAATGGGGTACCCATCCCCAAGCATTTATCCTTTGTGTAACAAACAATCCAATTATACTTTTATTTTAAAATGTACAGTTAAATTATTGACTATAGTCCCCCTGTTGTGCTATCAAATACTAGGTCTTATTCAGTCTAATTTTTTTTTTTTTGCACCCATTAACCATCCCCACCTCCCTCCCCCTACCCTTCCCAGCCTCTGGGAACTTTCTATTCTCTATCTCCATGAATTTAATTGTTTCGATTTTTAGATCCCACAAATAAGTGAGAACATGTGATGTTTGTCTTTCTGTACCTGGATTACTTCACATAATGTAATGACCTCCAGTTCCATCCATGTTGTTACAAATCACAGAATCTCATTTTTTATGGTGGAATAGTACTCTATTGTATATATGTACCACATTTTCTTTATCCATTTATCTGTTGGACACTTCAGTTGCTTTCAATTCTTGGCTATTGTGAACAGTGCTGCAATAAACATGGGAGTGCATATAGCTCCTTGATATGCTGATTTTCTTTCTTTTGGGTATATACCCAGCAGCAGGAATGCTGAATCACATGGCAGCTCTGTTTTTGATTTTGAGGAACCTCCAAACTGTCCTCCATGGTGGTTGTATTAACTTGCATTCCCACCAGCAGTGTACAAGGGTTCATGTTTCTTCACATTTTCATCA
Source organism: Homo sapiens (assembly GCF_000001405.40). Classification (NCBI taxonomy): domain Eukaryota; kingdom Metazoa; phylum Chordata; class Mammalia; order Primates; family Hominidae; genus Homo; species Homo sapiens. The sequence continues at coordinate 64,076,340 of NC_000003.12, forward strand.
GCATTTCTTATTACCTGATGTTTGAATAAAAGCCTTTTTAACTGGGGTGAGATGATATCTCACTGTAGTTTTGATTTGCATTTCTCTGATCAATGATGTTGAGCACCTTGTCGTATACCTGTTTGCCATTTGTGTGTCTTGTTTTGAGAAATATCTATTCCCATAGGCAGTTTTGGGGAACCTCTGGACTAGCTTATAGCTTATAGAGCTTACAGCTCTAGATGTTTCACAGGCTAAAAAAGCCAAAGTGGTTGCATGCTTTCTCCTGTATAGGGCAAAGCCAGGTGCAGATGATGTCGCCATCACTGTCAACCAGGAAGACCCTGAGCTGTGTTGTGTAAATATCTGCCTCTTAAACAAAAAGACACTGTAGGATGTACTTTTGGGATATAGCTACTTGTGAGGACAGATAAGCTCCAAACATTTCTGATATCTGCCTGAGTCAGTAAGGGGCTTCCCTCTGATAAAAACAGTTAGTGAAATCCAAGGTCTTTCTCCAGGACAGGTGGCAGATGATGGTATATTTCAGTTCCTGTTGCCCACTTCCATGGATCACTTATGGGTAATTTCATTTCTTAGGGTCAGATAGAAGCCAACACATGCCAGCATTCCCTTCAGCAGATACTCCAAATTTCATATGCACATATGCACCTTGAATCTTCAGATTTGCACCAATCTCCCAAAAGTGGGAAAGGAGGAAGGTGGGTGCAGTTCGGTGTATTCAGTGTCCTACCCTGAGTTCTCTAAGAAGCAGAGCATGAGACAAAGGCTTGAGTGCCAGTAGGTTTATTTGGGAAGTGATTCCGGGGAGGAGGAGTCGGGGATGGGGATGGGGATGGGGATGGGGATGGGGATGGGGATGGGAATGGGGATGGGGATGGGGATGGAGACGAGCTTAACAGGGAAGGAGAAAAGCCTAGGTATACTAAGAGTCGTTACTTAGTTGGACACCTCGATGGGCAATAAATAACCCCATAGAACATTTTGAGAAGCATATAGCTGAGAATCCAGAACAATTCATCTAGGAATTGAATAGGGGAAATATTTGTACATCAGCTCAGTTCCCTGCTGGTAAGAATGGCCTCGTGGGCATTCCATGCTTTGGCTTGAGTGTGCAAGGAGTCAGAGCTGACCCAGGACAGGAGGCAAGAGGCAAGTAGCCCAGGGCCAAGACCCAAGAGAATGCATTGTCAGTCTGCACCTACGTGAAACAGAAGGCTGGGTTGACCTCAGGGGCATAGCAGCAGGTGCAGTAAGAGGTAGGGCCAAGATGATGTGAAGTGGTATACAAGAGGGGTGCAGTGTAGCAAGAAATAATCCTGCAATTCTAAGCAAGTGTGAGACTACTGCATGGATCCAGCATCTTCCCAGGGACATCCAAAGGGCTGCCCATGAAGCTCCAGACCAGTGTATAGACATGTCTACACTCAGGGGAAAAAACAGGGGTTTGATGGGGAGAAGAGGCAATACTGCTCATAAAAGGGTAGTTTTTACTTGTTTCATTTATAACTTCAACTCCTGCAAACCACAGCAAATTAAACAAAAATAAATTTTATTCTTTTCATTATCCACTTATCCCAGAAGGGATTCCTTTCCCAGAATTTCTGCTTAGTTTCTAAAATTAGAAGCACTCATTTGCTTGAGGTGGTTGCAAATTTAGCTCAATGGTTCTCAAAGTGTGGTCCCAAACTAACAGCATCATCACCTGGGAACTTCTAAGAATCTGACATTATCAGACCCTACTCTAGACTCTTTGAATCAGAAATGCGGGGGGCGGGGGGCCAGTAATCTAGTTCAGTGAGCCCCCCAGGTGATTCTGATGCATACTCAAGTTTGAGAATTGCTGCCTAGAGCACTAAATAAATCCATCATGTGCTCTCAGCCAGGTTTTTAGGACTTTGAATTAGAAATATGGGCATGAAGTAATAAATCAATCTTCACTTTTCTATCAGCAAATACTAAATATGCTTGTATTACATTCCTAGGACTGCCAGAACAGATGATCATAAACCGGTGGCTTAAAACAACAGAAATTTATTCTCACTCAGTTTTGGAGCCCAGAAAGCGTCAGCAGGGCCACAGTCCCTTCCAGGGTTCTAGGGGAGAATCCTTCCTTGACTCCTCCAGCTTCTGTTGGCTTCTGGCATCCCTTGGCTCTGGCTGCGTAACTCCAATAGCTGCCTCGTCTTCTGATGGCCTTCCCCTCTGTGTGTCTCTGGGTCTGTTTGTCTCTCTCTCCTTTCTCTTATACCACCACCAGTCATTGAATTTAGAGCCCACACTGAATCCAGGATGATCTCGTCTGGAGATGCTTAACTTAATACATTTGCAAAGGCTCTATATAAGCTCACATTGACAGCTACTGTGAGGTTAAGACTTGGGACATATCTTTTTGGGGATCAAAATTCAATCCACTACAATGTCTAACATGCTGGAATCCAACATCTTTATAAAGTTCCTTATTCACCTTTTTTTTAAAAAACAGGTAAGCAAACATAAAATCCACAACCACTTGATCACTTTTTTCTCCTCTGTAGGCAATGCCAATAGAATCATATGTAACTAGGATGTCTATTTACCAGCTTGGTGTACAAACGTTATCACTCCACACTGATGTTGACTCCTTGTCCCTGACTGCTCAAATTAGCCCCTGTCCCTCCCTCACCCCATATGCTAAAGAAGCATACTAATTAATCACACCCAATGCCTGCTTTCTCACAGGTGATACTTGCACCAGTGAAGCTGAAGATCACAATTACTGCCTCAAATACTCACTGCCCTGGAAACCGGCCACCTCTGCTCCAAAGCAAGGGCTTGCTATGTGCTGACCTTGTGTCCCAGGCTCCACCCCTGCTGCTTGTTCCAACGTCTTGCTCTCTGTCTTCCTCCAATCCGACTGCAGTGGGGTTGGCAAGTGTAGGTGTGGGGGTGGGAGTGGAGATGTGGGTGGGGGTCTTTTCTCTACCACATTACCGAAGCATGGCTACAGGCTCTCTCAACTTATGCATAAGCCCAGACATACTCCAGGTCCTCCCACTGAGCCACTTCCTTATTTCTGTGTGGCACAGGTCCACCCGGCTGTACAATTCCAAGGGGCACCATTCACATCATATTCTCTGAGAATGGTGCCCTCACACACCATACACAACAACAGCCCTGACACAGCCAGGAAACTGATTCCTCCCGTGGAACCTCCTAATGCCTCTTGGCTTGACTCACCTCCAGCCTGACTGTGAGGAAAGTTCTGTCATCCCCCAAGAGTGACTTATAGTCCAAGTTCGCTGGTAATGGGGCCATCCATTCCCTTCAGGGAAAGCTCCACCCCAGGAAGACAATTCCCAAAAGCTCTGACATTCTAAGAGGTCCCAAACTAAATGCTATTCAAGCTTGCCCAATCTTATTATCCTGGTTACAAGTATAACAATTAAAAGACATTTGTAGACATTACAGTGTTGGGAACAAATATAGCTTTTTAAAAAAGGAAAGTAAACTTACTCATGTGCTTGCCAAGTCTCAATCAAAAGGTGCCATATGGAAATGGTATAAATATGATTGGCCTCCAGCACTGGCCAACTTTGAATCTCCCTGGAGCTCACAGATGGGATGCCACATGGATTAGATCCAAAGGCTTGGTAATTTGGTCCTCGTCCTTTCCTAGATAGTTCTCGCTGGAAGAGAGTGAGAGGAAACAATATGGTGTTCCACTGGAAAATAAATGGAGGCCTGTCTGTCTGCAGTGCAACCAGTGTTTCAAAAAAGACCTCCCCTTCTCCCTCCACACTTCTAAACTAGCCCCAGCAGAGCTGGCTCCCAGGTGTAGAAGTGGGTGATGAATGTCACCTGAAAATTAAGAAGCTGAATAGGAGCAAGGGCAGGAAGGAGTAGCAACCAGAGTCAACCACACCGGCCCATTTTCTTTCTTTCCTTTGTTCGGCCTACTAGGGCTTCATTTGTACCCACTCACCTCTTAGTAAAGGAGCACTTCTCTTTGCCTCTCAGGTGTCATACCTTTTCCTATCTGGGGCCTAAAGAGAGCAACAAACTGTTCACATGCACACAATTGTCAAGGGGCGGAGCTAAGATCTACAATGTGAACAGTCAGAATCTGTGGCATGGTTCCCTTGAAAGTGATCCCGGGCTCCCAGAAGACCACAGCTCCTGAAAGAGGCATCCCATTGAATACCAGCAAAATACTCTCCCTCCTGGTTGGTTCCAGGTTGTTCTTCCCATTGCCCATCTTCAATAGTTTCACCACCCTGCCTCTTTTCACCACTCTTTCCAGCTTTTTTTCCCACATCTTCCCATCTGATGCCAAATGTCCTGGGCAAATGGAACATGGAACACTTCAGGATCTCAACTTCCCTTGCTCAGATTGAAGCCACAGTTTCTCTGACCTCAGGATTCAGTTTTTTATTTTTTTCTACCCCAAAATTATACTGCATATTCCTGCCAGGGTAAGCTTTCTGCAAAACACATTGACTCCATCTGTGCTCCTGCATGAGAAGCTTTGAGGCTCCTCACTGCCCAGAAAATAAAGCTGGAGCTCCTTTGTATGACACCCAAGACCTTTTGCTATCTATTCATCTATTTCCTCAACCTTGTCTCCTAGAACCTGGGATCCAAGCCACACTCAAGTCACAGTCTTTCCTGAACACATCACAGCATTTTATGCCTATGAGCTGCCTTTTCACTCCATCTCCCCCTGCTGAACTCTTACACATCCTTCAAAAGAAACTCAAATAGTTCCTTCAAAAAATCATTATGACTATTTCTCTTCTTAGATTGACTCATCAAGACTAGAGCTATATCCTTTTAAATATGTCTGCTGCCCAATGCAGTCGCTGGCACACAGTAGGCTCTTCATGAGATTTTATTAAGAATGTTTTATTGAGCACCTACTATGGGTCAGGCTCCCTCCTAGGCCCCAAAGGTATAGAAATATAATAACCAACACTCTTAGGATGCTCCTTGGGGCAAAATGAGGAATGTCCTCTCTTATATCACAGAATCCTCACTTCTTTATAATTGACTCACAGCACCTAAGATATGTATTAGTGGTGGCTGTTACATGCATGTTTTTCCAGTCACATATGCCTCATTCTAGCCACAAGCTTGTTTCTAAGAAATAGGTAAGTGAGGCTGGGTTCAGTGGTTCAAGCCTGTAATCCCAGCACTTTGGGAGGCTGAGTTGGGCGGATTGCTTAAGCCCAGGAGTGTGAGACCAGACTAGACAATAATGGCAAAACCCCATCTCTACAAAAAGTACAAAAAAGCCAGGTGTGGTGGCACACATCTATAGTCCCATCTACTCTGGAGGCTGAGGTGGGAGAATCACTTAAGCCAGGAGGCAGAAGTGGCAGTGGGCCAGTAGCAGATAGCACCACTGCACTCCAGCTAGGGTGACAGAGCAAGACCCTGTCTCAAAAAGCAAACAAACAACAACAACAATAAACCAAAAAGAAAACAAAACAAAACAAAACACAAAAACCAGAAACAGTAAATAAGTGAAATTTTTATAAAACTTTCACTAACAAGCCCTTAAACCGAAAATATTGTTGGTGGACTTATTACAATACATTAAATCTATCTGCTTTGGTAGATACATATAATTCCTGAAAAAAACAGATCCTTACAAATGTGTAGCCAGTGTATCATGTGTGTGCACACATGCATGCATGCAGCCATGTTATTAACATTCTTTGGTGTACAATGGGGCAGGCCTTGGGTCCAATTATGTTCCCAGGATCCAGGGTGCAGCTGAATGCAGAACCTCTACTACACAGGTGTCATCCTTGGCTACTTAATTGTTAAACTACTTTCCTTTGTGACGGCAGATGATGGATGCAAGAGAGAGAAGGTCTATTTACAACCAACTTTTCTTTCTCATGATACTGCCTCAGAGAAGAGAGTAAGAGGAGCAAAATCAAATATTCAATAGAAATAGTAAAATGGAATTGATCTGCCTACACAAAATATAGATGATTCCCTTAATTTCACTCCATTGAACATGATATATACAAAAATTAACAAACACCTACTGCTTAGAAGTCTGCTCCTTAGGGCAATCATTTGAGAAGGTTATAGAGTATTCTAGGCCCAAACTAGAAATGGGCTTTTCCCCTGCTGCGGTCATAATCGTTGACAAAGACCCATCTGCAGAAGGCAGGGAGATATGTCCTATCCAGATTTCAAACTTGTAGACCTATCAGTTTTGGAAACTGGAGGAGCCTGTGACCTCCCTCTTCCTTCTTTTCCCTTTTCCCTGTAGCTGACTCACACTCTCAGCTGAAATCTGAGTTCAGAAAGTTCTGCATGCTTGCCTTGCTGAAGGTAACACAGAGCCTCCTTTTCCCAAGCACTATCAACATTTTGGAAGTGTTTTCACTCATTTTTATACCTGTTATTTACCTGGATGGCCTAGCAGATAGAAAGAAGAAGCCTTGCTGTCCCTCGTGGGTCACAGGCACATGTTCAAGGCAGGGGAGGAGGCAGCAAGAAGAGGAAGAGGCCCCAGGAACAGAGCAAAAGAAGACCTGGAGATCCCCCACATCCCTGCTCCTTGGGATCCTATTTCTTTCCAGGCTTCTACAGCTTGTTCTTTGCAGGGAACTTTACTCCCCACTCTAACTAAGGATTTTATTTGCAGCTGTCAGCATGCAAGGCTGAAATCTTGTTTGTGCCCTGGGTTGGTGTGCCCTGGGTTATTATGCTCAGCTGTCAGCCTTAGCCTTTTAAAAAACAATTCACTTACAGGATTGTTTGGATGGCATTAATTTGCAGAACGAATTGCTGGGAAGAGGAGGAGGTGGAGGAGGACTGCCCCGATGATGTCAGGAAGACTTTCTGGAGAGCACATGTTTCTGGGTGACATATATCTCCTGGGTGAGGTTGGGTGTACTCAAAATACTGGCTGAGCATTTGAGAGGCCACAGAGGTGCAAAGGCAGAACTGGAGACTGGAGAAAACCTCCCTCCATCCCAGCTCCTTGAGGGTGGTCAGCTTGTATTTACAGCTGTTCGGTGACCCTAGAGGGGGCTGAGGGAGGAAAGCATTGGCAGGAGAGGGGTCATTAGCAGCTACGCATTTGTCCTGCTGCCCTTCTGAGTGTTGCTCAATGCTTAGATACTGCTCCGTGTGGTCTCACGCAGTGCTTTGAGCAACACATCGAGGAGGAAGGAAACTTTTTTTCTTGAGTCCTTTGCCCAGTTCAGTGCTGACTTCAGTTAGGACTGTTGGGAGCATTTCTCTGGAGACACGGTGACCCTTTTGAAAATACTCAAAAGTTCTGAGCTCCAGTCTGAGGACATTTAACACAGGGCAGGATACCAGTTCATCTCCAAACCACCTATGGCAGAAAACAGCAGGGAGTGAACCTAGGAAGAGATCAAGACACGCTCTCACAAGGAAGCAGCACAAATGCGCATTTCTTAAGAATGAGGTTGGGCAAGTCAGGAGGGTAGGAACCCTCTGCTCAGTCAAACAAGAACTAGGGAGATGGGAATGTCCAAGGGGAGGCAGTAGAAGGGTAAAGCAAGGCAGGCAGGTGAGTCATCAAGGGCTCTGGGGAAGTGGGATTTGTTGAGGTGAAGCATTGCTGCACTATGGACCTTCTGCCATGCTTTAACTTTTATACCAGGTAACTAGATATCTGGGACATTTCCTTTTGCAGGCCAAACTCTGGCTTTTAAAAAAGATATGTAAGAAAAGCAAAGCAAGGTTCCGTGAAGATAGGAGATTTGACTGACTTATTGTCTTATCCTCAGATTTAGAATAATGCACGCAGTGGGTGCTCCATAAATATCTGAGGAATGAGCAGGCTGCCCAGTGAATTCAGTGCAGCGATTTTCTTCTACAGCCTCTGTTTTTCTATGAAAGGGGAAAGTGTCCTCCATCTTTCAAAGGGAACACTTGGGGTTACTAAGGGCTCTATGCAATACATACTTTTTGTATGGGTCATTTTAATTGTTTAGTTATTTTATTCCTTTCGTTCAGCAAATATTTATTGTGCAGTTAGTACTGTATAGGTAATAAGCTTAGTATATGTGAATACAATGGTAAGCAAAATAGACTGTGTGCACCGTGCAGTCTCATAGGCTGTAGTTCTCTGAGACCATTATTAGAATTCCAGGTTTTAATTAACTGATCAGTTTAACCAAGCCAAAGCAACCTACCAAACCAACAAACAAAAAAACTACATCCAAAGCACTGGCCCCTTTGAACTTCAGAACTTCTCATGAACATCAGACGATACACATGACTCAGTCCTCTAGGTTAGAAAGAAGCTTGAGAGGACATTTTAGACTGGCCCTTATGTATTAGTCACAATAGGCTGGGTTATGCTGCAGTAAAAAATTAACGCTGAAATCTCTTCAATTTAAGACAACAAAGGTATATTCCTTGTTTAAGCAAAGCTCCTTATGGATGGCTGCTTCCACACAGTGACTCAGAGATCTAGTCTGCTTCTATCTAATGATTCAGCATCTAACTATGTGGCATCCATGTTACCATGACTTGAGATCAAAGACTGTAGGCAAATGCCTAGAGACTGTCCACTGTCTTAGTCTGGAAGTGACACATCCACTTCCCCTCACAGTTCTTTGGCTAGGACTAGTCACATGACCACATGCAACTGGGAGGGGGCTGGGAGGTGGGTGGGAACACATGGATATTTGATGAGCAGTAAATATCTCAGCCACACTCATTCTTTACACAAAACTCCCCCTGAATTATCATTCTGAAGAACTGAGAAACAACATTGAAACAATTGATAGATGAGATGTAGAGAATAGATTTTTCAAATAAATGAGTCAATTTCCTTTCTAGGCTATTTATCTGAGACTAATTTGGAAATTAAAGGAATATAGTTAGTTATTCCTCTTTCTAGGTCAGAGGAATTCACTATTGACTTTCTTGTACATCCATCATTCTTTGATTTCTTTCTTAGGTCAGGAAAACTTCATCTTATGCTGCATATTTTCAGGTGGTAAGGTTTATTTTTTCATCCTGGTAAAAAGAGATAACACTCTAGATTGTAAATTTGTTTTATTTTCTCTTAAAACTCTATGGTAGTAGCATTACCTGCCTTCCGAGTGTTTCCTTTGCAACCCTTTGTCTACTGGACTCCTATTTATAATAAATATTTAGCGGATTGTGTCTGAAATGTTAGAATAACATTTGCTTTTTCTAGAGTCACTTTTTGTTACTGGATAGAAAGCATCAACTTGTTTCTTTGTGTTTCTTCTGCCATTGGGGCTTTTATTAAATTAAATGTTGTAGCATGTCATTTATTTCTAATTCAGCGGCAGATTTTTGCCTAAGTGTGCCCTGATTGTGTCCTTGCTTGCTCAGGCACCTTCTCCAATAAACTATAGTCTTGCAATTAGCACTAGACCCATGAAAGAAATATGTTGAAATATGATAATTTATTCCATTTGCTAATATAAGTTTATTCCTTGGTAGTATTTTCCAAAGCCACATGGATTTGATTATTCTTAAATCTTCACTTCCTAGTGATGGTTCTTTCATTATATTATAAATTATCTGATTATAATTCAGTGGCATAAACTCTTGACTTCGTGTTTTTTCTTTTTTTTAACTTGCAGTTGATAGTACTTGAAATGTTGGTAGCTTCATTATGGAATCCAAAGACACTATTACTCTTTGAAATTGGAAAACGCTATTGCCTAACTGGAGTTTATTAGAAAAGAAACCAATTTGGGGGAAATTCAGTAATGCAAACTTGATCTCAGACGTAACCACTAATAGGAACTTTGAGTGAAATTTTGCCTTGCAGCGACTTATCCAGAGAGAAAAAGACTTCTCCTTGGAAGGAAGGCTGAAACTTTTTTGTTTGTTTGTTTTGTTTTTTAGTGTTTCATACTCAAAGGTTTGTAAGGTTAAAGCCATACTCCCTCTTCTTCCTTTTAATTTACTGAACCAGAATTGTTAGGAATTTTTCTTTTCACACTCTTTTAAAATTTTTTGAGCATCTACTATGTGTTAGGTCCCAGAAGAAAAGACAGCTGGGCTCTCTACCCCCATGGAGTACTGGTTCTAATGAGGGGGAAAAGGAAACTCGGAATTACAAGATGTTGCCAGCAGATATGCAGAATCCCAGGGGAGCCCAAGGCAGAGATCCTATTTCTAACTTGCTGAGACCAGACTTTTCATCCTAGAAGAAGCGTATCTACGTTGAGACCTGAAGAATGAGAAGTAGTTAACCAGGTGATCAATAGGTGGAAAAGGGAAAGTAGAAATATGAGTACTTTAAGCAGATGGAACAGCAAGTCCAAAGGTCTGGGTGCAAGGGAGAGACCATGATGAGAAACTGAAAGATCAATTTGGCCAGACATTCATGGCATTTGTTCATTGTATGCACATTATGCAATGCTTTCCAGCAATTGTGGTTTGTGTGAGGGGGTGACAAGACAGAGAGAAGGTGCCAGACCTGTGACCTTGTCTACCATAAAGGATCCTAGAGGGTTTTGGGTCTTGACTCTGAACAACAGACACAACCTTCCCACAGATATCCTCTTACCTGCCATGATGTCACCAGCTGGGTGGAATTCATACAGTCCATGAAGTAATAGGAAGAAGACCTCTGTGGTCCCTGCAGCCCGGGAGAAAAGAACTCATTCAGGGCAGAAGCAACACGGTCCTGAGGGAGTCGGGGTATTGAGTGAAGCAGAGATGAAAACAAAACAGGACAGAGTGGTGAATTTGATTTACATAATAAGAGCAGGCAAGGAAGACTGGCAAGTGTGACAGAAAAGACCTGTGCTCTAAATGTGTTTGGGGGTGGAAGTTGAGAATAGGAAAGAGACAACTCAAGAGACAAGCTGGCATTCACATGCAGGGTAGTGACTGGGCAGCAATGGTGAGAGAGAATTTTTAAATGTCTGCTATGCATTAAGAATTTACCTCCTCCTTCGGTGTTTCCTTGATAGACAGGACAGATTTGAAATGCTGAATATAGACTTATAATACTTTCTGGTTGTGTTTGTATTTCTTTGAATGCAGTACTTGGCTGAGAATGGACCAGTTGGAACCCTAGGGCTCACAGGGTTGTAGAAATTTTCTCATGAGACTGTAGCTTCAACTTGCTAAGCAGAGTGCAGATGACTGTTTAGAAATATAGCCAATAGATAATCTCAGTTCTTACTCTTGGGTTATTACTAGGATAGTTCCTAAAGAGATACATTTGGGGATGTCTGCCCAGCCCATGAATTTCTGCATCCAAAAAACTGTTCCCTCACCCATAAGAGCTAGCACTCTGGCCAGGCATGGTGGCTCACGCCTGTAATCCTAGCACTTTGGGAGGCCGAGGCGGGCGGATCACCTGAGGTCGGGAGTTCGAGACCAGCCTGACCAACATAGAGAAACCCCATCTCTACTAAAAATACAAAATTAGCTGGGCGTGGTGGCGCATGCCTGTAATCCCAGCTACTGGGGAGGCTGAGGCAGGAGAATCACTTGAACCCGGGAGGCAGAGATTGCAGTGAGCTGAGATCGCGCCATTGCACTCCAGCCTGGGCAACAAGAGCAAAACTCTGTCTCAAAAAACAAACAAAAACAAACAACAAAAAAAAATAGAACTAGCACTCTGCCAGCATGCTAGCACCTAGCACTTCACCCCTGTTCCAACATTGGTCGATCAGACCAGGAATGAGTACCTGACCCCAACTGGGCCAATCAGAGTATTTTTTGAGAATAAGATATTAAATGAAGAAGATGGCAACTTGGGAGCTGCAGAGAACCACATATGTCCATGAGTTCCCCAAAGCTGAAAAAGCAAAGTAATAAAGGGAAAAGATTAAGCAGACTATGGAAGAGAAGCTGAGCTTTAAAACTTAGGGTAGAAACTTTCTGATCTCTTGGTGGCTTTTCTATTTTGGGCTCCAGGCCCTCAAGAAACTGTTTCCCCTAGCTTCTTGCAAGATACGCGGTATCTTTGAAACAAACATTATTATTATTATTATTATTTTTGTGGCCCAAGTTAGTGCGAAGTAAGTTTTGATTACTTAAAATCCAAAGAACCTAGCCTAAAAAAATTGCCCTTTATGGCCCAAATTCTTTAGGTTATTCAGTTTACTTTCTAGTATTTCTAGACCCATCTGTTTGTGAACTTCTTGTGTGTTAAGGACACAAGGCCATCCATCAGCCCTGATGATCTGTTTTATCTTCAGAATCAGCCAGCCAAGCAGAGGCAACAAGTATCTGCTAGTATTTTGCTGAGAAAGCTCTTAAATCATCTTATCTCCTGCTGGGTATAATTGTGTCATTTAATAGCTTAACCATTTCCCCCTAAACTTCAGGCTGTGTTTGCCTTTATTTATCTATTGCATCTACTAATGAGCTTTCCTTTTTAGGTTCATGACTGGATGTCTGTCTCCGTCAAAATTGGCTATATTTAGAATTTAGGCTGGGATGGGTTTTCCAAAGGGGCTGGTGTTTCTCATTCTAAGCTAAAAGTAAAACCAGTATCTACTTTACACATAGGGCAGATGAGTATTTGGGAAGCAGACCCTTCAACCCCAAAGCTCTATAACACAAACAGGACTGAGCCCTTAGCATACAAGGACTCACAGAAAATAAAGACTTTCCCATGGTGAGAGGGGTGGCCCTAGATCTCCAAATGTTTATGAAAAATGTGATGACCCAGGGCCCTGCTGAATCAGACTCTCTAGGGATGGGGCTGGGGATCCTGAATTGTACATAATCTACCCAGTTAATTTTGATGTGTGAAAACCATTGGCTATGAGCCCAAGTAGCAATTCTCCAATCCAAACATAATTGTTAGACTGTGTTTTACAATAAGCTCACTCTCTTCTTCAGTGCAGCAGTGGTATACTTCTATCATAAAAATTAAAGCCAATTGAAGTTTGTTCCTTTTTTGATGACTGCCACTCCTGAAAAAAAGTGAACCCACTCCAGATCCTCCAGAATTGGAATGGAAGTCACTGGCTCAAGTTTCTTTATTCAAACTAATAAGCTTGTTAAGTTCTCTTGAAGCATCAGGGACTAGGGGATGTGTTTTTGTTTGTTTATTTGCGATAGGGGCAGGAGGCAGACAAATGTCTAGGCAGATAAGGGTGGGTCTCCAGCAAAACCCCACTTTCAAGCCGGAAATAGTCCTGGGTAAATCCTCAAACTGGATTGAGAAACTGCCTTCGAACTTGGCACATTTTCCCCTGATTTTTTTTTTTTTTTTTTTTTTTTTTTTTTGTGAGAAGGAATCTTGCTCTGTCACCCAGGTTGGAGTGCAGTGGTGCAATCTCAGCTCACTGCAAGCTCCGCCTCCTGGGTTGTCTCAGGCTCTTGTCTCAGCCTCCCAAGTAGCTGGGATTACAGGGATGTGCCATCATACCTGGCTAATTTTTGTATTTTTAGTAGAGATGAGGTTTTGCCATGTTGGCCAGGCTGGTCTCAAACTCCTGACCTCAGGTGATCTGCCTGCCTCAGCCTCCTGAAGTGCTAGGATTATAGGCGTGAGCCACTGTGCCTGGCCGCTTTCCTCTGATTGTTCCCCACCCTTCACCTATTTTACATATACCTACCCTTTCCTAATTGGTTTTCTACACTATCATGCCCACCTTTGAGTGATGTCTTTGCTTTAACCTTTTTTGCCTACTCACAAACCAATCAGGATGCACTCCTTATTCTGAGCCCATAAAAAACCTCAGATCCACTGAACCAGAACCTCTTTGAGGAGGACAAGGAGTTTTCATTAAGTTCTGTGGGCATTTTTTACACTTAGTAAAGATTCAGGCCTTCCTCCAATGTCTCTAAATCCTATCTAATGCTTACATTAAAAAAAGATAAGAGCATTCTTAGACTAGATATGGCTCAGTGATATTGGGAACTCTCCTGCCTTCAGGTAGGGGGACCACCCCTGCATCCCCTCCCCACCAAGAGCTATTGCAGCACTCAATCAAACTTCTCGCCTAACTCACTCTTCGAGTGTGTGCGTGCCCAATCCTTCCTGGTGGTGAGACAAGAACCCAGGCCTAAGCTATGGAGCAAAAATACTGCATCATGTGTGTATTTGTTTCAGAGACTTGGAAGAAAACAAGAAATGCCAAGGCAGAATTTCTTGAGCTGTGATTCTCAAACCACCTAGATCATAAAGATATAAAGGGCACTGTTATAAAAGCAGATTCTGGGGCTCTACCTCAGATCCACTGAACCAGAACGTCTTTCAGGAGGATGAGGAGTTTTCAGTAAGTTCAGTGGGCATTTTTTACACGTAGTGAAGATTCAGACCTTCCTTGAATGTCTTTAAATCCTATTTAACGCGTATAATAAAAAAAGATAAGAGCATTATTAGATTAGATACCACTGGTGTCTAGTTCTTGCCAGCATCTCTCTTTGGGTAGACTAGAAATACTAATGATAGTAATAACAATAGCTAATGTGTGTTGAGCTTTTTTTTTTTTTTTTTTTTTTTTTTTTTTTTTTTTCTTCTTGAGACGGAGTCTCGTTCTGCTGCCCAGGCTGGAGTGCAGTGGCACCATCTCGGCTCACTGCAAGCTCCGCCTCCCGGGTTCACGCCATTCTCCTGCCTCAGCCTCCCGAGTAGCTGGGACTACAGGCGCCCGCCACCACGCCCGGCTAATTTTTTGTATTTTTATTAGAGACGGGGTTTCACCGTGTTAGCCAGGATGGTCTCGATCTCCTGACCTCGTGATCCGCCCGCCTCGGCCTCCCAAAGTGCTGGGATTACAGGCGTGAGCCACCGCGCCCGGCCTGAGCTTTTATAATGACAGGTAGCACTAAGAGCTTTACACGTATTATTCCAGTACATCCACACAATAACCCAATAATGACTCTTCTGTTATTATCTCATTTAATAGATTAAGAACTGAGGCTCAAAGAGGATATGGACATTTCCCAAGATCAACAAGTAGCAAGTGGCTGAGATGACATTTAAAATGTTAAAGGAACATGGGGCCAAAATAAAAGGTGCACAACTGGCATTTAGTGCATATGGGATCCTTCATATGTTTTAATTGGGATTGCAAGGAACTCTTGAGCCCAAAGAGGTTACATAGGTATGTATTGTCACAATACATAGGCACAGTGGGGAGGGGTATGTGAAGGACCAAAATCAAATGGTAACCCTAGAGGGGTACCTCCAGGGCAGGAACTAGGATCTGTTTGGAGGTGAGGAAGTCCTGAGGACCAGCTCCTCTGGGTCCATTCTGATCTCTTGTCTTTGCTCTTAGATCTGCTCTCAGCCTAGACTTTTGCTTATTTGTTGCATCTGCTTCCTCATCCTTCCTCTTACCTTGTTGCTCCTGTGCTGGACTCCACCTCCTGGTTCCTCCCCATACATTCTCTTAGCTTCCACTCCCACTGCCAGCTGCCTCATTCTCTCAGAATTTCTTGGTTTATAATCTTATTTAATCTTATTAGAGACAAAGTCTCTTACTGTGTCACCCAAACTGGAGTGCAGTGGCACAGTCATAAGTCATTGCGGCCTCAAGTTATCTTCCTGCTTCAGCCTCCTCAGTACCTGGGACTACAGGTTTGCACCATTATGCCAGCTACTGGTTTTTGTTTTTGTTCTTTTTCCATAGAGACGGAGGCGATGGGGGCGGGGGCGGGTCTTGCTATGTTGCTCAGGCTGGTCTTGAACTCCTGGCCTCAAGTGATCCTCCCACCTCAGCCTCCCAAAGTGCTGGGATTATAGACATGAACCACTGTGCCCAGCCTGTATTCTTGAGAGAGCGAATCTGATAAGTCCAGCTTATCATGCTTATAAGATTGCTGGTAGGGTGCTATACCTGACTACAATCATTTTGGCTGAAGAGGGGAAACAGGGAGGCTGTATATTAAAAACCATGGTTGCCTGCAGGCCATGCTCTATGGCATGTCTGTAAGCAGAACAGGCACAATTGCCATTTCCAGTTCAAGTTTTTATTCAAAAGCTCTTAGAATGTCTTACAATGAAACAACTCTTGTTGTCTGCCACTCCCAAGTCCTTGTGATTAGCTAGGGTGGGTAAGACTACTTACTATTCCGAATGTCTTGCCTAGTTGAAAGTAAAGTTTGTAAACTCCTTTAAGGTAGGGATTTTTGTTTGTTTTGCACATTATTGTATTCCAAGCACCTAGAACGGTTCCTGGCTAGAGAAAGCCTTTTGATAAATATTTGTTGAATGAATGAATAGATGATATTATAGCATCCAGCAAGTCCCTAATGTTGTGGATCAGACACGGGGAAATTGAATTTACATGCTGCCTTGGTCCTGGCTCCCAGTCAGTGTTAATGCTGCCCTAACCAGAACACAGACATGGATGTAATTCTCCAGACAGACCACTTATTATTTGCTTAAAAGCAAACACAAATATTTTTGGGTCATCTGCTGCTTTCAATTCTTGCTAATAACTGAAAATTAACTGTGTGGCCTGGGTAGGAATCAGTTTCAAGAATTCTCAAGGAACAAAGACACTAAGAAGGCAATGCATTGAAACCAGTGGTTCTCAACAGGGAGACATTGACAATGTGTGGAGACATTTTTAATTGTGGTTAAATAAACATAATATAAAATTTACCATCTTAACCACTTTTAAGTGTACAGTTCAGTAGTATTAAGTTCATCTGCATTGTTCTGCAACCCGTCTCCAGAACTCTTTTCATCTTGCCATAATGAAACTCTATACCCATTAAATAGTAACTCCCCATTCCCTCCTCCCTTCAGTCCCTGACAACCAACCACTCTTCTACATTCTGTCTCTATGAATTTGACTCTAGGTGCCTCAGATAAATGGAATCATACACTTGTCTTTTTGTGACTGGCTTATCTCACTTAGCAAAATGTCCTCAAGGTTCATCCATGTTGTAGCATGTGTCAGAATTTCCTTCCGTTTTAAGGCTGAATAATATTCCATTGTATGTATACACCACACCTTGTTTACACATTCATCCATCAGTGGACATTTGGGTTGCTCCCACTTTTTGGATATTGTGAATGCTGCTTTTATGAATATGGGTGTACAAGTATCTCTTTGGAGACCCTGCTGTCAATTCTTTTGGGTATAGCCCAGAAGTAGCATATGGTAGTAATTCTATTTTTAATTTTTTTTGAGGAACTGCCATACTGTTTTCCACAGCACTACATCATTTTACATTCCCACCAACAGTGTACAAGTGTTCCAATTGCTCCACATCCTCACCCACATTTGTTGTTATTTTTAATAACTGCCATCCTAATGGTTGTGATGGGAGACATTTTTAGTTGTCACAGTTTCTGGGGGCTGCTACTGGCATCTAGTGAGTAGAAGTCAGCGATGTTGCTAAACATCCTACAATGCACAGGACAGCCCTCTGCAACCGAGAATTAACTAGCACAAGACGTCAATATTGCTGAGGCTTAGAAACCCTGATTTAAACAATCAGGTTAATATTTCATAGTAAAACTCATCCCTCCATACCTGTGTCCTTTCTTTTCTTTGTTGAAATGCTCAAAGGCAGAGACCACCCCTAAAATCTGGAAAGTGAGGGAGGGCTGAGAAGAATGGCAACATTTCTTTTATTCAAATTTTATTGGAAGTTTACAAATGTATTACAGACATCAGTAAAACATCATATCCATTTTACAGGGCACGGATCTCAAGCAAAGTGTTCAGAACAGTCTCTGGCAGAGCCCACACCAAAGGCCTGTTGCAGACCTTCTTAACAAATAGCTTGACACTCAACACAGAACACAGACTCTGGCCTGCCTCACCTTCCCAGGCCCTTTGAGGTTTTGTTTATGCACTTGAAATGAAAGCAGGAGATGGACAAAGCAATCCTGTGGAGGAAAGAATGAGTTTAGGAGAGGAAAACCTGCCGAAGTCCTAATTTGCTAAAAAAAAATTAATTAAAAAATGGAGGACTCATAGTCCTTACAATGTTAAGTCAGGGTCTATGACAGAATCATGACACTTTATGGAAAGATATGAAAATCAACTAGGTAGGTTTAAGAACAGACCTTACTGGTAAGTAACTCTCTCTGAAAAATTTAGAAAAGCTTGGTCAGTGACCTGTTGAATATCAATGGCCAAATGCCAAGCAGAGTGAAGGGATATCTCAGAGAACTCTCAGAATAGAACAAGCAGATTTTTCTCTATCCTATGGATTCATCGTATTCAAAACACAGGAATGTTTTCCTAACACTATGTGACTTTCCCCTCCTTTATATTTCCTTGAGGAAAGCTAGTTTTGTCAGCAGGAAGTAAGCTTATAAAATAGTATGGCTCCCAATAGTGAGTCATATTTTATGGGAGTCTTGTGTTGACTAGGCTACTATTATGAGAAAATGGAAAAAGAATCCAATTTTTTCTTGATCTTTACTTTGAGGACTACTTCCAAATGGTCATAAGAATAAGCTCTGGTATCTGCTGAGGCACCAGAGGGACAAACCACTGGAGACAAGGCAAAGGCCATTTCTACTTCTCTTGTGCTTAAAGAAATGTACCTCAAAAGGTGGCGATCTGAAACTGCCTTCAACAATTGGCAGTGGAGGCTTGGCTACTGAGTCTTGCATATGCAAATGCTGTCTGCAGAGCCCATTTTAAAGCCCTGAAGGTGCAAAACAGTTGCTAATAGCAACTGTCCTGGCATGAAGTATTCAGATAACTGGTTCAGTTTTCCACTTTCCTTTGTCATGGACGGATCTTCCTTCTTAGGCTTAAGCATCTGTTTTCTGCTAGAAATACACAAAGAACACTTCTCCTTGGAATTTAAATATTTATTTATTTTTTGTTAGAAGGTGGGATTACATGAAGAATAAGATGAAGTCTTACCTCACCTCTGCAAAATGAAGACTGCCTATAGTAATTGGCAGAGAACATGAAAATGGCCAAGGAGGTAAAGAGATTTTTTTGTCCTTTAGCCTAAGAAGTCAGCTTCCTCGAGCCTCCACAACCTGGGATGGGGGAGGGGCAGGTGAATTGGAGTCTCCGAATTACTTATACATATTGGTTCCTAAATGTTCGTAATTATGCTTCCTAAACTGTTTTTGTTCTACGGCAAGAGAACCAAGAGTGGAAAGACAGATATGAATCAGTTCACAAATAAGATTGGTTATCAGACCAATAAGATCAGTTCTGATCAACTGGTCCTGGCTGGTTGGAGTGTTGCAAAGATCTGTGAGGCTGCATCCACATTCTCAGCAAGAGTATACAGTGATGCATTGGTTGTATCTGCTCAGCTTGCAGGGAGCGCAGAGCACATGCTACATATATGTCATCACAGGCCTCACCTGAATTGAACAATAGCTAGTAGTACCCAAGAAGCAGAAAGCTGCTGCAGAAGGAAGAAAACATAATCTTGTTATAGTGCAGGAACATCCTACAGGAAATGAGGATTAGAAAGCACTACTTCCAGATCCTGTATTAGAAACACAAAATTGCTCATTTGCTCGACTGGTTGGGGGTAGAAAGGAAGGAATAAAAAATAAAAGGTGAAAGTGGAAAGAAGGTGTCAAACAACCCACACCAGGACTTCTTCCTTGGATGTATGAAAAACCAGGAAGCATGGTTCTGATCTCCCTTACCTCATTCACCTTCACACTTGGTAGAGATCCCACAACTATATGACAGAAGGAAAGCGCCCTGAATACCATCCTCAATGCCACCTGGCTGCCAAGAAGCCTTTTCACAGTACCAAGGGTGGTATGGATTGGCAGAGCCACTCAGGAAACTGTCAATGACTTATACTTCCTGGGTCTGGGAACAAGCCAGCTATGTTGCTACTGAATTGAGCAGCAATAGGAAATGAACTCAACTCCGAAGTTGCAGTTCTAACCAAAAGACAAGAAGATCAATATTAGGAGAGGTGGGAAAAATAACAACCAGGGCATTGGAGAAGAGAGAACGCTGGAAAAAGATTACTATTCTGGAAATCAGTCTCTTGAAGATGGAATTATGATCTAAGAGGAAGTGAGTACAGGCCCTACTCACAGGAGGAGCTTGTCCAATAAGAGTTAATGGTTGTGATGGAGGAATTAGGTGAGGACCTTAAGTTCTTGCCTCAGGAAATAATGCATTGGGAGTGGGATTCTGGGATGTGATGTGTGAGCTATCACTAGCAGGCAGAATTCCAAATACAGTGATGTCCTTCTCCTCAATAGGGCATTCGCTTGGGGGTTCTGCCATCATTGTAAGGAATTGGCCTTCCTCATTCAGCATTCTCTGTAAGGTTGCATTTGGGGTCAGAAGAAATCTGCAATGGTAGAATTGAGGGAGGTAATCTTGCTAGTAGACAGTTTTACCCTGAAGCTTGTATGTCATTTCATCTCAAGCTCTGAGCAGTTCAGTGCCTGGATGCTCTCTGGGCATCTAGACTTATGCCTCCAGACCCCTCCGGGCACTGGCCATGTGTCAGTTTTTAGGCCACCTTCTTTCTGATGATGGTGGTTGAAGCTTTCTTTGAGAAAGGTAAGAGGTATTCTGAGAAAAACAGAGTTAGGAAGCAACTTTTACTGGGAGAATTTCTTTCACTGGATTTGGGGCCACAGAGGACAGACATATTTTCAACCGTTTGCTAAGATAAGTGATCTACTTTTCCCCCTCTCTTTTTCCAAAATTGCCTTTTTAGTTTCATCAATCAAGGAACTTAAAACTCCAAATTGGACTCGCACAATTTCTACCAGAAACCTGCCACTTTAGTAGCACGGTATTGCAAATTATTTCTTAATCAGTTTGCCAAGCAGTTTACAAACTTACTATACAAACGTAATAGAGTTAATTCTCCGGAGGCTCGGATAATTAATGAAGCATTTAGATATGAAGATAGCATGCGGAAAACAGCCACAACCAACATGTGCATTGCTTTTTTAAAAAAATCAGTGACAATGACAAATGTCATATTAATACCTGAAAAGCAAATTATTTTAATACATCCCGAATGGAGTGCCATTACCATGTCCTTTACAGCCTTCCTTTCCTCAGACCCATCTGGGACGGGGTCTGAAATGCCACTTTTGACATTCTCTCCATAAAAAATACTAGAAAATGTTAACTACTATACTGAAAAGAGATCACGCTCACCTCACCATGGCAGATGGCCACTGAGATACACCGGGCACTACATCGACAGTACATCTCACTACAGGTGGGTCATCCGATGGATTATTTCAACTGCCACAATCCATTAAGGGGAGGAGGAGGATGGAAGAAACCAAGTGCTTCATTTTTAACTGAAGCAAGGTAGGGAGTTTTATTTTACTATAAACAGCACAACCGTTAAATGTCTTCATTAAGCAAACTCACTTTTGAGCCCATTTTCTGACCAACAGTCCTCAAAGTTCAAAATGGAAATACCCTCCCAACAAAGCCTGTTTTTTTAAAGACATTGCACCACTGAAATCTCAGCAGCTCAACCTTCCTGGGTAATCCAGATACTCTGGTTACTAAGCTGGTTACACTGGACTCTTTCTACAATCTCTGGGAGCTCTTCGAGGTGGTTGTCACCTGTCCTCTGTTTCATTTCCAGTTCTTCTTTTCCCTGACCTGCCTTCAGATTCTCCTTTAACTTCTACCCTTGACCTGCCTTCTGTTTTCAAATAGCCTTGTTCCTTCTCCAGGCATGACATGTCACACACCGTCCCTCGCAGAGCCCCCTCAGAATCCTTCTGTCCCTCAATCCCAAATGCTTAAGTTCATTTGCTTTGAGGACAACCGGTTGTCAGGCTAAGGCAGCAGTTCTGTCTGCCTTGGTAAAGGAAAGCAGATAATACAATCCAGGAAACATGAGCACCAGAACATAATGCCACATTCAAAACAACGTCATGCTGACATCACACAATGGCACCACTCACAGTCACTTTTACTTTCCCCAAGGGATAGATCAACATTAAGTAACTTCAACATTCCCAGCAGGGATGGCATTTCTCACAGAATTTTACTGACACCGGTTGGTTTCTCTAATTGGCAAAAATTACATTTGCAATTTAAAAAAAAATTACTACCACTTTGTAGAAAATAAATTCTACTGAGGGTGGGAGCAGACTTAAGGATGGCTCCTTAAGATGGAACGGAGCATAAAATGCTTTGGGTCTAACAGTTATGTTTTTTCAGCCACAAAAAGCCAAATTGAATATGTTCCTTTGAAAAAGGTCTCACTGACATGTAACAAATTTGTATAGAAAAAAAAAAAAAAAAAAAAAAGGTGGTACCGGGCCACATTTCAATACTACTCAGAGACAATGGTGGATGTGCATGCAAGTCCCCACTGAGTCCTACGATATAGAAATTCCTTTGATATTACAAAATACAAAAATATTTTATCAGAACTCTCATTTACATTGCATTTACAATGGACATGTAAATAACTTAGTCTTGGGTCCTGGCTAATAAACAAATTACTTACTGAAAAAAGGGTCCTAAAAGTAAGAGAACCAGAGAGGATAAAAGCGAGCAGGAAACAATTTACCATCTTGAGAGATGGCAACTCAACACAGAACTGATGGGAAGGAAGTGACCAAGCCTGGCCTCGATAGAGTCTACTGTGTTTCCAAAGTGAAATGTGCAAATAATATTCAACATGCCAAGAACTGTGACTACCTATTGAGTCAACCTGTAACCTTGCCTCCATCTACTGACAGCATTTTCCCTTTTCTCCCCCATAAGCCACCCCCAAAAGCGCTTTAACATTTAAAACAGTGCAAGTTTCTGACTTTACATTCTTAGCTCCCATCTTCTCCCATTCCCTGATCCCAATCATATTAAGAAATGATACAGTTTTTGCTCTTCTGTCTTTTCCTGCTGTGCAACTGTCCTCTGCCACCTAATGTGGAAGATTTGGGGAGGCCGTAGGAGCTGTATTTGTGCAGCAGCTCATCGCTTGTGACGTATCGCAGGCGCGCTGGCTGGGGGATGGGTTCTCCTAGGAAATAGCCCTCGTTGTCAGACTCTGAAGAGGAGGAGCAGGTGGAACACCAATCATACTCGGCGAAGTAGGGTCCCCAGCGGTCCCCAAAGGCATTCTGCAAAGCCAGGTCCGACACAGTCCTAGGGCACTGGCCGTACAGGTCCCTCCGGGACCCATGCCCCATGCTCTCCTGGAAGCTCCGCTGGCGCATAAATTGGTCATAGTCCTCCCTGGCTCTCAGAGGGGGCCTATCTTTTAACCGGGAGATGGCCTCGCGTTCGCTGGCCAGGTGGAGGGCGTTGTCGGAGCGAGAGCGTCGGGAACGCCTGGACCTGTGAGGTCGGAAACGGCGGTTGTCGTCGCGTGAAGTAGCTCTTCTCCGGGTGCGTTCACTCATGGGCTGGATCCTCACGCCCTCCTGCCCTGGCAGCTTGCTGCCCGCCATCCCTCCATCAAAATCAAAGCTCTGATGCATCCTTCCGTGGGACTGCAGGTCTCTGTAGCCAATGGGGTTGCTGAGCTGGTGGAGGTTTCCCTCCATCTCCTGGTACTGCTGGGCAGAGAGCAGGCTGCGAACTGACTCTGCGCTCCGGAACTGCATGGACGAGTTAAGAGTGCCCATGTTGCTCAGCTTCTCAGACACATTCATTCCAGAGTCTTTGCTGAGGTCAGGCATGGAAAATCGGGATAGGTGCTCCTGGCGCTTGGCACCACCATCAGCAGAGAGGCCTGGGGAAGAGAGGAGGGGACCACAGAGATTAATACAGATGTGCAGCAATGGGTATCACTGTCACTGCTGGTCATCTATCTAGGGTCATTATATACCGTTGTGAAGTTGTGTACTGCACAAAGGCCCTCTCAGGGGGCACATGTGCCTGTGAGGGGGTTCTCTCCACTCCACAGTAGGTCACTATCTACCTAGAGGGGGCACTTACTTAAAATGCTTCCAGAGATGTATTTTACCAGTTACTAGTTCCTCCAAAGGCTCATCAAAGTTACTAAGAGCCCACTGTGTATCCTATGTATGATGCTTCCTCTATTTGGAGTTTCACTTTGCAAAGTACTTTAATTACATTTTTGATTCTAATCATGCACTATAAGCTCTGTAGGACAGATATTTTGGATGAGCAAACTTTAAGCTCTAGAGGCTGGATCATGCCCAAGCTGTTTCTGGCAATACCAAACACTGGTTCCACAATATTGGGCCAGTTCACTTCTCTGTTAGCCCGCAGCAGTTTCCTGCTTTGCCTGCTGTCCCTAAGTGGCAGGTGGCTCCCTATCAAAAGTGTCTTGGACACTAAGTGACTCCCTAGATATAGATAGAGAAATATTTACTCTCTCAGACCATTCAGTGAATGCTCCAAGGTTGTAAATGGGTCTCTAGCAGCCAGAAGATGTGTGTGGGACCCCAAGGGACCTCTCGGTCGCACGGGGAGGGACTTTCAAAAGTAAAGCAGTGGGTTTGATGCTCTCAAACAGTGGGTGCCCCAGCAATGGACCTCCATTTCTTAACTGCTGTCAAATGAGCTCTTGGCATCCCTGAGATGAAAACCATTTTGAAGGTAGTGGGAGATACTGACTGCAGTAACTTCCATTTTGCTCATTTTCAGGCAGAGCTCTCTAAGGAGATGTTTAAGAATGGGCCAGGTGGCAAAGTCTCAGCATTTTCCACTCATTACATATTGCAAGGATCAGCAATTTGCCATTCCTGGTCATAGACAACATGCCTTTGGATTGCAATGGCCCATTATCACCCCTGCTACTGATTATTCCTGTCTCCTACTGGGGCCTCCAACTTCCTCTTCCGTGACAAAACCTAAAGCAGTGTTACGAGCACTTTGCAAAATTACTTGGCAATATTTACTAAAGCTAAATACACATATACGTATATGAATTATAAATAAAGCCGCTCTGAATATCCTTGGCCATTTTTTGTGGACTTATGAATTTCTGTTGGGTGTACGACCAAGAGTAGAAATTCCACAATTCTCCATCTTCACTCTTGATTATATATTCATCAGAAGTTAGTAAGAAGGTCCAAGAAATGGACAAGGGTACTCAGAGAAGCTTTCTTGTAATAGCCCAGAAACGGAAACAACTCAAATGTCAATTATCAGGAAAATGGATAAATATATTGTGGTTTTTTCTACCATTCCCCACTAAAAGGAATCCAGGCTCTTTAGAAAGATGGCCAATTCCAGGATAAAGGCAAGGAAATTAAAAGAACCAGGATCTTGTTATGCCATAAAGTGAGAAAGTATTAAAAATAAGATATGGCAGGGGTTTGTCAGAAGGACACAGGGCCTAACTTGAAGGGGCCCCCACTGGCCAAATCTGAACAATTTGAGCACTCAAATATTTAAGTGAAGTAATGATTTATAAACCACTGAAACAAATAGGAATTCACAAGTCCATGCTGATAGCAGATAAATAAAAACATAAATAAATACACAAACAGGGAAAAGAGAGGGCTCTATGTATAGTGGAATGCCAACCGCTGTCAGTAGAGTAAGTTCACAAGAAGGAAGGGGGTGCCAGATTTGGAAAGTCATTTTATAACCATTGGAGGTAGAGTGCTTCACACAAGAATCAAAAAGTGTGCTAAATTTAGGGGGTAAAATTTGATGGGGGAGAGCATTGTTTTAAAGTGTTTCCCTACACATTGCTTATTAGTTGCAAGGGAAGAATTAGTAACTAAACAAAGGTAAAATCAGACAACACCTTGACCTTAAGTTCAAACTTAACATCCCTGGTGAGATGCAACTGCACCCTGCATGCCTCCAGTTGAGATGTACTCAGAAGGGCACACTATCCCTTATGTAGTATTCCAGTCAAGAATGTATTACCCGAATGCATTCAGGAGGAAACATTAGACAGATGCCAAAAGGAGGGACATTTGTTATGAAAAAAGGGACTGTAGTCTTAAGACCAGACAAGACTGAGAGAATGTTCTAGATGAAAGGGTACGAGGGAAACATGGCAATTACATATAATACCTGATCCTGGACTGGAACCTGCTCTTTAGGGAAACTAAATGCTATAAAGTAGGGGTTCCCAGACCTCAGGCTACAGACTGGTTAGGAGCAGGGCCACACAGAAGGAGGTGAGTGGTCAGTAAGGGAAGCTTCATCTGCATGTACAGCCACTCCCCATTGCTCCAACTACTGCCTGACCTCTGCCTCCTGACAGATCAGCAGCAGCATTAGACTCTCATAGGAGTGTAAACCCTGTTGTGAACTGCTCATGCAGGATCTAGGTTGTGTGCTCCTTACGAGAATCTCATGCCTGATGATCCATAACTGTCTCCCATTACCCCTAGATGGGACTGTCTAGTTGCAGGAAAACAAGCTCAGGTCTCCCACTGACTCTACCTTAAAGTGAGTTGTGTAATTATTTCAGTATATATTACAATGTAGTAATAATAGAAATAAAGTACATAATAAATGTAATGCACTTGAACCATCCCAAAGCCATCCCCACCCCCTGGCCCCAGTCTGTGGAAAAATTATCTTCCATAAAACCGGTCCCTGGTGCCAAAAAGGTTGGGGACTGCCTCTATAAAGGATAACTTTTGGTCAACTGAAAAAAAAATGGAACATGGGCAATAGATAAAAGTATTATGCTAAATTTACTGTGGTCAATTAATAATGGTGATAATGTGGGAGAAGATCTTTACTCTTGGGAAATATATATGGAAGGATATGGTGGTAAATGGCCCAGATGGATGCAATTTGCTCTCAAATGGTTTATAAATAAAATGTGTGTGTGTGTGCGTGTGTGTGCATGCATGTGAACATGAAAGAACAAATGTGGCAAAAGGTTAACAATGGATCAATCTACGTAAAGAGTACATTACAGGTGTTGTTTGTTCTATTTTTATAACTTTTTTTAAGTCTGAAATTATTTCCAAATAAAAAGTTTCTTTAACATTAGAATATATTCATCTGATATGATGGTTTTTAATTCTGAAGGAAATTTGGAAACATCTGGACACATTTTTGGTTGTCACTATTAGGATGGGATTCTCCTGGCGTCTAGTAGGTAGAGGCCAGAGATGTTGCTAAACATCCTACAGTGTGAAGGATGGCTTCCTTGCCTCCACACAGAATTTTCCAAACCAAACTGTCAACAGTCTCAGAAGAAACCCTGATAAAATGGAATATTACACAATAATGAGAACGAATAACTACACCCAAGAACATGGATGTATCTCATAGAAAATGCTTGGACATGCAAAAAGAATATGTGCTGTATGATTCCATTTATATGAAGTTCAAGAACAGGCTGAGGCTATCTATAGTGATACAGGTCAGGGCAGTGGGAGGAGGGGGTATGAAGAAGGCTTCTAGGGCACTGCAATTGTTCTATAACTAAATCTGGATGGTGGCTGTAAAACAATACACATGTGTAAAAATTCACTGAGATGTAGTTTTAATATTGGTTTGCTTTATTCTGTGTAAATTATATCTCAATAAAATGGAGTAAAAGTAAAGCAACGTTTGGCCAGGTGTGGTGGCTCATGCCTGTAATCCCAGCACTTTGGGAGGCCAAGGAGGGTGGACTGCTTGAGCTCAGGAGTTCAAGACAAACCTGGGCAACATGGTGAAACCCTGTCTCTACTAAAAATACAAAAATTAGCTGGGCATGGTGGTGCGTGCCTGTAGTCCCAGCTACTTGGGAGACTGAGGTGGCAGTATCACCTGAGCCCAGGAGGTGGAGGCTGCAGTGAGCCGAGATTGTGCAACTGTGCTCCAGCCTGGGCAACAGAGCGAGCCCCTGTCTCCAAAAAATAAACAAATAAATAAATAAAAAATAAAACAATGTTTGTTAAAGGGTCAAATTTTAACATTGGATATGCCTATAAAGAAATTAATCAGCTAAATATCATATACTCCAGTAATTTTTTGTTTCAATTTCGTTCCTGGGATAACTGTCAGGGCAATAGCAGCTGGGGCCTCCAATCGCTTGCTTACTCTGCTGCTTATCTCTTACATACAAATCATAAAAGCCGATTTACAACAGCCTAATCACTTCCAGAGCCTCCCCAATATGAAAGCAGAGAGGAGAGGATAACAACCTAAGATGATGAATGAGTGGTTTGAGTGGATGAACTCTAGTAAGAAAGGAAAGAAAACATCTTCAAACTCATGTCTAGAAACAAAAGGTGGACACAATGATCTTTGCAGGGCTTTCCAACCTAGCTCTTGAGTAGAATTAGGGTCAGCATAAATAACTTAGCAAATACTATTAATTCCCCAGCATGCTGTTTTCCCGAACCTGTCTTTCATAAGCCCAGAAGTGAAATGTTTTTGAGAGCATCCTGCTTGTGAACAGATTCCTATTTCCGTGAGGAGGTGACCTCGAAGAAGAGCAGCTTCTATTCTGCTGGGAGGTGTACTGCCTTCTGGTATCAGGCTTCTGCATCCCGGGAAAGCTCGGGATAACCTGAGGCACCCCCTTGAAAAACAAAAGAGCTTGATCAGAGCAGGAGGGTCCTGTTGCACAAGCCCAGCATCTACTATCAGTTTCACCTAAATGTAAGCCATTCATTCCCCTGGACTATGTGTGGGTGGGACTGGAAATACTACCTGCTCACTCTAGAGAGGAGAAATGCCTCTCTTCTGATTCATTAACTCAGATTTTCCTCCAGGGTCTTCTTGCATGCAGGGCATGAACAGAAAGGCCAATGTTGACCAAAGATGAGCAATAACTGTGTACTTGCCTCTAGAAAGGGTAGTTCTGTGGTTACTTTCATTACTGGCAAAATCTAGAATCCTTACGCAGACCTTAAGGCCCTACGTGACTTGGCTCTCTTCTCTTTCTCCAAGATAATCAACTAAACACTCCTCCTCGCTTAACTCTGCTTCAGCTGTGCTTACATTCCTCCCTGTCTCCCCAAACACAACAATAAGCTTATTCCAGCAGGCCTTGGAAAACTCTTCCCTTTGCATGCCTGACTTCTGTTTGTTAAAGTCCTCGTGTAGATGTCACCTCCTCAGCAGTGTCATTTCTGAACACTCCTTCTAAAGTAGCAAAGTTAGTTGTCTTCTGGCCAACCACTCACTATTGCACTTGACCCTTTTTTAAACTACTCACCCTGACTTATTAAGGTCATATGTAAGTTTGTAGCTGAATGAATCCCCTGGGAGCCAGGATCTTCTCCCTACTCTTCACTGTATTCTTGCAGAGCTAGCAGTGCCCAGTACCCTTTGGTGCTCAATACATACTCATGGAATAAACGTAAATGGATTCTCATGTTACCCACAGCTTGGAAAAAAGCAACCACCCTCCAACCTGGAGTGGGTCAGTGCTGTGATCCACATGGGTGGGATTCCAAACATCCAGAAAAAAATACCATGATCACACCTGTCAATCTCCATCTCTGGTGATTCATTATATAGCCCACCATCTGGGGTTTCTCCAATTTTAAAGTCAAAGTACACGTGATTTATAATGAGCTCCCTGCACTGCAGAAATGTTTTCTCCTTACTAATCACAGCTCTGTTGATGTGTTTAAATTAGCAGCTGATACTGTCCCCAAGATGGAACTGTACTGTCACAGGTCACACTCCAACTTGAGAAGCACTCCTTTCCCCTCTAACTACGAACAGAACTGGAGAGCTACTTTCTGGCTGGGTGACTTGGGGAAATTTGTAAACCTCTTGAGATGCATCAGTAAGATGGGCATAATGACAGGAAGTGAGTACTAAAGCTGTAGTGATGATTAGATGAGGAAAAATATATCTTTCCTTTTTAAGGTTCATCATGACTATGGTGCATCTGTGTAGTTGTTGTTTCATCTCTGTCTTCTTGACAGATCAGCAGCTCCAAGAGGGCAGAAACTGTGCTCCTGTTTGCTAGCCCTGACCTCATACCTGGTATTCAGTATGCAGGAAGAAGGTTTAGTAAGGCCTAAAATTCCCCAAGGAAAGAAAGCATGCCTCAAGACTGTGAATGCCCTCCAGACATTTACAACTCATACTGATGATTTAGCTCCCTTTCAGTAGGGTCTTTCCTATATTATTTATTATTTATGTGCTGGGGCAGAGACATGAAGAAAATGGAGCTGTTTAGAACAGGAGTTTGCAAACTGCAATGGCCAGTGAACCAAATCCAGCTCACCGCTCACTGCCTGTTTTTCTAAATAAAGTTGTATTGGAACACAACCACACCTATTCATTTGCATATTGTCGAGGGTTGCTTTCTGGAGTTGGGAGTTGTGACAGACTGTATGACCTGCAAAGACTCAAATATGTTACAGGCAAACAAATATCATTGAATGCATGATTGTATGGATTAATGAATTTGAGAAACAGGGCCTGATGCACTGATATCCACTTGAACGCCAGCCACTGTTGTAAATTATCTGTGCCTCCAAACCGTGGCTGGGATTCCTCCTCTACACAGACGAAGCTCAACTCTTCACTCCATTTGTCTGTGCTGAACACGACACAGTGTCAAAATAATGCAAATCAATAGAATCCAACCTAATGGGGCTCTAACATGCCCTTACTCTCCTGTAATAAACACATTTTTCTTTTCTTGTTGTTTAAGCCATGGGGTGTGTGTGTGTCTGTGTGTGCGTGCTCAAGCACATGTGTGATAGGGAGGTGGGAGCTGCAAGCTAAATTTGCCAGAGAACTCTGGCTGCAGCACATAGTCCAGGGCAGTATCAGTACCCCTACATCCTCTGGAGGATCTGGCAGAAGAATCCCACCTGATGGCAAGGAGACACAGATATCAGGTCATTTCCCTCTCAAGCAGAGCTCTGTTTTCTTAATTAACAGAGAGGGTTTTTCCCTGCCAAATAATGCAGGCTTTATGAGAGGTGCTCAGGGTGATGATAGAGTTAAACGCAGTGATTTATCCATATCCCAAGGGTCAGTGTGACTGGGAGCTACGCAAATGTCCATGCACCACAGGGGTGCAGGTTCCCTTAAGATCCTTGGCTGTGCTTCTACAAAGAGAGGTCAGCATCCAATTCAGCCTGTGGTTCTCTGTGGTTTAACTGCCAGCATGAAGGTGCATTTGGGGCATTCTATGGTACACTGGCATTTCTGTCTGAGAAATGTTTCCCTCTCTACAAATAGGAGGTCTCACAGAAACTGGCCTCTGCGAGAAAATCAATGTTCTTCAAAGAATGCTCAAGGTCTGATGGAACGGAAAGAAAATATTTGCTGGCTCCCCTCCCCCACATGTCTTTGTGGGCAAAATGTATGCATGCAAGTCCAGAAAGAAGAAAAAGACTAAGATTGAACGGCAGACTTTAGGCACATCTTTCTGTTCCTTATTTATTGTCCTGTCTTATCCCACTCCGCACCAGAAGACAGAGAGCTGTGTTTCTGCCAACTTCAAAGATACATTACCAGGCACGGTGGCTCACTCCTATAAGCCCAGCGCTTTGGGAAGCTGAGGTGGGAGGAGCTCCTGAGCCCAGGAGTATGAGACCAGCCCTGGAAACATACTAAGACCCCCTAACTACAAAAACAAAAAACAGAAAATTAGCCAGGCATAGTGGTGTGCACCTATAGTCCCAGCTACTGGGGAGGCTGAGGCAGTAGGATCACGGTTACAGTGAGCTATGATGACACCACTGCACTCCAGAGCCTTTCAAAAAATAACTTTTTTAAGCATTCATATTTCACATTTCTGTGCAGTAAAGGAAATAGTATCTATTCAACCATGTCCTCCAGACATTTACAACTTATACTGATGACGTAGCTCCCTTTCATTAGGGTCTTTCCTATATGATTTTTATTTTCTTTTTTGCTGAGATAGAAACATGGAGAAAATGGAATTGTTTAGAACAGCGGTTTGCAAACTACAGTGGCAATGGGCCAAATCCAGCTTACTGCCTGTTTTTGTAAATAAATTTGTATTCAAACACAACTACACCTATTCATTTGCATGTTGTTGGTGATTGCTTTCCAGATTTGGGGAGTTGTGACAGACTGTATGACCTGCAAAGCCTCAAATATTTACTTTCTGGCCCTTTATAGACACAGGTTGTCAACCTCTGGTTTAGCATGCTGCGGCAAGCCTGAACAGCCCCGAAGTCATGGGCGCTACACAGTTGAAGCCTCTCAGACCGTGCAAAAAGTGTCCCAAGGTACATATTTGTTTGTTTGAAGCATGTGTGGCGGTAGCTTGATCAGGTCCCTTGGGATCCTTTCTCCAACTAAGTCAATCGATTTCCTCAACATCCCGAACTTCAAATTGGCAACAGCTGGAGAGATACTGTCATCTGGGCAGTGGAGCTTAAACGCCACCACATGTTTCTTGGTGACAGGGCATGGAATGGCTCAAACAGAGTATGACAAAGAAGGCTGGGGGTGGGGACAGAAAGAGGAGAGTGGGACAATATGAATGCACTCGAAAGTGTGATCTGTGGACCAGCCACGATGCCATCCCTTGGGAGCTGGTTGCAGACTCTCAGGCCCTCACCGGACTTGCAGAATTCAAATCCACATTTGAACGAGATCCCTGGTGATTCTCATGTTCATGAGAGTTAGAGGAACACCAAGATGATGGGAGTTTCAAGGACGATTTTCTTTGCAACACAAGGGTGCTTCTACTCCAGGAAACAAGACCCTCACACTCTCAGAGACTCTAATTCAGGGTTTCCCAACCTCAGTACTACTGACATTTCGGGCTGGATAATTCTTTGTTTGGTGGGCTGTCCTGTGCACTTCAGGATGTTCAGCAGTATCTCTGGACTCTACCCACTAGATGCCAGTCACACATCCCTCTGGTTGTGACAGCCCCGAAATGTCTCCAAACAGTGCCAAATGTCCCTGGAGGGCAAAATCGCCCCCAACTGAGGACCGCTGCTCTAACAGATCCTGTCCTCCACCTGCTGCTTGACCATAGCCCAAGGGGAGCTCTGTTCCTGTCCACCCAGTTGTTGGAGTGAGTTAAACCTGCTCTACCCCATCCTGCAGACAGGAGCCTCGTCACGATGGGGGTTGCCGCTCCTTCTTTCTAGAGAAGGATTATCAGGGCTCTGCCTGGTTGGGTGTGGTATGTCCCCAAAACTGGGGAACTCTAAAAGTTATTTTCTCTCTAAACTCTTCTCAGAAAATTCACATTCCTTTCTCTCAGTGGCTATCAAGAACTCCCCAGTTAAGGCCTTTGCTGTCTAATTTTCCTGGCAGGTTTGAAGCTTTTGAAATCCTGAGTTTTTGATGTATCTCTTTTACTTCCTTACTCCAGCCACTGGCCTATCTAGCAGGTCTCAGGTGATCAGCAGATCACAAGTTGGCTTGCAGTCAGTTACACATCTGTCATCTGCTCTGGTGCTACCAGGATCAGTGCTGGTAGTCTAAGGAATGATTTCCTCTGCCAGCTGCACTGGGGAAGGGAAAGGGAAAGGGGAGGCCAAGCCCTGGGGCAGGGGTGGGGGAGGAGGGGAGTGTGCATAACTTCTTACTTCACACTCCCACCCCCAGGCTTGGCCTGCCTTCCCTCTCAGTCAGGCATGGGCTGTTTAGGCCCAAACTAAATAACAGCCTCTTTACAACCAGCTGCTTCCAAAGAGGGTCATGGACTGATCTTGGTTTTCCCAACAATAGCGGCTTTGTTTTTTAGCAGCATTCATTCTAGGGACTTGCCTTTGAACTGGAGGTTGGGGAGTGACAAGCATTATAATGGGACTAGAATCACTTCTCTGACAGACCCAGTACAGTTACAAGGACAAGTCAGATAAAAACTTGAGTGTGGATTGGAGGTTTCTTACCTTCTATCCCTTTCCTTGCTCATCCTATTAACTTCCGGATAAATCAGTGACCCCAATAAAGATGGAGTCAATTTTAACTAAAACCACTTGTAAAAGTGAAGGAGGAAACCAGGAAGGGACATCTTCCAGAATCATGTGGAGTCAGTTTTAACTAGTACCACTCAGCTCCATGGGGGATTCTGGTTGTATTGCCACAAAGCATATTGCTAATTGAAAGGATACACAACAAATTCAGACCAGTTGAAGATTTTTTTGCCAGAGTTTGCTCTGGGTTTACACTGACCCCATGCTGCTTTCTAGAACCCATTAGTCTGGGTCAACAAGCAGACCATGCTGTATTTACTTGGGAAACACTTGACTACAGGAGGACAAAAGCTAAATGGCTCCCAAGTGGTAGAGAGTGGGCAGCCAAGAACCTGGGGACCCACTGAGTTGCTTCAAAGATCTTTGACAAAGCCCTGCTATTGCCAGGCACTGGGAGCACAACTGTGAACAAGGCCCTTTAAGAGGACAACGTAGAAGGATATGACCTAGTGCAGGGAGAACAGATAACCAAGTCAGCATAGCAAGGTGACCGTTACAGATAATAATCACTAGGAAGGAAATAAAGGGGATGCTATGGCAGAGAATAAAGACTGGACCTACTTTGAGTGCTGGAAAAGAACTCTGTGTTGGTGATGACTATGGGGAGACCTAAAGGATGAGAAGGAGCCCACCCAGCCAAGGGCAGGGAAAAGTGTTCCAGGCAGAGGGAGCAAGAATATTTTGTACTAGAGAAGGTGCCACGAGCTCTAAGATGTAGCAGAGGGGCAATGACACTGGAACATTGTGAGCAAGGAGGACAGCAGCAGGAATGAGGCTCAGAAGGTGAAAAGGAGCCACACGGAGGTTCTTCCTAGTCCACTCTGGGTTTTAAAAGTGTCGGGAGGCTGAGGCAGGAGAATGGCGTGAATCCAGGAGGCGGAGCTTGCAGTAAGCCGAGATCGTGCCACTGCACTCCAGCCTGGGAGACAGACAGACTCCATCTCAAAAAAAAAAAAAAAAAAAAAAAAAGTGTCTTTCATGTGCTGCTGGCAAAATTATAAAAAGTAACTGAGAGGCAGCACAGGGGACTGGTGAAAGCATTGGCTTTGGAGTTCACCTTCCAGTTCTGTCCCTTGAAGCTGTGCCTTCTCAGGCAGGCCTGGACTCTTTTGTGCTCAGTTCCCTCATCTGTGAAATGGGAATAATCATACAACCTAAGGGAGAAGGTATTAAATGGGTTAAAACACAAAGTACTTAGAACAGTGCTGGTGCGGGGACACCAATGAAATGTTCAATCTTCTTACTGTCCTTTACTCCATATTTATCTGTCACTTTTAAAGCACTTTTACGCATGTTGTCATATATGAAATTGCTGGGCATTGTTATACAATCTTTCTAAGTGGGAAAAGGGAGTTTGGATGATTTGCCCAAGGTCATACAGAAGCTACTTGAGAACTCTTCTCCCACCTCCTGCCTTTTATTACTGTGAATACAAAAAGTAAAAGGAATGTGGCCAGAGTGCTAGCAGTCAGAGATTTGAGGGGGCAGGAGGCAGAGAGAAGTACAGATCCAGTGACACTCCCCAGCTTCTAACCAGCAGCTGCAATGAAAACAGTCCTTTTTATTAATGTATAGTTTTCTATTGTATAAATATGAATTACATGCAACAACATGGATGAATCTCATAAAGTAAAAGATACCAGATATAAAATAACATGTACAGTATATCCCATTTATAGAAAGTTAAAATCCACCCCAAATCATCTATGCTGTTAGATGTCAGAATAGTGCTTACTTTGGAGAGGAAGGAAGAGCAGCGGCTGGGAGGGGGCATGAGGGAGCTTCTAGGTTACTGGCACTGCCTATTGCTTGACTTGGGAGATGGTACCATCAGTGTAATAATTCACTGAGGTGTCACTTGTGATTTTTGCATATTTCTATTTGTTATACAGCTATATAATGTTTATGAGAAATTATAACTGAGAGGCAAGAATGCACTCATGACAATGTAAAAGGTAAACATGCAGAACTCACAATCCCCTATCCCAACACACACACACTTCCTCAACGGCACGTCTCATACACTAGACTTGTATGGCTGGCACACATGGTTCCACCTGGTGGCCAACACACTAAGCTTTTTTATTTAATCTCAAGGGTTAAATTTCCTTTTGCCTTTTTAAGTTGGGATACACCAGGACCTTTATCACCTATGCTCTTACCCTTGGCCAAATTTACACATTTATTATACCTGCCTGTCCACACCCCTCCTTTCCCCATTAGACATATGCATTTCCCACTGGTCTCAGCCAACTTGATGAGGTGGGTTAGATGTTTGGATAAAAGTGGTTTATGGATTTAAGAGGCAAAATACAATGTACTCCTTTAGGCTTGGGATCTTTGCTTCTCAAGATCTCCCTTCTCTACAGGTGGGGGTTGATAAAGTGCCATTTGTGGGACAGCAGTTCATGACCTCATGTACAACAGAACCAATTACTAGATTGGCTGACAGATGGATAAATGGGTACAATGGACAAGAAGATGGAATAATTTTTAAATGGATGGGTGTATGGTATGAAGGATAATAAAGGGTGGGGATAAATAAATGGAAGGATAACTGAATTAATCAATGAATGGGTGCAAATGTGATGTAGTTACAGGACAGACAAAGTTTTGGGCTCTCAAAAAAAGTTAACCTCCAAGTGGGACCTAATTAAACTAAAGAGCTTCTGCACAGCAAAATAAACTACCAACAGAGTAAATAGACAACCCACAGAATGGGAGGAAATATTTTCAAACTGTGCATCAGACAAGGCCTAATATACAGAATCTATAAAGAACTTAACTGAATAAGCAAAAAACAGCTCCATTAAAAAATGAGCAAAGGGGGAGAAGGCAAGATGGCTGACTAGACGGAGACAAGTGGAACAGCTCCCAAGGAGGGACTGAGATGACTGGCATGCTTTTAACAGATCTTCAGAAGGAGGGCACTGAGAATGGATGGAGGCAAGACATAGAAATCTGGGAACCCTGCATGGGCTACCCTGCAGCAGGACTCACTTTTGAACAACAACAGCTCAGGGGGAATGGGTGAGTTGAACTGGCAAGGAGCAACCTGCTCTTGTCACAGGCCTTGGGAACCCTAGAAGGAGGGGGACCCCTTGACCACCATGGACACTTGAGGTGGCAGGGAGGGCTGCTTAGGGAAGTGTTGGGGCAACAAGCCAGCTGATGTGTAGCCCAGAGGGTTTGCTGTGGGGGTGTCTGCAGTGCAGCACGGGCAGGGGTGGCCATTCCCCTAGACTCAACTTGTTCCCATAAGAGACTTTAGCCCTAGAAGAACTGTTGGACCTGATCGCTGAAGGGTGGTCTTGCACATCAGATGGGGCTGGTCTGACCTGTGCACCCCTTAGTCTGTTGGCCTCTTCTGGGGCCCCAGCCTGGCCACACCTGCTTAGAGGGCAGTCTTGGGTACCTTGGGGGCCCACAGCATAGCTTCTGTGCCAGTGAACCTTGCCTGACTGGTGGAGAAGTCCAGTGAGGTGTGGCCTATACAGCCATGCACATGCTCCCTCCCCATACTGCAGCTTCCCCGGGGCCCATGGCAATGCCCTACATCACTTTGCTGGCACATGTCTGCACAGATAGGTTTTGCTTTCCTTGCCCTGCCAGCACACTGGAGTGTAGTCTGCACCCACCCAGCCCCCAGCCACCACTGCAGATGGAGCTTTGGTGGGCATAAAGCCAGCAAGCCCTGCCCCTGCCAGCACCCTGCCCTTATACTAATACTGCACAGAGAACAGCGGACACCCCCACACCCTCAGGGATCACTCCTGCTTGCAGGGCACAGAGAAGGCACCCAAACCTGCCCCAGCCAGCACCCTGCCCCAAGCCAATACCATATCCAGTACAACCACACACATAATCTCCAGCAGGGGCCCCCCACTCCACCCAGCTATGCTGCCTCTGTCATTGTGGTGAACACCCACAGGGAGGTAGGCACCCCTGCATCTGCTAGCACTGTTACAGCTGCCACACCTTGGCACCTCCAGTGCAGTGGACTCCAAATGTCGCAGAGCCAGATAACAAAGCTGGGGCCCAATACAAGTCCCCCAGAGTAAGAGCACAGTCTAGCAGTTGGGAGCTGGGTGTTGGCCCCCTAAAATCTCCCCAAAATGAAGCCAGTCAGCTGAATCCATCTCATACCAAAATCAAACCCTCAAAGTCATCAAATAGGATTAAGAAAAAAAAAAAAACCATGCAAAGGTCAGCAACCTCAAAGATTGAAGGTAGATAAGCCCACAAATTTGAG
Organism: Homo sapiens; assembly: GCF_000001405.40. Taxonomy (NCBI): domain Eukaryota; kingdom Metazoa; phylum Chordata; class Mammalia; order Primates; family Hominidae; genus Homo; species Homo sapiens. Next base: position 64,114,268 of record NC_000003.12, read on the forward strand.
AAAGAATCAGGGCAAGAATGCTGAAAATACGAAAAGCCAGAGTGCCTTCTTTCCTCCAAACAACCGCATCACCTTTCCAGCAAGGAATCATAACTGGGCTGAGGCTAAGATAGCTAAAATAACAGAAATGAAATTCAGAATATGGATAGGAATGAAGATCATTGAGCTCAGTACACTGAAACCCAATGCAAGGAAGCTAAAAATGATGATAAAACAATGCAGGAGCTGACAGACAAAATAGCCAATATAGAGAAAAACATAACTGACCTTAGAGAGCTAAAAAAACCCATTACAAGAATTTCACAACACAATCACAAGTATTAATAGAATAGAGTAACTGGAGAAAAGAATCTCAGAGCTTGAAGACTGGCTTTTTGAAATAAGACAGGCAGACAAGAATAGAAAAAAAAAAGAATGAAAAGGAATAAACAAAACCTTTGAGAAATATGGGATTATGTAAAGGGACCAAATCTATGACTGATTGGTGTCCTTGAAAGAGATGGGGAGAATGGAACCAACTTAGTAAACATACTTCAAGATATCATTCATGAGAACTTCCCCAACCTAGCTAGAGAGGCCAACATTCTTAAGATACTTCAAAAGAAGATTATCCCCAGTACACATAATCATAAGATTTTCTGAGGTCAAAATAAAAGAAAAAAATGTTAAAGGCAGCTAGAGGGAAAGATCAGGTCATCTACAAAAGGAAGCCCATCAGACTGACAGCAGACTTCTCAGCTGAAACCCTGTAAGCCAGAAAAGAATGGGGGCCAATATTCAACATTCTTAAAGAAAAGAAATTCCAACCCAGAATTTCATATCCGGCCAAACTAAGATTCATAAGCAAAGGAGAAATAAGATCCTTTTCAGACAAGCAAATGCTGAGGGAATTTGTTCCCACTAGACCTGCCTTACAAGAGCTCCTGAAGGAAGTACTTAATTTGCAAAGGAAAGACCATTACCAGCCTCTGTAAAAACACACTGAAGTACCCAGACCAGTGTCACTGTAAAGAAACTACATAAACAAGTTTGCAAAATAACCAGCTAACATAATGATGACAGGATTAAATCTACACATATCAGTACTAACCTTAAATGTAAATGGGCTGAATGACCCAATTAAAAGACACAGTGTGGCAAGCTGCATGAAGAACCAAGACCCATTATTATGCTGTCTTCAAGAGACCCATCTCCCATGCAGACACACACAGGCTCAAAATAAAGAGATAGAGAAAAACCTACCAAGCAAATGGAAAACAGAAAAAAGCAGGAGTTGCAATCCTAGTTTCTGACAAAACAGAGTTTAAGCCAACAAAGATCAAAAAAGACAAAGAAGGGCATTATGTAATGGTAAAGGGTGGAATTCAGCAAGAAAATCTCACTATCCTAAATATATATGTTCCCAACACAGGAGCACCCAGATTCAAAAAGCAAGTTCTTAGAGACCTTCAAAGAGATTTAGACTCCCACACAATAATAGTGGCAGGATTTACAGCCCCACTGACAATATTAGACAGATCATCAAGAAAAAATTAACAAAGATGTTCAGGACCTGAACTCCGCTCTGGATCAAGCAGACCTGATAGATATCTATAGAACTCTCCACCCAAAAAAACAGAATACACATTCTTCTCATCACCACATGGCATATATTCTAAAATAGATCACACAATCAGAAGTAAAATTCTCCTCATCAAATGCAAAAGAACTGAAATCATAACAAACAATCTCTCAGACCACAGCACAATCAAATTAGAAATCAAGACTAAGAAATTCACTCAAAACCATACAATTACATGGAAATTGGATAACCTGCTGCTGAATGACTTTTGGGTAAATAATGAAATTAAGGCAGAAATGAAGAAGTACTTAGAAAGTAATGACAACAAAGATACAACATATCAGAATCTTTGGGATGCAGCTAAGGCAGTGTTAAGCAGGAAACTTATAGCACTGAAATGTTCACATCAAAAAGTTAGAAAGATCTCAAGTTAACAACTTAATATAAAAACTAAAAGAACTAGAGAATCAAGTGCAAAGAAATCCCAAAACTAGCCGAAGACACAAAATAATCAAAATTAGGGCTGAACTGAAGGAGACTGAGACACAAAAAAGCCATTCAAAAGATCAATGAATCCAGGAGCTGGTTTTCTTGAAAAAAATAATAAAATAGATAGACCACTAGCTAGACTAATAAGAAAAGAGAGAAGATTAAAATAAACACAATCAGAAATGACAAGAAGGATATTATCACTTACCCTACAGAAATATAAACAACCATCAGAGAATATTATGAACACCTCTATGTACATAAACTAGAAAATCTAGGAGAAATGGATAAATGTCTGGACACATACACCCTTCCAAGAATGAACCAGGAAGAAATTGAATCCCTGAACAGACCAATAATGAGCTCTGAAATTGAGGCAGTAATAAATAGCCTACCAACCAAAAAAAGCCCAGGATCAGATGGATTCACAGCTGAATTCTGTCAGGTGTCCAAAGAAGAGCTGGTATCATTCCTACTGAAACTATTCCAAAACACTGAGGAGGAGTGACTCCTCCCTAACTTATTCTATGAGGCCAGCATCATCCTGATACCAAAACCTGGTAGAGATACAACAACAACAACAAAAAGTCAGGCCAACATCCTTGATGAACATTGATGCAAAAATTCTTAAAAAATTACTGGCAACCCGAATCCAGCAGCACATCAAAAAGCTTATCCACCACAAACAAGTAGACTTTATTTATCCTTGGGAACAAGTTTGATTCATCATATGTAAATCAATAAATGTGATGCCTCACATAAACAGAACTAAAGACGAAAACCATATGATTATCACAATAGATGTGGAAAAGGATTTTGATAAAATTCAACATCTTCTCATGTAAAAAACTTTCAATAAACTAGGTACTTAATGAACATACCTCAAAATAATAAGAGCCATCCATGACAAACCCATAGCCACCACCATACTGAATGGGCAAAAGCTGGAAGCATTCCCTTGAAAACCAGCATAAGACAAGGATGCCCTCTCTCACCAGTCCTATTCAACATAGTATTAGGAGTCCTGGCCAGGGCAATCAGGCAAGAGAAAGAAATAAAAGGCACTCCAAATAGGAAGAGGGAAAGTCAAATCATCCCTGTTTGCAGATGACATGATCCTATATCTAAAACATCCCACAGTCCCAGCCCACAAGCTTCTTAAATTGATAAACAACTTCAGCAAAGTCTCAGGATCAAAAATCAATGTGGAAAAATCACTAGCATTCCTATATACCAACAATAGTCAAGCCAAAAGCCAGATCGGAAATGAACTCCCATTCACAATTGCCACAAAAAGAATACATTACCTAGGAATACAGCTGACTAGGGAGGTGAAAGATCTCTACATGGAGAACTTCAAACCACTGTTCAAATAAATTAGAGATGACACAAACAAGTGAAAACACATTCCATGCTCATTGACAGGAAGAATCAACATCATGAAAATGGCCATACTGCCCAAAGTAATTTATAGACTCAATGCTATTTCTATTAAACTACCACTGAGATTCTTCACAGAACTAGAAAATACTACTTGAAAATTCATATGGAAACAAAAAAGAGCCCAAATAGCCAAGACAATCCTAAGCAAAAAAGAACAAAGCAGAAGGCATCACATTTCCCAACTTCAAACTATATTACAGGGCTACAGTAACCAAGGCAGGATGGTACTGGTAGAAAAACAGACACATAGACCAATGGAACAGAATAGGAAACACAGAAGTAAGGCCACACACCTATAGCTATCTGATCTTAGACAAACCTGACAAAAACAAGTAATGGGGAAAGGATTGCCTGCTAAATAAATGGTGCTGGGATAACTGGCTAGCCATATGCTGAAAATTGAAACTGGACTCCTTCCTTACACAAAAATTAACTCAAGATGGATTAAAGACTTAACTGTAAAAACCTAAACTATAAAAACCTTGAAGAAAACCTAGGCAATATCATTCAGGACATGGGCACGGGCAAAGATTTCATGATGAAGACACCAAAAGCAATTGCGACAAAAGCAAAAATTGACAAATGGGATCTAATTAAACTAAAGAGCTTCTGCACAGCAAAAAGAAACTATCAATGGAGTAAACAGACAACCTACAGAAAAGGAGAACATTTCTGCAAACTAAGCATCTCACAAAGGTCTAATATCCAACATCTATAAGGAACTTAAACAAATTTGCAAGAAAAAAACCAAACCACCCCATTAAAAAGTGGGCAAAGAACATGAACACATACTTTTCAAAAGAAGGCATATATGTGGCCAGTAATCATGCAAAAAACTCAACATCACTGATAATTAGAGAAATGCAACTCAAAACCATGATGAGATAACTATCTCATACCCATCAGAATGACTATTACTAAAAAGGCAAAAAATTACTGATGCTGGCTATTCTTAAAAAGGCAAAAAAAATATGGATTATGGTTGCAGAGGAAAAGAATGCTTGTACACTCTTGGTGAGGGTGTCGATTAGTTCAACCACTGTGGAAGACAGTGTGGTAATTCCTCAGAGACCTAATAACAGAAATACCATTCAACCCAGCAAATAAATATTATATCCAAATAAATATAAATTGTTCTATTATAAAGAAAGATGCAGGTGTTTATGTCTATTGAGCACTATTCACACTAGCGAAGACATGGAATCAATCTGCATAACCATCAATGATAGACTGGATAAAGAAAATGTGGTACATATACACCATAGAATACTATGCAGCCATAAAAAAGAATGAGATCACGTCCCTTACAGAGACATGGATGGAGCTGGAGGCCATTATTCTTAGCAAACTAAGACAGAAACAGGAAATCAAATACTACATGTTCTTACTTATAAGTGGGAGCTAAATGATGAGAACACATGGACACATGGAGGGGAACAACACACACTGGGATCTATTGGAGGGTGGAGGGTAGAAGGAGGAAGATCATGAAAAATAACTAACGGGTACTAGGCTTAATAGCTGGGTGATGAAATAATCTGTACAACAAACCCCCATAACACAAGTTTACCTACATAACAAATGTTTGCATGTAACTTTGTGAACTTAAAATAAAAGTTGAAAGAAATGGGCAAAAAACATGAAAAGACACTTCTCAAAAGAACACATACGAGCTACCAACACACATAGGAAAAAATTCTCAACGTCACTAATCATCACAGAAATGCAAGTCAAAAGCACAATGAGATACTATCTCATACCAGTCAGAATGGCTACTATTAAAAAGTCAAAAAACAACAGATGCTGGTGAGGCTGTGGAGAAAAGAGAACACTTATGTACGATTGGTGCAAATGTAAGTGAGTTCAGCCACTGTGAAAAGCAGCTTGGAGATTTCTCAAAGAACTTAAACCAAACTACCATTCAACCCAGCAATCCCATTACCGGGTATATATCCAAAAGAAAATAAAACATTCTGTCAAAAAGACACATGCACTCATATGTTCATCACAGCACTGTTTACAATAGCAAAGACATGGTATCAACCTAGATGCTCATCAATGGTGGACTGGATAAAGAAAATGTGGGGCATGTACACCATGGAATATGATGCAGCCATAAAAAAGTATGAGATCATGTCCTTTGTGGCAGCATCGATACAGCTGGAGGCCATTTTCCCAAGTGAATTAAGGTGGGAACAAAAAACGAATTACCACATGTTCTCACTTGTAAGTGGGAGGTAAACACTGGGTACTCAACGGATGTAAAGATGGCAACAAGAGACATGGGGGCTACTAGAGGGGAAGGAGGGAAGGAAGCAAGGTTTGAAAATCTAACTATTGGGTACTATGCTCAGTACCTGGGTGACAGGAGGAATCATACCCCAAACCTCAGCATCACGTACTACACCCAGGTAACCTGCACATGTACCCCCTGAATCTAAAATAAAAGTTGAAATTATAAGAAAAAGTCAACTTCTAATAAAATAGAAGCTATGGAATAAAGGTCTTAGGTAAGAATTAAGTTTTCAGATAATCATTACTGCTTGTATTATTAACTTGCATTTATAGAGCTCTTTATACTTTTTAAGAGCATAAAATGCACTGGTGCTTCCGGAAATCTGGAAAGACAGCAGATGGACCTTCGTTTGGCAGATAAGGAACTGAAAACAGAAAAAAGATGAGCACCTTGCCCAAGGTCATGGGTGAGGGTAGGAGTCAGTGATGGAGGCAAGAATCAAAGCAGGTCTCCAGACTCTAAGGCAACCTCTTCTCAAGCTTCAGAAGCATGCAAGTCGCCCAGGGATCTTCTTAAAATGAAAATCTGAATCCACTAAGTCTGAGATTCTGAATCTCTGACAAGCTTCTAGAAGATACTGGTCCACAGACCACATTTGGAACAGCAAAGGGTCTGGGGTGCTTTCCTTTATCTCATGAGTGTGGAAAGAAAGCCTAGCTCCCCTTGTTTCTCATAACATATCCAGGAAGGCATATATCATAGAGACCAACCAGGGGCTGTACCTGAGCATGCCACACTCCCAGGCTTCTGGCCAGGCAGCTAGGGAACCTCAGGAATAGGGAGAGAAAGCACGGCTTTGCACTATGCCGTGTCCTACTTCTCCCTTCAGCAAAAGTGAAGCTGCCACGAACCCATTATCCTGTCTCTGCCAACAAACAACAAAGCCAGGACTGAATTCTTGGAAAGCATAAAGACCTTGAACAGGGCCATGAAAACTTCTTTTCCTGCTCTTGGTCTCCAATCTCTGTCTCAGCCAGCCTGTGCCCTTCGTCTGGCTTCCTGAGGCAACGTGGGTTTGGCTGGGCTCCCCCTCTGCACAGATGGAATAAGCAGCTGCTTACCTGGTAGGAGCTGAGTACCTGGAGAGTCCTCCAGGGCCCTCAAATCTCTTTCCTCCCACCTTGCAAATCTTTATATCAATCCAGCTCGTGAGCTAAAGGAAGCCTTTCCAAACTATCCTCTCTGGATTATGCAAAAAAACGATTGGGTGGGAAATTAGGTTTGGGAATTTCTACGGCACTTCTCAAAAACAGGCTTCAGTGCAGTAGGAATTTTCAGAAAGAAGATAGAAAATGCATTGTTTTCCATACTTTGGAAACAGAACCCCTTCTCTACCCAGCCCCACCCTGACTCATAAACATGTTTTGAGAAATAGTGGTTTACCAACATTGATTCCTGTTAAAATCCAAACATATCTGCTTATAATTTCTGTCTCAGTTATTGTAACTCGGCTGTGTTCAGCCAAACTGGAGCCTAAGGCAAAAGAAAAAAAAAAAATCAGTGAAACAGATCCTGTCTTTATTTACAAATTGTATTCTTTTGTTAGTCACAATTTTTTTTGTATGAATTTTAATGCTTAAAATATTCCTTATCTTGATGGCTAAGTTTTTTGGCACCCCTTTAAATTATGTAGCCATGGGGGAGGGTGTTTCTTGCCGCCCCCTAGTCCCATGCTGGGCAGACAGGCCACTCACCTTACACCTTAGTCAAATCTTTGATTTTCATTTGTGAAGTTCCATGTGTTGTATATTTGCTATAAACGGTGCTTTCCAGGGTAGCAGAAAAGAATGACTGGCTCGGAAAGTAGAGCACACTGCCATAAATACCAGTGAGATACTGAATAAATCACTTCTCTCCTCTGAACCTTGGCTTTCTTCTGAACTTCTAGCAGAGACGCTCCAAGCTCCTCCCAGCTGAGTCTGTGATTTTGATTCCAGATACCACCCATTATCAGATCAGTGTGGATTATGGTTGAGGAATATCTGCAGAGTATCTTTGCAAAGGGAATGTTATCTAGCAAAGTAAGTTTTCATAAAGGGGGTAAAAGGGAGGGAAAGAAGAGTTATGGAATGCTGCCAGAGAGGTCAGAATGGAAAACACTTAGGAGGTTCCTAGATAACCAGGGGGTAGTTTGTTGACAGAAAGGAACATAAATGAGAGAAAGAGAAACCTAAACCCAAGATTTGTCTACCTCATCATCTGTCATTAGTCAAAACCTGCTAACAGGTCTCAAGTAGATGTCCCCACTAGCCCACCCTTTGCCCCCAAAAATTCATAACCCAACAGCCAAGGCTCACTTCAGGGTGTTGTCTGGGAACCACTGCTGTGTCAGAATCACAGAATCACCTGCAAGTTCCCCAGTCCTGTCCCAGACCTAGTGAACCAGAACTTCTGGGAGGCCCAAGAATCTGCATTTTCAGCCAGTTCTTCAGTTGATTTTGATGCCTTTAAAGATCCAAAAAATGACTGCTTTGAAGTCATGTGGGTGTGAACAAATGATCAGGTTTCCCAGCACTGGCTGCCCTCACTTGTGGGTGACCCTAGAATTCAGACTCTGAAAAACTGCCTGTTAGGTAACTCTGCCTTGTCAGTGCCAAGCAAGGTGTGAGGATTCTGTGACCTGCCAAAGCCCCGGGCCACTGTCAGACGCAGGCTTTCCAGGACAATTTGTGTTACTCCTCCCGCCAAATCCTGGCTGGTGAAGACTGATGACTTAATTCCCTGCTCCTGTCACTAAATGTGGTCCCTGTGCCAACCCAGCCAGGGTAGATGGTGACCCAGCTCCCCCTGGAAACTCTTCAGAAGGTCAGCACCTGAGAAACCCAACAGGATGCTAGAGACCTGGAAGAGAGGGAGGAACTTTGCTTGGTTTGCCTCCAACTCTTGGCCATCAGAGCTGTTCGCTGCTCTGTGAGCACTTACAACCCCAAAATATCAGAGCAGGTGTGTGAACACTCTGGGAATGCTATGTGGCTCCTGTCCTCAGCAGGATTTGTGGTTCTGTCAAGCACCCAGCTCAGAGCTCCTACCCTTTTGATGGAAGTGCAACTGATCCAGCCATTAGAAGGACCATTTGCTATTAACTGTACAAATTTATAATGTGCACACTCCTTGATCCAACAGTCTTATTTCTAGGAATTTATGCTATGGAAAAATCAAAGTATCCAACAAGAAGAGGTGGGTTAAAATAATTAGGACACAATGGAATAAAGCACAACTTCAGATGACTGTGAGCTATATGGACCAACAGTGAAGGATGAACAAGGTACAAGTTGAGTATCTCCAATCTGAAAATGCAAAATGTTCTAAAATCTGAAAACTTTTGGGTGACAATATGATACTCAAATGCTCAAGGGAGCATTTCAAGTTTTGGATTTTTAGATTAGTGATGCTCAACTGGTAAGCCATATGCAAATATAGATACCATGTTTTATTGAGCATCACCTTATTGCATCTTGCAGATACTGTGATGCTTACGAATGGAAGGTTCATAGCAATCCTTCATTAGGCAAGACTATCAGCACCATTTTTCCAACAGCCTGTGCTCACTTTGTGTCTCTGTCACATTGTGGTAATTCTCACAATATTTCAAACTTTCTCATTATTATTATATCTATTATGGTCATCTATGGTCAGTAATCTTTGATATTACTATTGTAATTGTTTTGGGATATCATGAATTGCACCCATATAAGATGGTAAATAATATCATTAAATGTTGTATGTGTGTGTGTTCTAACTGCTCCACTGACCCACCATTCCCCCATCTTTTTCCCTGTTCTCAGGTCTATTTCCTGAGACCAAACAATATTGAAATTAGGCCAATTAATAACCGTATAATGTCTTCTAGGTGTTCAAGTGAAAGGAAGAGTCGTGCACCTCTCACTTTAGATCAAAAGCTGGAGATGACTAAGCTTAGTGAGGAAGACACGTTGAAAGTCAAGACAGGCCAAAAGCTAGGCCTCTTGCACCAGTTAGCCAAATTGTGAATGCAAATAAAAAGTTCTTGAAGGAATTTAAAGGGATACTCCAACACATGCATGAAAATAAAGTGACCTAGCCTTATTGCTGACACAGGGAAAGTTTAAGTGGGCTGGACAGAAAAACAAACCAGCCCACAACATTCCTTTAAGTCAAAGCCTAATCCAGAGCAAGACCCTAACTCTTCAGGTCTATGAAGGCTGAGTGAGGTGAGGAAATTGCAGAAGAAAAGTTAGAAACTAACAGAGGTTGGTTCATGAGGTTTAAGGAAAGAAGCCATCGCCATAACATAAAAGTGCAAGGTGAAGCAGCAAGTGCTAATGGAAAAGCTGCAACAAGTTGTCCAGAAGGTCTACATAAGATCACTGATGACGATAGCTACACTAAACAGATTTTCAATGTAGGTGAAACAGTCTTCAACAGAGAAGATACCATCTAGTACCTTACTAGCTAAAGAGGAGAACTCAATGCCTGACCTCAAAGCTTCAAAGGACAGGCTGACTCTTCAGTTAGGGGCTAATGCAGCTGGTGACTTTAAGTTGAAGCTAATGCTCATTGACCAGTTCAAAAATCTTAGGGCCCTTAATAATAATGCTAAGTCCACTCTGATTGTGCTGTATATATGAAACAACAAGCCTGGATGACAGCAAATAAGCTTATAGCATGGCTTACTGAATATTATAAGCCCACTGTTGAGACCTACTGTTCAGAAGAAAAAATTCATTTCAAAATGTTACCACTTATTGACAATGCACTTGGTCACCCAAGAGGTATGACGGAGATGTACAAGAATATGAATGTTGTTTTCATGCCTGCTAACACAGCACCCCTTCTTTAGCCTATGGATCAAGGAATGATTTCAGCTTTCAAGTCTTCTTAATTAAGAAATAAATCTCACAGGGCTGCATCAATAGTGATTCCTCTGATGGATCTGGGCAAAATAAACTGAAAATCTTCTGGAAAGAATTCACCATTCTAGATGCCATTAAGAACACTCGTGATTCATGAGAGGAGGTTAAAATATACATAATAATAGGAGTTTGGACAAAGTTGATTCTAACCCTCATGGATAACTTTGAGGGGTTCTAGATTGCAGGTATAGTGGAAATAGCAAGAAAACTAGAATTAAGAGTGGAGCCTGAAGATGGGGCCATCTCATGATCGAACTTGAATGGATGAATTGTTGCTTTTTATGGATGAGAGAAGAAAGTGGTTTCTTGAAATAGATTCTACTCCTGGTGAAGATGCTACGAACATTGTTGAAATGACAACAAAAGATGTAGAATATTACATAAACCTAGTGGATAAAGCAGTGGCAGGGTTGAAGAGGATTGAGTCCAATTTTGTAATAAGTTCTACTGTGGGTAAAATGCTATCAAACAGCATCACATACTACAGAGAAATCTTTTGTGAAAGGAAGAGTCAATCAATGTGTCAAACTTCATTGTTGTCTTATCTTTGGAAATTGCCACAGCCAAGCCAACCTTCAGCAACCACTACTCTGATCAGTCAGCAGCCAACAATATGGAGGCAACACTCTCCACCAGCAAAAACATTATTCACTGAAGGCTCAGAGGATCAACAGCACTTTCTAGTAATAAAGTATTTTTAAATTAATGTACACTTTTTAGACAGAATAGTATCGCACACTTAATAGACTACAGTATAATGTAAACAAAACTTTTATATGCATTGGGAAACCAAAAAATTTGCATGACTCACTTTATTGTGATATCTGCTCTATTGAGGTGTTTTAGAACTGAACATGAAATATCTCTGAGGTATGTGTGTATTCCAAAATCTGACAAAGAACCTGAAATACAAAACACTTCTGGCCCCTAGCATTTCAGATAAGGGATGCCTAACCTGTATAACGTTAAGTGAAAAAACAAATTACAAAACATTATCATGAGTCTTTTTTTTTTGTTTGTTTTTAGTTATCTATGTGTCAGCATATGCCTAACAACAAATACCAAAGGAATAGTCAATGGGGGGAGAGTAATCGTGGACAATTTTAATTTATACATTATATATTTCTGTAGTTTGTAATTTTTTAAAAGCTATTTTTGCTTGTAATTAGAGAAAACAGTAAAATTTCATGAAAAACTTGGGGGGCCTACCCTTTACCATCTTGGCCTATCTCCCAAGAGAATCTGAAGCTTTTTCTGGGGCTGAAACAGTCTGGGACAAGAATTTTTAGCCCAATATTTATCATTTCTGAAACACTAGGAGATGCAGCAAAGAAAAATTCCTCCACAAATCTTGTGCTAAGTTATTCACAGCTGTTTTACAACAGAAAATCTAGAAGTCATGGCAGGTATGAGAAACCACGGCAGGTAGTTTCAAATCTTGCAGGCATCTTAAACCATACCATCTCAACCCACACCTCTACCTCAAAGCTCAAAACCCAAAGAAAGGATCCACTGCCTCTGCAGCTGGTTTTAAATGGTCATCGAGACTGACCAAACAACACTGCATGATGGTTAAAGGCTCTGGAGTCGGGCTGCCTCTCATTAGCCATGTGACTGTGGGCAGGTTTCTTTTTATTTTTCTTTTTTTAGACGGAGTCTTGCTCTGTTGCCCAGGCTGGAGTGCAGTTGCATGATCTCAGCTCACTGCAACCTCCGCCTCCCAGGTACAAGCTATTCTCCTGCCTCAGCCTCTTGAGTAGCTGGGACTACAGGTGCACACCACTGCACCTGGCTAATTTTTGTATTTTTAGTGGAGACGGGGTTTCACCACGTTGGCCAGACTGGTCTCGAACTCCTGGCATTGTGATCTGCCCGCCTCGGCCTCCCAAAGTGCTGAGATTACAGGTGTGAGCCACTGTGCCCGGCCTTGTGGGCAGGTTTCTTAACCTCACTAAGCCTCTGTTTTGTCCTCTGTAAAATGGAGGCTCATTCATTCGCAAATAGTTCGTGAATGCCCACTCATTTGTCAGGTTTATCAAATGCCTACTATGCATCAGGCAGTGCTCCAGCTGCTGGGGCAACACCAGCAAAATAAAATCAGATAAAGTTCCTGCCCTTAAGGAGCACTCATTCCAGTAGGGCAGACAGGCAATAAACAGAACAAATAAGTAAAATATACACTATGTCAAATGGTGCTGAGTGTTATAGAGAAAATAAGGCAGGAAAGGAATAAGAAGAGCAGTTCATGGAGGACAACATCCAGGCAATACAAGCTCAGCCTTACCCAATAAGATAATGTGCAACATAATGCTCCAGGGAGAACCCCCATCCTGTAGTCACCACTCTATAACTCATGCCATGACTACCACCACTACTATTACTACCACCTTTGTCCACGGTCACTCTCCCTCCTGCAGCCAACGCTGGTCCTCTGTAAGTTTTCCTCTATTGGTATTTAATGAGAGGTACCATTGTGAGTATCTTCCATGGGCAAGGCATGGTGCTGGGCAATTTTACATATCCAACCTCATCTGACTCTCATGAACCCCCTAAGAGCAGGTATCATCATTCTCATTTTTTCAAAAGAGGAATCTGAGACTCAAAGAGGTTGGGGGCTGCCCTGATCACACAGGGAACATTCAAATCCTGATTAGCCTGACTGAAGGCTTAAGGTCTCAGCTGGGGAGCTCTTCTGCCTCCCAGGTGCAAAAGCAAGACTGTACCCAGCGTCCATCTCAGGGCATCCTCAGCCCTTCCTGAGGACCTGAGCCGTCAGCCCACGGTGCCCTCCAGCGTCATCTCCTGCTTGGTGAGCTATGCTAGGCCCCGATGCTCAAGATAACCTGTAAAGGCAAACTTGGAATCCTGACTTGTCTTCTCTCTCTTGGTCCCATTTTGTGATTTTGGATCTCCCAAAGAGACTCAGCTGCCTATCTTGAACGTTTTCCCCTACAGGAAGAGGGCAGCAGGCACTGATTAAACCAGAACCCTTGAAAAGAGAGTGGGGCTTGAGCAGGGCAGATTTATTGAACAGCTGAGGTCAAGCAACCAGAGGATTTCCTCATATTTTATATGATCAAAAAAAGTTCCACTTCTGTTCACTGCCCTTTGCAGCAGTTGGGGGTTGCTCCCATGGAAGGAGCTCCCAGGCTTAAGGAGAGGAGGTAGCGTTGGGGGCGTTAGAGGTGGCAGGAGGAGTCACAGTGTGGGCAGGAAGGGCTGGCCTGGTCTAAGAGTGCCCACAGCGGATTCAGAGGGTGACAGGCACCCATCGCTTTCTCCACACGTGGAACAACTGAATTACTGGAGCTGGGAAAGCATAGCAACTGAATGTCTCTGCAAGCAAAAAGAAATTTCTGAAAACAGATTCAACTTTAGCTGTTAACAGGATGCAGTGATTTTGCCAAAGACAAAGCCAGGGATTCTCAAAGTGGGGAGTGGAATGGCTAATGCTTCCCTGCCTAGAAGAGAACTGTAGAGCAAGGGGAGGGGCATGGGCAATTTAAAAAGCGTATTTGGCCAGGTGCGGTGGCCAACGCCTGTAATCCTAACACTTTGGGAGCTCACAGCGGGCGGATCACAAGGTCAGGAGTTCGAGACCAGTCTGGCCAACAGAGTGAAACCCCATCTCTACTAAAAATACAAAAAATTAGCCGGGTGTGGTGGTATGCACCTGTAATCCAGCTACTCAGGAGGCTGAGGCAGGAGAATAATGTGAACCCGGGAGGGAGAGGTTGTAGTGAGCCAAGATCACACCATTGTACTCCAGCCTGGGCAACAGTGTAAGACTGTCTCAAAAAAAAAAAAAAAAAAAAGGCATATTCAATGTTATGATACCATATTACATTTTAAAAGAAAAAAAAGTGTTATTTTCACAGTACATATCCCCTCCCTCTCTCCTCCACCAAAGAAACAAACAAACAAACAAACAAAAACCTTAGTAGTTTGGGGTTATGGCAGGGATTTTTTATTTTTTTTTTAACTTCGACACTGTTGATATTTGGGGCAGGATAATTCCTTGATGTGGAGGCTGTCCTGTGCATTGTGGGATGTTTAGCAGCATCCTTGGCCTCTACCCACCAGATCACAAGCCAGTAGCATCCAATTCTCTCTTGTGACAACCAACAATGTCTACAGATACTGTCAAATGTCCCTTGGGGCAGGGATCAGGGCGTAAAATCATCCAGGTTGAGAACCATGGGATTATGGTTAAAAATACAAGACTCAAGTGTTGTAAAAATACAAGACTCAAGTGTTGAGATGCCTAGTTTAACCACTTGCTAATCTGTGATCCTGAACATGTTACTTATGCTCTCCCAGTCTTGGTTTTCTTATCTATAAAACGGAGATGACATCAGATGACATCATGTATATGCTTCACAGCATTAATGTAAAGATTAACCAAGATAACAATATATTAGTAGTTAACACAGTGTCCCACTTGGAAGGCTTCACAGCTGTTAGCTCTATGTATGACAGCAGATCTTTGTCACCTTGGGGATGAAAAGAGGACAGTCTCTGGACAAGAGATCGGGAATGCAAAGAATAAAAAATTCGGGAATGCTGGGGGGTGGGAGTCTCATGTTTAGTTAAAAAAAGGGCATTAAAAAAAACTTGAGAAACACCGGTCTGAACCATGGCTGTTGAAAGCAGAATTGCAGAGGATCTTGCTTCTACCTGGAGTGACAGAAGGAACAAGGAGAAGAGAGACCCATTGAGCCTAGGAGTTTAATCTTACACTGGCAGCTACTGAGGTTGTTTGGGCTGAGACTCGGCTTTAATGTATAATCAGATTTACGTATTAGTCAAGGGCTGTGTCCTGGCTGCTGGGGGGTGCCACAGGGGCTGGAGAGGTGTGAGGAAAGGAAACAAACAATGAAAGGGAGGGAAGATGATTTTTGAGGTGTCTGTGGCAGTCAGTGGACCCAGCTCATTTTGGCTTTATCTGCTGATCCCTTTCTGGGGAACCCCTTCCCATCAGAAAGACTTGAGCTTTGTGTCAAGCCCCTTTTATCAGCCAAGATTAAGGGCTGATGTCACCAAGAGTTTTTATTTTATGGACAGAAATGTGGAGTAGTGGTTCAAACTACACACTGGCAAACTGCTCTAATCCTCACTCATCCATTCACTAGCTGTGTGACCTTAAACTCTGTGATCCTTTGTTCGCTCATCTCCAAGATGGGGATAATCACTATCAATGTGGTTGATGTTTACTGTAGTTCACTTGACTTTTCCACTTCAGCCCTTAGCTATCACAACGTTAACATCTGGATGTCCTGAGAGTATTCCACATCTCTGTTGATGCTAATTATGGCAAATACTTTTGAGTGTTTACTGTGATCTAGGTGTTGTATTTTTTCTCATTTAATCCCATGAAAAAGTTTTTATAGGTGGGGAAATTCAGGTTCAGAGTTTAGATAACTTGCCCGCGGCCACAGAGCCAGTAATGGACAGAGCCAAGGGTGAAAAGTGGTCTATCTAACGCTCAAGATCCTCTTGAGAGAGGCAATGTAATGCTAGACTCTCTGCAATTTCTAGGAGTTTTGGGTAGATTTTGGTAGGGCAAAGGTTACTAGAAGAGAGCATTTTGTGTGCTCATATATGAGCTCTCTATCTCTTAGGATGAGTGCTAATTCTGTCTCACACATGTACACCCAGAACCAAACTAGGGCACTAGGAGCAGAACCACCCACGAATTATCCCAGAAGCTGGAAACACAGGCACCTGATGAAGAATTTAGTTTGGTCTTAACACTATGGTTCTCAATATTGTCTGACTGGTAGAATTATTGGACAATTTTAAAACAGTCCCTCACCCAGGCCAAATACCAGACCAGTTAAATTGGAATCTTGGGGGTGGGGTCCAGGTATCAGTATTTCTTTAAAGCTCCCCAGATGACTCCAAGTGTGGCCAAAGTTGACAACCAGTGCCTGGGTATTTTAGCCTCTGCCTTACATCTTTCCAGTGGGTACCCAATCTAATTCTCTCTTACAAGAGATGGAGAAGGCCTGCGGACTGTTTAGAGTAAGTGTGAAGTATTCACTCTAAACCTGTTGAGGTTGAGGTTGGAGTTCCAGTGAGATACTGTCTCCCTTTTCCATGTTAACCAGAGCAAAGCTGAGTGTGGTAAAAGGCCTCAAACCTGAGATGGCTCTTGAGATTTGTAAGGCTGAGCCTTGGTCCCAGTCGCTGAATTTGCCCCAAATTGTGAGCCTATTTGGCCTCATCTGTTTCATCACAAGCGATAAGACCGTAGGAGGACAATATTCCATATGATTTCCCCCCAATAATGGAAACTCTTCCTGCTGAACTCCTGGACCTCAGCCTTAGAAAGGGATTTTTGAGGTAGGATGGAGGGATCCAGATCTTTGAGAGACAGGAGAAAGCCTTCTGTAACTGTGGCAACACCCACCTGGGAAAAATGACAACTGCTCAGTCTTTCTTCTTAAGGACCAACAGAAATATCCAAAGAGCCCTGATAACAATCTGCCATGGCTAATACTGGCTAACTGGTGCAAGAGAAGAAAAATAAGGGGATTTGTGAATCAACTTCTGTTTAGCCATATGTTTTCAAGGCTTACTGTTTACTTAAGGAAAGGTTTTGTGCTTTAATCAGATTTGTATATTAGTTACTTGGCTAAGCCAGGACACCTGGGGTAAAATTCAAATGTACTGTGTATATGAAATCCAGGACATAACCAAGAGAGAAATCAGCCCTGAAAGGAAAAATAAGCTATAGCAATAGAAAGAACAGTAGTAAGAGTTCACAGATATTTTTTCTTCTGTTATAAATGGAAAGTTCTCCACCCTGTACTTCTCAATGCACATGGTATTCCCGACCTACTGCCTCTTTGTAGTCTTGCATTTGCTTTCTCAATCCCCTCTGTAAATCATCTGACTTTTTCTACTTTAAGACATCCCACTAAAAAAAGGGGACCAGGGCAGTGTTCTCAGAGGGATACCAGGAGGTGGAATTTGAGCCAGCAATAAAATGTGAGTGCTTTACCACTCCAAATATAGCTCTTTCCTCTTGACAACTATAATCTCAACACACTGGCCTCCTTTAAGCTCCTAGAACTGGACAAGTTCTCTCTTGCCTCAGGGCCTTTGCATATAAGATAACCTTCTTCCTTGCCAATTCTTTCCTTTGCAAGGCCAAGTCCTTCTCATCCAAGTCTTAGCTCACCCATCACTTCAGAGAGCTTCCTTGACCATCCTTTCAATGCAGTTAACCCTCAATATTCGCTCTTCTTTTCTTTGCTCATTTTTTTCTTTGCAACTTATCACAATCTGTCCTTCTCTGTGTGTTTGTAGGTCCCCTCCTACATTATAAGCCATTCTCCACCCTACTCTGCCCTGAATGGCTCTCTTGCTCTCTGGCTGCTGGTTGGGTTTGACCAATGGGAAAAGATCAGAGGGTAGAAAGTATTTATTGTCCTGGCTCCCTCCTGCTAGGCTGCAGCTTGGCTGCAGCATTCTACCTAAGGCCTCAGTTTCTATCTATCTCCTTCATTAGGTTTTCTTTAATTACCCCTTGAATATGCCATCTGCTTCCTGCTGGGGCCTGACCCACAGAAGGACTAGTCTGATTTATTCACCAACGTACACTGGGCAACTAGCAGAGTGCCTGGCACATGGTAGACACTCAATAAATATTTGTTGAAAACATGAATATAAAACAACTCAGAATCAAAAATTTAAAACATCTTTCTCTTCCCCATTCTTTTTGTTTCCACAAAGATCTTGATCAAACTCTGGTATAGAGAATAGATAAAACAGTGTGGCTGGGGTTGAGGGTAGATGGGGTAGCCCACCAGCATGGCCCCCTCTTAAATTGCTACTCTAGAAACCCAGTACATTAGAGATATATTTTGGGCAGATGCCGTGTGGGAGGATGTGGCACCTTACACAGTTTCTTTAATTGAGGTACACAATATTAGGGGCTGAGTTCAGACTAAATGATATTTACAACTCCATGTTTCCAGGAAGACTTTGAGTTCATCTCTGGAAGACAACAGGGGTAGGAGTGGGAATGGAAATGGTGCTTTATGAACCCACTAAGAGGATTCAAAATTCTTCTTTTGTAGCAGTCCCTGGGCTCAGAGGAAGCTGGAATAAAAGATGTCCTCTGATTTGATGTGCTTCATCCAGTATTGCCAGATAAAGGTGTGTCATCCAGATTCCCCTACCCTAACGTGCCCCTATATTAAACCGCTTCAGAAGGCAGAAAGTGACAGAGGAAGCCACCTGCTTCTTAGGTAGTCCTAACTCCTGAATAGAAAGAGAGGCACAATGGGTGACAGAGGACCTGGACATGTACGGCTCATGGTTCACTCAGGGATGCTGAGCCTTGGGTTGTATAAAGGGGAGCTTGATGGGAAGCTCAGGCCGGGTTCGAATTTTTCTCCTGGAAGAGGAGCCAGAGCTGGAAACAGATCTGCAGCCAAGGGCCTGGCTGGGCTTGTTCCAGGAGCTGATAATGATCTCAGTGGAAAACTTCCATTACTGTACTCTCCTCATTGTCTTCCTCACTTAGGGACCAAAGCTGGGCCTGTTTCTCATCCACAGACTCAGAGAACAAATTAACTCCTCTAAGCTGTGGCAAATGGGAATTCTCTGTGAAGTTAATTGATACTGGGGTGGGGGGCCAGGGGGATCAGTGCAGGAAGGCTGAGCTCTGTGAACTGACAGTCTACTTTCTCACATGTGAAGGCTGGGCTCTATTAGCATTAATAGGGGTAACATGGGCATAATTAGGCCACAGATTCTGGTAGCCTCTTTTGACTCAGACAAGGCTGTAAATCAGATTCAAGGAGACAAGGCTCATCTTTCTGGCTGCAAGCATTCCTAGAAATGCAAGCAAAGTGCTCCCCAGTTACGGGGGTCAACATGGGTCTGGATCATTGACATGTACAGAATCGCCAAATCTCACACTCATCCATTGATGCTGGTTCTTGCCTTCTATCCCTTTCTATTAGAATGATTCCTGAGTTCTGGTCAATCTTCCCTCTCCCTGTTAAGTGAGCAACTGGCCGAGACAGAGTTAAGAGGAAGGTGGCAGGAGATCAGGGTACCAAATAATACAAGTAATAGTTACTCTCAAATAATGAATTTTCCATGTACTGGGCAGGCGGTGAAGTGCTCCACGCATGTTACCCCACACCACCCAGCAGCCCCACTGCAGCAGACATTACATTTACTCAGGAAGCTGAGGGATTGAGAGATTTAAGCCACTTGCCTGAGTCACACAGCTAGAGAGGTGGTACGGTTTCAACCAGGTCAACTGGGCCCTTAAACACTAAGTGTGAATGTGTGTTGCAGCTAGGGACAGAGCAAGAAGTAAAAAAAGCTCTCTCAGCTGCAGACGGGGCTTCCGAAGCATCCAGCTGAGGAGGTCCCTTCCCGTGACATCATACTCCCCTCAGATGTGGTTCAGAATGACTTAGATTGGGACTAATGATTTTCATTGGAATTCCCTGTGTCTAGGCCAGGCTTTCTCAGTCTCGGCACTGCTGGCTTATGGAGCTGGATAATTCTTTGTTGACTGGGTATAGGGGGATGGATGACATTTTGTGCACTGTAGGAGGTTTAGCGGCACCCCTGATCTCTACCTACCAGACGCCTGTAGTGTCCTGCACCCCCAGTTATTACAACCAAAAATGCCTCCAAACTTCGAAGTGTTCCCTGGGTGGGAAAAACCACCACCCCTAGTAACTACCCCCACCCATCTCTGTTGAGAATCATTCATCTAGACCACCCTGTTTCCCCTGGGGTAGTGTTTGTGTATGAGTGTGTACCTTAGGCAAAGGGAATTTCCTCCTTCATCTTTTTACCTAGGACCCATTATTTGAGTATAAAGAAAGAAAAAGGGTGAGTTATTCCAGTCAGTTTCCTCTCCTCTCTCATTTCCAGCTATGAGCTCAATCTGTTTCCCAAAGTAAAGACTGAACTGGACTTTTCTGCCTTCTAAAATTGGCACCTTTGATTTCAAAGGCAGCCACTGGGAAGTCTGCTGCTGCCAGGATGAGAAACCCTAGCAAGGTATGAGCTGCTCACTCCTAGGCAGCAGAGTCACTGCTAGGGATGGTCTCACCAAAAGCTCAATGTCAGAATCAGAAACAAATCCCTGCAGGTGTTCTTGGACTGATAACACCCTCGGTGGGGGCAGATTTGAGTGGGTTGGATAAATGACTCGAAGAAGCAAGAATATGCAAGAATCCCTCAGACTTAGCACAGCTGAGAGTCAAGGATTTATTCCAAGGAAAGACTCAGATAACAGAAACGCACAGAGGTACAGTCTCTACTCTGCTGGGTAAGAAGCAAAATGAATGAGTATTTTCCTCCATTCCTTGTGCATGGGAAAAATAAGAGAGAAAAGAGAAGACAGGGTCTGAATAATCTGCAAAGTAGAACACTAAATCCTTGGGTAACAAAGAGTTGAGAAAGGCAATTTTCTAGGAGAGAAAGAATGGGAGAAATACACCTGCCTTAGCTAAATGGATGGGGGAATTCTGGATGACATTTTTAAGCCATTAAAAGTCTTTGCACCAAGGAAAACACTACGTGTTTTCTTAGTGACTTTGAAGTGGAAGACCCAGACTTTATCTTCTAAATGGTGCCCTGCCTGTTTGCTCAGCCTGATTTGTGATAGCTGCCTCCCAGAGATGTGTGATGGTCTGATTTTGATTTGGGGTGGGCAGGCTGAAGGAGATTCCTGGCAGAACAGGACGAGGAACGATCACAGATCACACACACACACACACACACACACACACGCACACACACCTGCGTGCACACACACAGAGCTATCTGGGTGCTCAAGGTGATGCTGGTAGAAAACTGGGGAGAGTGAAACTTATTGGTGGAAACTATTCTAGGTTAAACAATCAAACACACAACAAACCAAGCTATCTTGAAATTTTTTACGCAACTTTCGGCTCATGATCTCTTGATTTTCACATTGATTCTAGAGCGGAAACAGGTCCTATTTCAAGATTAGAGTGTTTTGTTGTCCACCTTTTCTGATGCAGTCCGTGATGATTCCAAAACCATCAAATGCTCTTGGCAAGTATTACCCTCTTTCCTATTTAATCCATACTATGTAATTAAGATATGTATCATCCACATGCTTCAGATAATGTGCTCTTAACTTACTAAGGTGCTATTTACTACACCAAGAGTGATTTGATGTCAAGGACATCTTCAGAAATTTTGAGAGGAGATATAATCCACTTTTTCTTTTGTCTCAGCAGGAGGCTAGACTCAGGGCTAAGAGAAGAGGCAGTGTAGACAGATGCAAGTTCTAACTACAGGCGAGCTCATGAGTATGGTACCTCACCCATATGTAAGACGAAGAGTCTGGGTTTCCTTAGCTCAGTGGTCCTCAAACTTAGTGAACCTATGAGTTCTCTGGGGGTGTGTGTTCGAAATGCTGATTGCTGAGTCTGAGCCCTGAGAGATTCTGTTTGTGGGTGTGGGATGTGGCCCAAGAATTTGCACAATTGACAAGCATCCTAGATGAACGTAGTGTAAGTGATCCCTGGAATACTCAAATTGATGGAGTGGATAGTTTATTGTTTACATGGAGAAATAGACTCCCCAAAGCTAGCTTAGGCTGCTTGTACTAGGAAGTAGGGTTTTAGTCATGTTAGTTTTCCACTGCTCTGGGAGGCACTTTACGTATAGGCAGAGGAGGGGAGGTTAAGGAAGGTGATGGTCGGTGCAGAATCACCCATAAGTCTCATATGACCACTAGAACACTGTGGGAGGGAGATGCTAAAGAAGTTTTGCCAAGTGGCCAGGTAGGAAGGTCAAGGTAGGAAGGTCAAGGTCAAGTCAATAAAAAAGGAAGTCAAAACAGAATATTTTGTTGATGGCAGACAAAGGAAATCAGGATTTAAATACAGATCATTTAAAAAAACTGCCTATATGTCCAATTCTGGAGGTGTGGTAACACCCATTCAATTGAATATTAATGCAGTCATTAAAAATGATGGTTACAAATGCCACACAGATAAGCTAAAGATAGAATGCAAATGAAGAAATGCAGGCCACAAACTATTCACTATGTTTATAACCAAGTTAGAGAAAAATAGTGAACTAATACGTAGGGAAGAAACTTGAAAATTCATGAAAATATGAACACTGGTCAAGTGGTGAGATTTGGGCTATATTTTCACTATTTCTATCTTTTTCCAGAATTTTTCTTTTCTGTGTTTTCCTTACTCTCCATATTTTAAAAACTAAATGGCTTGAGTTTTAAAGCCATTTCCAAGTGGATAAGAGCTTTCTCATTTCCCTTTGTGAGATTAACAAACTCAAAAGTTCCAAGAGAAATGAAATGTTCACACATTCTTAAAAAAAATCACTCTATAAAATCTTGCACCAGTCTGGGGAACCCATCACGACACACCACGCCCCAACCCCACCACTGCTGGCCTCCACCCTGGACGAATTTTCCAGTGTTGCCTTTTCAGTAACAAAGAGAATAAAATCAGCAATCTTTTCTCCCTGTCAGCAGCCATGGTTACTGACTGTGGGTATAGATGACTGCTCACGCCCAAGGAGGTTATAAATAAGACTTTTGAACAGTTATCAAAAACCAGGACACTGGAAAAGGTTCTCCGGGCCCAGAAAATGTCAGGGAGACCACAACATTGTAGCAGGGGTATATCGCCTGCTCTGGGCTGAGCTCTCTTCCAACTGCCCACTGATTCCCTGTTGTCCCACCTTGCTCTGACATTGTCCTCGGCTTCCCACATGCCAGGAAAGCAAAGCAGAAAAAGAAACGAGGGATGGATTCTCCTGGGACTTTCACTCTGCTGGTTTTCATCTGGCCCCTGGTCTGTGAGCTAGGGGTGATGTTCAGAGTCATGAAATGCCAACAACAGGGCACAGCTTCCTTGGGGATCTATGGGACCAGTCAGAAGGTGCTCCTTAGGATGTACTAACCATTGAGTGAGAAGGCTGGGCTCCATCTAATCTCTCCCTCCAAAATATCTCCTCATAGCCTGAAACCCCTACGTTAAAATCACCACAGGCCACACCCCAAAGACCAGAGCTTTGTCTCCAGAAAACCATAGCTGAAATACATAATGGGTGTTTGATGTTAAATTCAAATATGGTGGGGCTTTTAGAGGAGGGGATCAGATAAAAACGTCAGTCCTGGATGGATGGGATACCTATGGTGCCTGTGGTTTTACCTCCTTGCAGCTTAATCCCTCTTCCTTTGAAAACATGACCTTGATTTCCCTTTGAACATTCTTCCTTCTCCATTGTCAGTCCTGAAGTTTTGATGGGTTTGACCTCATTGCCTAGTTCCTGGGATGGGACATGACTCAGGTCTGACATACCAGAGCTATCATTCTCCTGGCCACAGTGGTTAGTTTAAGAATTGTTGGATGACCAAAGTCAGGCAAATGAGAAGACTCAATTCTGGTACTTTTGGTGACACTAATAGGGAAGATCAATACTTTTTCCCCTTCACCTGATGTTGATGGACATTGGTCTGCAGTGACTGACAGCCCTCCTGGCTATCCCAGGGAAGAGGCTGCCTGAGACTGAAGCCAGTGTACAGGGAACAAGAACTCAGAGACAGAAAGAAACCGAGTCCTGATGACATCATTTGGGCCCCTGGAACTAAAGATCTGTGAAGTATGAAGTTACTTGATCAAAAAAATTTTGTTTACACCCATTGGAGTTAGAATTCTGACACTTCCAAACAAAAGAGTTCTGCAATACCAATGAACAAAGGCAATCTCTATGCATTTCCCAAGTATATCCCAGGGCCCTGTGGTCAATGGATAGGACTCAAGGTTGTGATTCCAGACTGGACCACACATCTTCCCCAGTGACGGGAATGAACAAAAAGATCTGGGCCACACAATACATAAGCACATCTGAGGTGTGGCCAATGAAGTAATGGGTGCCAGCTGGTTAAGAGGTTCTACCCAATATTTAAATAAAGAAATTGGGTTAGAGGATGGTTATCCAAGTTATGCAGAAGAATAGACCTGGCCCTTCCTTAAATTAAATATAGAAATGTTTTGCATTGCAAGGATTAAAAAACATCTCAGACATTCTTGGTAAAGTGAGTGGTTCCAGTTGTTGCTTTATATCCTCATGTTGTTGTTTTCTGGTTCTTTCCCAGTTTGTCAGCAATGCTGAAAAATTACCCTGTTACCTTCTGGCATTGCACAACTAAGTTTCCCTTGCCAAGGTGTGTAGATGAGGTGTGTAAAAGGCATGGCCTTGACACAACAATGCAACACTGATCAAAGAAGGTAGGAAGCCCTTTCAGATTCCTGCTCCGTGTCTCCACTTATTCAGGCCAATAAAACATGCACTTGCATTTGATGCTGGCCTGAGTAAAAAAAACACAGAGTAGACCAACCTTTAACTATTGCTAATGTTTTCATATCTATTTTCCTCTGTCTCCCAGGACCCACTCCCCTTGGGACACTGTAAACCTCTGCCAATTTCCTCTCCTAAGTCACTGTCATATCCATCCACTTATTTTGGACTTTGCCATTAACCTTCACCTCTAGCCTGGGCTACACAGCCCCAGATTGCCTCCTAACAGGACTCCCTGCATCAGCACTTGCCCTTTTCCAATCAATTCCCCACACAGCAGCTGAAGCCATCTTTTCAAAATGCAAATTGGATCATGTCACCTCCCTCACTGCAGGGCCTGACATTTTAAGGGTTTTCCGTTGCCCTTATTAGAAAGGCCTACACCATTAATATAGCCCTAAATGGCTCTGCACCATCTGGCCCTTGCTTTCCTTCCAAGTCTTATTACTCTAAGTGCTCACCCAGCCATAGGACCTTCTGACAACTCTTCATACATTCCTACCACAGGGCCTTTACACATGCTGCTCCTGCTGCCTAGAATGACCCTTCCCCTATCCCTGAAGCATCACTTTTTCAGGATGTCCTTTGACTCAGCCACATCCCTCTTTGTAAGGCCTCCTAGCCTCACACTTACTTATATCATACAATTGGATGGTTACTGTGTATCAACTTCACTAGACTGTGAGGTACAAGAGGGCAAGGCCCATGTCCAATTCAGCTCAGCATTGCATTCCCAGCACCTTGCATAGGTGGCACCTACAAATACTAATACCAACCAGTATTCAATGAGCACTTAGAGGGTGTTAGACACTGTTCTAAATTCTTTCTATGAACTCACTCATTTAATTCACATTACAACCCTGAAAAGTAGGGTCATTCCATTTCAAAGATGAGGATAGTGAGGTGCAGAATAGATAAATCCGTTGCCCAAGGTCACAGAGCTATTAAACTATAAGTCCAGTTTCCAGCTCTGGCATACTGGTCTACAGCCCATGCTCTCATACTATTCTGCTATAACTCACAGGGTAGGCGCTCATGTCATATTTGCTAAGTGAATCAAAAAAATAAACAGAAACGTTGTTTCCCCTTCCCTCACTCCCATCCTTACCTAGAGGTCCTTCCTATGGGACCCAGCTCTCTATGAACAGCCACCCCTTACAGAATGTGGCTGATCCTCAAGGAATGGTCATGTTCCCAGCCTCATCATTCCACACCAGCATCCTTCACCAGGGACCAGCTCACAGTCTCCAGTTGTCCTGTGGTGTGGCCTCTGCCTAAGGCAGCCAGTTCCAATTCCAGCTCTACTATATACCTGGTCCCAGTGTGTGGCTTGAGCCCTGACCTCTAATTTGCAACTAATGCCTTGGTCCCCCACTCTGCCCTTGGTGTCTCTTGCCCAGGCACCAGCCCCTGGACCATCTCTGCTTGTCTGCCTTGTCTTTCCTACCTCTGACCTTGGCACATCATCTTGGACTGCCACCTCTGACTTCTGGCATTCACAGCTGTGCTCGCATGCTTCTCTTTAGCATTGGCAAACAGACAAATCAACAAGCCAGCTGTCACAGGAGAGAAAATGCCTATCCCTTCAGCTAAAGCCGTTGTGCAAGTCTTCTGACTGTGATTATGACCCTTCTTGTGAGGAATATCAGGCCAGTTAAGTGCATGGCTTTGCAGTTGATCACACCTGGGATCAAGTCCTCGCCATCTGTGGCGACTACAAAAGGGTTACTTCTATAAACCTTAGTGTACCCATATGTAAAATGGGTATAATGATCAGATTTATCTCACAGCATTTAAAGAAGCATTCTACATGAAGCCATTAGCATGTCAGGTCATAGCCAGTGGTCTATTATGATTATCATTGGTTACAATCAACATCAGAAGCAGCAGTACATTTACCATGGTCATTCACATCAGCCATAGCACAGTGTTTAAGGGCACAAGCTCTGTAGCTAGAATGCCCAAGTTTAAATTCTGCTTTTCTACTTCCAAGCAATGTGGCCTTGGGCTATTCAGCCTCTCAGTGCCTCATGTACACCATCTGTAAAATGGGAATAACAACCATGCCTACCTCATAGGGTTGTTGTGAGGACTGAGTGAGTTTAGTTTATGGAAAGTACTTAGAAAAACATCCAGTCCATATAAACACTCAATAATGTCAGTTGTTCTTGATGTTGTTATTATTTCTACTTCTAATGCTATGATTACGCAGGCTGCAAGCTGCTTTAGAGGCATGTTTAGGGGCTGGCAAAGTTAAAGCGCTTCTGCAAGGCTTCTGCATTGCAGTGGTATAAATGGTGGCTGTGCCAGCCTGAGTCACTCCGTGTAAGCATAAGGGATGAATTGTGTTTTCCAAGGAGAAGGGACTGTACACTCCCAGTTCTAAACACATTGGGAGAGGCCAAAGCCCAGATCTGAGGCTGACAAGCCAGTGCAGCTATCTGTTTTTTCAGATCTGTTCTGAGGAAAAATGCTGCCCACAGAAAGATCACACTTCATGCCAGATTAAACACTACAGACTTATTCAATAACATAAGTTACTGACCATGGAAGAAAAAAGAATCCATCATCTTGAAATCTAGCTTTATCTGAAGGATCAAGGTGCTTTCACTAAGCCTTTTGTGGCACGTACCTGGTATTCAGACTGTGATTCTAGGATTTAAAGATATGCAGATAGTTTAGAATGCTATTAAAAAAAAAACTACTGAATTTTCTAGCAAAATTCAAATGTAAACAGTGAGGGACAGCAGCAAAAACACCAACTTTCCAAGTCTAGTCCTCGGTGTATGGGTGTGCAGAGTAGGATGTGAAAGGCTATGTAGGGTCTGCTCCAATGAGGAATGATGAAGCTGTGCTTAGAATATTAGCCACCATCTTTCTTCTGACACTGTCATATCTGACAGAACCATAGAAACGCACACAAAATGACTTTCTTTAATTCCCTGTTTTTCATGGTTTTCTCAGGCTGGTTAGGAAAAAAGGAGCCTGCAGGAGTATTTTCTTTCTTTCTTTCTTTTTTTTTTTTTTTTTAGACAGAGTTTTGCTCTGTCAAAAGGCTGGGGTGCAGTGGTGTGATCCTGGCTCACTGAAACCTCCGCCTCCTGGGTTCAAGTGATTCTTGTGCCTCAGCCTCCCAAAAAGCTGGAACTACAGTCATGCACCACCATGCCTGGCTAATTTCTGTATTTTTAGTAGAGACGGGGTTTTGCCACGTTGGCAAGGCTGGTCTTGAACTTCTGGCCTCAAGTGATCCACCTGCCTTGGCCTCCCAAAGTGTTGAGATTACAGGTGTGAGCCACCACGCCTGGCCCATGCAGGAGTATTTTCAAATCTAAAATGCAAACCTGCACAGCTGGTGGATGGTGGGAGAAGTTAGTAGCCACAACAGGTCAAAACTTGAATCAGTGTGTTTGGGAGGAGAAAGAATTAATAATAATAAAAAGTCGCAGGTAACCATTATAGAAGGTCATATGTGTCAAAGACTATATTAATGATTTTAAACGCAATTATCATTTAACCCTCACCAAAGCTATACAAAGGAAGTACTACAGGAACACCTTTATCCACTTATTCACAAAATTCCATGGATGAGGAAATTGAGTTTTGCAGAGTTTAAGTGACTTGTTCAAGGCCACACAACTCCTAAATGATGAAGGCTTGATCTCATCCCAGCAAGTGTGACTCCAGAACCAGTAATCCTAACTATTAATTAATTAGAAAGACAAAAAATTAGGGCTCATGTAAGAACTTCAGAGACTAATGATGGCTTAATATCGTGCCCATCTTATCAGTTCACTCTGTCATCTGCACCTTCTAGCAGGGTCACCTCTAGCCACAGGAGGCTATTGAAATTTAAAAGAATTAAAATTAAATAAAATTTAAACTTCAGGCCATTGCTGTTGAGTACTTAAAATGTGTCTAGTGCAACTAATGGCCTGAAATTTTAATTTCATTTAATTTTAATTCGTTTAAATTTCCACAGCCCCATATGGCTGCCATATTAGACAGTGCTGATCTCAGGAGTTTTTTTCCCTCAGTTTTATCAGGCATGGCCAGGGTTGCTTCCCAAAAATCTGAGGCAAAGGGGCATTAGTTGCTTTGCCCAAGGATCCTAGAAAATCATGAGAGTAAATCTCCCATGATGTCTTCTTTAGGAATGGAAACCGCGTCCACTCCCTCCTTAGGAATGGAAATTGAGTGTCTTCCTCACTTGCCCTTTCCAGCATTCCTCAACCTCTAGCCCTTCTGATTTCCTCATGAGCCACAACGTGAGGATGATACAGTCAGAGCAGACAAACCCAGGCACATCTCCCCTCAGACAATGGTGCACATCAGCCTCAGCAGAGATCTGCTTAACATGCAGATTCCTGGGCCCCACCTCTGTAGAGTTCTGATGCAAGGGGTTAGGGGGAGGCCCAGGAGCCTATGTTTGAATCAAGCACACCCATGATTCTAATGCAGGTGGTCTAGCTTTGAGAAACTCTTCTTCAGAGGCTGAAGTATATATTTATCTGCTGTCCTCTTAAATAATTATAGCACATAAATCTTTCGAGAATAACATAACCTGGGCTGGAAGCCAGGCAGTCATCACTCTGCACTAATTGCTCCCTTCTAAGACATCAGGCAAGGCGCTTAGTCACCAAGGCCTCATTTTTTTTTTTTTTTTCCATCTGAAACATGGGGATGAGGATATCTACTCTTTGTTCTTGGACAAATGGGAACACAGATGTGGATGTATTTGAGGAGGATAGAAAGTAAAACCCACTGCATGGACAAGCTACAACTCAGAGCCTCATTTTGTTTGTCTAGCAGTGTTGAAATAGATTTCATATTTTTAAAAATCCACATTTTTAACTTCTCTGGAAAAACTGGAAGATCTGACAGGATGGGGCTTGTATTAGACTGGCAGCCTGGTGTGATTAAGAGCAAGGTTCTGAAATCATATGCACAGGTTCAAATCCCTGCTCTACCACTCTGAAAGCTGAGTGACTTTGGGTGAGTCCCTCAACCTCTCCATTTCTGTTTCTTCAACTCTGAAATGAGAATCATAACAATATTCCTCCCTCACAGTGTTATGACAATGTAATTAAGCAAGCTAATATTTATGACGTGCTCAGAACAATGTTTGACACATTGCAAGAGCTATATAAAGGTTAGGTGGATACATAAATATCCCAGCACATGGCAACAAGCAGCTGGAGCTGAGCAGTGGCCGTCCCCTTCAAATGGGGCTAACATTATCACAGTCTCTATCCAGACACCATCGGCTATGGAATCCTTGCTGTAAGGGGCAGACGTATATCTCCCTCCTCTGGTACCTTGCCCACAAAGGGGCAGATATACTTAGCACATCTTAGAGCGCTACTCTTCTCAAGCTATCAGTGGTGAAGGACCAGTTTGTTTTCATTTTCAATCCCTTGTGGACCGACATATGGCCCTGCTGAGCATGTCTGAGACACAGCACAAAGCACAAAGAGCTCAGTATGTGAGTTCTATAACACCCTGATGGGTCTATAACCTGATCAATAAGACAAGCCTGCTGAAAACGCACTTGGATGGCACCGCAACATCGAACTGCTATAAGTTTCTAACACTTCCAGTTTCAGTACTAATCTCGCTGCTGATAGGTGTTAAGTACTAATCTCACTGCTGATGGGTGATAGTTCTCAGCCAGTGTTATCCTCAGATTCTGCTTTAAGTAGCACTATCACAGAGAAAATCTACGTTACTCTATTTTTTCCCACATTTAAAAATATTTTTTAAATAATGTTTAAAATATTAAATCAATAATATTAAATTTTTTTTTTTTTTTTTCTAGAGACAGGTTGTCACTCTGCTGCCCAGGCTGGAGTGCAGAGGTGGGATCATTGCTTAGTTCAGCCTCAACTTCCTGGGCTCAAGTGATCCTCCTGCTTTAGTCTCCTAAGTAGCTGGGACTATGAGCATGTGCCACCAAGTCCAGCTAATTTATATATATATATATAATATATTTGTATATATTATATCATATATATTTATATATTATATATACACACAATATATATTATATATGATATATATATACACACGCTATATATTTTATATATATACACACACATATATGTTTGTAGAGACAGAGTCTCACTATGTTGCCCAGGCTGGTCTCCAACTCCTGGCCTCAAGTGATCCTCCTGCCTTGGCCTCCCAAAGTGCTGGAATTACAGGCATGAGCCACCATGCCTGGCCAACATCAGTCTTCCCACGCACACAAAACCAGCTGGACAACTTCACTGGAGAGAGAAGCATGCCATTATCTCTCTCTCTCTACTTCTGTTCTTTTCAGCCTGCCTGTCTTCTCCTTGTCTAGCCAAACATTTCTTATGTCTTTATCTGCACTTTGAAGCCAGTTCCCTGGTGAGAAACAGGTTCAGAACAGTCTCAGAAGCTGTCATGGATGCTTTGGTGCCCCAGGCAGCACCACGCTGGGGCAACTGGGCTCCAGGTGCTGTGAGTACTGCCATCAGCTCACAGCTACACCTTCTCCACCTTCATATGGTACAAGGGGCAAACAAGTTCCCTTGGACCTCTTTTATAAGGGCATTAATCCCATTCATGAGGTCTCCACTCTCATGACTTAATCACCTCCCAAAAGGCCCCTTCTCCTAATGCCATCACCTTGGGATTTAGGATCTTAATTTAAGAATTTTGGGGAAAACATTCAGACCATAGTATTTTCTTTCTTTAATGCTGCCTTTGGCCAACAGGAGCTGCCTTGCCCCAAGCCCACATCCACTATCTCATCCCTTTGTCACTCCTCAGCAGCCCAAAGCTGATGACCAACTAACACGATGGTACAAAACATCAGCCCCTTCGTCACAAGAAGCAATTGATTCTATAGTGCAACTCATCCATCAGAGTCCCCTGTGGGATCAGGCAGAAGCCAGACCCCAGTGAAGACACCATTCCTCACTTGGCTCCTCCCCATGCTCTGTCCTCTTTCTCTCACTCCCCTTCTCCTGAGAGCACTCCCTCAGTACATCACAGGCATCTGGACCTGTCTCAGGCTTTGTTTACAGGGAAGCCCATCAAAGATAGAAGCCATCTCAAACTTGGGTTTACCTTCCTCAGCAGCCTATTAGAAGAGGGCACGTGGCAGAAACAACATTAAAATCCGGAGGACCAGGCTGGGCACGGTGGCTCACGCCTGTAATCCTACCACTTTGGGAGGCCGAGGCAGGTGGATCACGAGGTCAGGAGATCGAGAACATCCCGGCTAACACGGTGAAACACGTGTGTACTAAAAATACAAAAAAATTAGCCAGGCATGGTGGCGGGCACCTGTAGTCCCAACTACTCGTGAGGCTGAGGCAGGAGAATGGCGTGAACCCGGGAGGTGGAGCTTGCAGTGAGCGGAGATCGTGCCACTGCACTCCAGCCTGGGGGACAGAGCGAGACTCCATTTCAAAAAAAAAAAAAATTCCTGGGGACCAGCATCCAGTCACCCAGAGACTACCCCCTTTCTATCTGTTTTCAAGGTGAACAGAACCTACCTGTTGCATTAGACAGGGCCAGGGATTCCATGGAGCCCCGAGGGGTCTGCTCTGTGGGCGTCATGTCCTCTGTGTATTTCAGGGAACTGATGGGATGACGGGTCCGACACTGCTGAGTGGACAAGCCCCCTTCCTCTTCCTCTTCCTCCTCATATTTGGGGACTTGGATGCTGCCTCGGGTCTCACTGAAACTCTGACTAGACATATCACTGTAGCTCTCCTGAGATCTCAGCCTCCCCGGGTAATAGTCTTCTCGGCATTCCTTGATGAAGCTGCCAGCATGTCCTGTCATGGCCAGTGACGAGCTCCTTTTGGGGTTGCTGAAGTGCTTGCCCCACATTTCGGGCTGGGCCCCAGCCCCTTGCCCTCCTGGACTGTAGGAAGTTCTGATGTTGCACTGGCTGAGGAGCTGCAGAGGGCTCTGGGTCTGGTTCTGCTCCATCTTGTTCCCATAATGGTAGGGCTCTTCCCGGCTCCTCCAGATGGGGTCCCGGTTGAGGCTGGGTGTCTGGCTGGACAGGCTGAGCATGTCCATCTGCAGTGACAGGGGGTCTACGTCGGCTGACAGCCGGTTAGAACTCACTTGCAGCTGGCTGTGCTGGTTCAGCATGGGCTCCTCCGTCTTGCCCTTGTTCTTGCCAATTTTGGCACTGCGCCGGGACTCCTTGGCCCTGGCGTTCTGGAAGGCGGAATCAGAGGAGTCAGAACCATTGGGGTCTTCCCCAGCACTGCAGGCCCGTGAGCAGAATATCTGGCCCTGCTTCGGGAGGAATGGCCGCCCCAGGAGGGATTTCTTGCAGTGAGCACAGCAGAAACAGGTCTCAGTGGCATGCCAGTGTTGGCCATCATAGGTCATTTGACCTTGGTCGATACCTAAAAAAATGAGAGACATTGGAGAGGCTGATGAGCTGCTCAGAGCTCTGCACTGGGACGTGAAACACATAGCACCTTGGTTTGTCTCAGGATTCCAGGTGCGGCAGGATAAACTGTCAATAAATCAACAATCAGACCCTTATGTAAATGGTATTCACGTCCTATTACGAGAAGTCCTTGTTGTACCAGTATGCGCCTTAACTCATTTGCTCCAAGCACAAAGACTCTAGGTTAAAATGGCTTGTCTATGAATCCTTCTGCCTGGGACACATTTCCCCCTGACAAATAGCAATAGTAATATTAACGTATGATCATGTACTGCTTTAAGAGCTTTATATATGTAAACTCATTTAATCACTCAGCTCCTTGAGCTAGCTTTCTAATATTATTTGCAGTTTTCACATGAGAAAGTAGAGGCAGATGAGGCTAAGTAACTTGGCAGGGTAACATAACTAGGAACCAGAGACGAGATCTGTACCCAGGAAGTCTTATTCTCAACCATGACATTGACACTATCTCCTTCACTCTAGTTAGGCATCTGCTCAAAAGCCAACTCCTCTGAGAAGTCTTCCTATCCACACTAAATAGTGATTCTCCATTACTCTCCACCCTTACCTGCTGGAGTTTTCTTGATAGCATTAATACCGCTTTACATTACAACAGTATATACATGCATCTGTTTATTATTTCTCTCCCCCGCTAAAAGTGAAGCTCTATGAGGACAGACTCATTGAGTTTCTACAGCATCTCCAGGACCTGGAACATGGCCTGGTGTATGACAGGGCTCTTTGTGTGTAGATAGATCGAGTGAATCCCATTACTAGCATATGCTATTCCAATGGGTAAGTCACAGCAGCAACTCAGTGGATGCTATGGTGAATGTTTTCTTCAGAACTCCTAAGTTTAACACCTAAATCCTAAAGTGATGGCATTAGGAGATGGAGCTTTTTGGGAGGTGACTAGGTCATGAGAGTGGATACCTCATGAATGAGATTAGTGCCCTTATAACAGAGGCCCAAGGGAGCCTGTTTGCTCCTTCCACTATATGATGACTCTGCCAGAAAGTATCATCCAGGAAACAAAAAACAGGCCCTCAGCAGACACTGCATTTGCTGGTGCCTTGAGTTTGAACTTCCCAGCTTTCAGAACTGTCAGCAATACATTTCTGTTACTCAGAGGCCACCCAGTCTGTGCTATTCCGTTAAAGCAGTCTCAACAGACTTAGTGGGAAATAAAAATGTGGATTTCAACTCTTGTTAAGGAAAAATCTGCTTTCGGTAAAGAAAAACCTAGACACGGTATTGCCAAAGCTACTGCCCCTCTGGGAGCGTAAGTACCCTTTGCTTAATTTCATCAGGGAAGGAAGAGGTACGATTCCTCCCTGTGACAGGCCTGCGCCAGGTTTATATAGCCTGGCCACACTGCGTACTAAGGGAGCCTCCCACAGCCCCAGGGGTTCTGCCTTCTCATCATCTCTGCCCTCTTCTGGTTATAGGACTTCCTCTCCCTGTGGGACACCATTTCCCTGCCATCTTCAGGCCGTGAGCTTTGGGTGGGGCAAAAGCTGATCTGGGGCCCAACATAGGCCAGCAAAAAAAATCTGCTCTCCTGGCACCCAGGGACTGATTCAGGGGTGGGCAAGTGACCTGCACTAAGCCAACACCTCTCATTGCTTTTTCTAAGGCAGGACTTTTGCTAAGGCAGTCACACAGCAGGCTCTTTTTATAGCAGCAGTAAAACTGGCAGAATGGAAACTGGGAGCTGCTGGGGCCCCTTCCCGTGGGGAGAGCCTGCTGGGAATATAGCCTCAAGCTATGACTGTAGGGTGGACCAGGACCCCTGCATTCTCCTGATGCGTAATGATACACGGCTTCCCAGAAAAAGGGACTAATGTGGCCTTTATCTTCAGTGGCTGAGAGTTCCTGAGCCTGGACTTTCAAGGAAGAACTTCTGGAGACTTGTCTAAAGAGGCAATGAACCAGAAATTAGGGAGAAGAAGAGAATTGCAAGAACAAAAGGCCACCGGCCCAAGCAGCCTACCTTTCTCCTCCCTGACTCACTTTTGTGTCAATGGAGCCCAGGGAGAGAGGAATGAGGGCAATTCTTCTCGTATTAGCTCTTTCCCAAACTATGGGGTTCTCTTTTCATTTTGAAACCTGGCCTTAGAGACTAAGAGGGGATTTTTTTTTATAGGGATAGGAGCAGCCACAAGGGTCACCCCAAGTGGGAGACAGGAAACTGTGTGAATCAACTGAATCAACTCCATCTTTTTTTTTTTTTTTTTTTTTGAGACGGATCAACTCCATCTCTTACAGCACCAGTGCTCCCCAGCAGAGTGAGAAATAACCAGCTGGGGCGGGGCTAGAAACAGACAACCCCGAGCGCCGTGGACACTTCCTCCCCAGACCCTTGGGAGAAAGCTGAGGCAGACATCACAGGGACATGGGACTCTGTAGTAGTTAAGCATAAGCCTTCAGGACTCTGATGAACACAGGTTCAAATCCCAGCTCCATCCCACAGCAGCTGGTTGTAAAGATGCTGACGGCCATCTGCTTGGGTTCAAATCTTGACTCTGCTGCATTCCAGCTGTGTGACCCTAGGCAAATTGCTTCATTTCTCTTTGTTTTGGTCTCCCCATCAGTACAATGGGGATAATCATAGTACTTGGTAATGGAGTTAACATGCATGGAGTGCTGAGAACTGGGCCTACTGACCACTCTTCTTTTATTGCGTTAGGTCTGAAAGCCTGCCTCTCTCTTCGCTGAGGGTCACTGCCCAGATGCATTCCAAGAAATAACTAGGAGGCTGCTCTGTCTCTCCTGCCCTCTCCCACCCTCCTTCTTCCTCCTCCTTCTTCTCACTCCCTTTCTCAAATGCCAAGAGTGCAGAGAGCTCATGATGGCATCCCTGGGTCCTTTGGTGAGCTCTAATCAGCACAGCATCCAGAGCAGCTGCGGCTATCCCCACTCCCTGTTAGAGGTACACAGGAAGTCCAGTCCCTCTGGTCTGTCTGCCACCAGCTGCTTCTCCAAGCTTTGGCAAGCACACATGCTCAGATGCAGCAGCAAGGGCCTAGTTCCTCGGGATGGGGGCCTCATGGAAGGAAGGGCTCAGTTTGGGAGAGTGGAGGGGAGGCATATCATAAAGCGGCCTGGCAGGCAGCAGAACGTGGTCCCCGATAAACATCGATGTCAGATGGTCCTCTGAACTGCTCCTGAACTCTAAACATCTGGAAAAGGGCTCTGCTGTTCGACATCTAAGCGTTCTTTTTTTATTCCTTCTCTAAGCCCTTTAAGTACTTCTTGGAGGGTGTGTGTGTCTACTGCTGCCACAGCCTCGGTCTGTTTATAGGACTGTTTACTCTGCTGTGCACAGGCAAAAGTACCGTTGCCCTAGCAACGGCTGCCTGACGCAGGGCCTGCTCTGAGCGGCTGTATAAATATGGAATATTTGTACAGTATGGTCAGAGGTAAAGCACCCAGTGACTGAGGTATGCATGCTATATAGAGTGTGCTCTTTCACTGTCACAGGAAAATTATGTTTGGTAAAAAAGTGGATTTAAAACAAACATTAGGGACAGCATTTTAACTACAGCAGCAATAATACTGCAGGCCACCATGGTCACCTTTTCTGATAAAACACTGACACCCTTTAATGGATTTAATAGGAAAGGAGGAGAGAATGCCAATAAATGTGCTGGGCAGCCAAAGGGCGAAAGAAAGAGAAGAAAACCGAGGGGCCATCTGAGGTGTACATGCTGCAGCAACAGAGAGATTTTTTCTCTCTGCCAAGTACTGAGCAAAAATTCTAAGTGGCAGTTTCTGGAGAGGCTCTTAGCCTCCAAGGACAGAAACAGGAAAAACAGAAATATGGATGGGAAGGGGTATTGTTGCCATGGGCTGGTATTCTGCACACATGGCCCCTCTCATCTGAGCAAGTGTGCACTTGCAGACTTGAATCCTCGGTTGGGCAATACTGAGTCAAGACATTGCACCATTTTCCCTGACACTGTCCTACCTCTCCCCTTCCACACACGTCTTGTCACTTGTCACAACTGATCTTCGCATTTCCTAACTCTTAGCAAAAAGAAGGTTTATCTGTTTGACTACTTTGATCTTGTGAGACATGAAAGCTCCTGGGTACTGAGTTGAAGCAACAGGCTGTGAGAGGGGTGAGGTTTTTAGGGGTTAGGGGATGGGAAATTTGCCATCACCTAAGCCCCCAGAAGGAAATGCAGCTGAACAGAGGTCTTCACAGCAGAGCTTAAGCCCAGGCCTGAGCATGTGGGACAAGAATGCCCAATGACAAAGCACCGTTGAGCACACGCTAGCTGTCTTGTCCACAAAGCCAGGGTTTTTATCAGCACACAGAGCTCTCCAAATACTAGCTAATTTTTTTATTTGAATACATCACTTCTTATGAACCAAGAAAACAAAGCCACTTTTTTTGGTCCTGATAAAACCTTTTAAGTGGGGCAAAATGGGCTCCAAAATGGATTATCTCTGTATCTCCTCACTCTAGGTAAGAAATCGGCAGCTTCTGAACAGACTTCTTGGGATTGCACAAGCCACTGGATGATCTGGCTGTGATCTCACAGACATTCAGCCACTGCCAACTTTTTTATTCCCTCCAAGGTTGGCTCCTTCCCAAGGTGCCAGAAAAGGCAAGTTGAATGAAGAAGCCACAATGCAGTATGATCTGGAACAGCGTTAAAGGGTTGAACAAATTGGGTATTTGCAGAGGGAAAATGATTTTCACCATCTCAGATCTGCCACTTATTGGGGGAGTTAATAGTTTATGGACTATTTGAAGTTCATTTGCTTTGCATTTGGCTGGAGTAGCTTTTGCTATTTTTTTTTTTTTAAAGACATACTTGCCAGAAGCCACTGGGTTTCCTTGACAATCCCTCTCCACCAAGAGACCACTTTGGTTCCTCCTCTGCAAATCCCCAACTTGTCCCAAGGAGGCTATGGAAGATATCTGTTTAGATTTTCCTTCTGAGCTTCCCCCACTGCCCTGAGCCTCGGTTGTGGGACTGTATGGCACATAGTCCCCACTTGGAGGTGGGCCCTTGACCAAAGCAAGGCTGAAAAGATTCTTATTTGGAAGAACTGACCTGAAAACTGGAAGAGACACAGTTCCTCTCCTTTTGAGAATGCAAATACTAAGACTAGTATCACTAGTGAGTCATCTCGACCATTAGGTGAAGACAGCTTCTCCCAAATGATGTTAACAGAAGGCAAATTAAGCTGAGATACAGAGAAAAAAATCGGTTTTGTCTGAACCCTTGATCCACCCCTATCTGAAGCTAGTATACTTCTTGGCCTTTCTAGTGTCATGAATCAAGAAATTCCCTTTTTCAGTTAAGTTAGCATGAGTTGGGTTTCTAACACTTGCAATCAAAGATACTTTAACTACACCCAAAACAAAGGTGACCGCATCACAGAAGGACCAAGCTGACTGCCAAATATTGCCTCACCTATATGTTGGGCACAGGTGTCACAATATTCTGCATACAAGGACTCGAAGCAGTGGCAACAGTAGGGTCTTCCCTCCTTCATGATGTAGCGCTGGCCGCCCAGCACTGTCTCACACTCGAAGCAGCAAAAGTGTTTCATGTGCCAGTGTCGCCCCTCAGCTTCTGTGCATTCATCTGCAAAGATGATCTGGAGATGGGGAAGCCAAATGGTCAGTGTGTAAAACCCATCCAGAACATATTTTAAAGGAAGAAAGCTATGGGGTCCTTGAACTAGAAGGGTAAGAAAGCAGATCCTACTCACAAATAATTAAACAAAAATCCATATGGATATGTTTATTCTGTATGTATATCAGTTCCTATACATGGATTTACCTAAAGCATAATTAAACATGATTTCTGGCCTAGCCAGTAATTAACTTAACCACATTTAATAAGAGAAAGAATGTTCTACCCTGGAGAATATAAGGCAGGATCAAAAACTGACAGCTCACAGGCACATTGGACATACATATCTGCTTCATTTGGCCTGGCCATATTATTTTTTTAAATGGAAAATATCATATTAACACTTGTAATCCTGGTTTATCTTTTGAAAACACAACATTTGCAATGCTCAGTGCACATTCCTACATGGCAGTAATAAACTAGAGCTAAGAAGAGAGGCTGCTGCTTTCCAATGAGTGGCAAGTTCTCCAGTTTGTCATATTCTTCACCCTTCCCTATTGCCTTAAAATAAGTCACCTTCATTTACAGCACCTGCCAGGCCCTCACAAGTGTTTGCATTTTCCCCCAATATAGAGTTTTTAAAATTTCAAAGCACAGATTTCAAAATTTACTATAAAGCTACAGTAATCAAGCCAGCATGGCACTGGCATAAGGCTGGGCATATAGATGAATAGGTATCCAGATTTAAACTCATACATACATGGTCAATTAATTGTTGAAAAGGAGGCCAAGACCATTCCATGGGGAAAAGAATAGTTTTCTCAACAAACAGAGCTGGGACAACAGGAGAGCCTCATGTAAAATAATGAATTCAAACCCCTACCTTACATCATACATAAAAATTAACTCAAGGCTGGGTGCGGTGGCTCACACCTATAATCCCAGCACTTTGGGAGGCCGAGGTGGGTGGATCACAAAGTCAGGAGATTGAGACTATCCTGGCTAACACAGTGAAACCCTGTCTCTATTAAAAATACAAAAAAAAAAAAAATAGCCAGGTGTGGTGGCGGGCACCTGCAGTCCCAGCTACTTGGGAGGCTGAGGCAGGAGAATGGCGTGAACCTGGGAGGCGGAGCTTGCAGTGAGCTGAGATCGTGCCACTGCACTCTAGCCTGGGTGACAGGGTGAAACTCCATCTCGAAGAAAAAAAAATTAATTCAAATGGGTTTAAAGAGCTAGGGGCAAAAAAACAATAAAACGCTTAGAAGAAAACACAGGTGTAAATCTTTATGATCTTGAACTAGGCAATGGTTTCTTAGATATGATGCTAAAAGCATAAACAACAAAAAATAACGTAGACTTCATCAAAATTAAAAACTTTATGCTTCAAAGGACATCATCGAGTAAGTGAAAACACAGCTATAGAATGGGAGAAAATATTTGCCAATCATCTATCTGATGATGGACTAGTATACAGAATATATACAAATCACTCTTACAACTCAATAATGAGAAAAATAGGCCAAGTACAGTGGCTCACACCTGTAATCCCAGTGCTTTGAGAGGCTGAGGTGTGTGGATCACATGAGGCCAGAAGTTTGAGATGAGCCTCACCAATATGGTGAAACGCCATCTCTACTAAAAATACAAAAATCAGCTGGGCATGGTGGTGCATGCTTCTAATCCCAGCTACTCAGGAGGTTCGGTCAGGAGAATTGCTTGAACCTGGGAGGTAGAGGCTGCAGTGAGCCAAGATCATGCCACTGCACTCCAGCCTGGGTGACAGAGTGAGACTCTGTCTTAAAAAAAAAAAAAAAAAAAAAAGGGAAAAATAACCCAATTGAAAAGGTAGTCAAAAAATTTAAATTAAAAAAATTTTTTCAGACATTTCTCTGAAAAAGAAGATACACAAATATCTAATAAACACATGAAAAGATGCTCAACATTATTAGCTGTTGGGGAAATATGAATCAAAACCTCAATGTGATACTACTTCATACCCATTACGATAGCTATAATGAAAAAAAAAAACAGATAATAACAAGTATTAGTGAGAAAGTGGACAAATTGGAATCCTCATTCATTGATAGCAGGAATGTAAAATGTTATACTTGTTTTGGAAGACAATTTGGCATTCCCTCAAAAAGTTAAACTTAGAATTATCATATGACCCAGCAATTCCACTCCTGGGTATACACTCAAGAGAACTAAAAATATATGTACACACAGAAATGTTCATAGCAGCGTTGTTTAGAGTAGCCAAAAAGTGGAAACAACTTAAATGTCCATCAATTGATACATGGCTAGACAAAATGTGA
Source organism: Homo sapiens (assembly GCF_000001405.40). NCBI lineage: Eukaryota > Metazoa > Chordata > Mammalia > Primates > Hominidae > Homo > Homo sapiens. Next base: position 64,155,665 of record NC_000003.12, read on the forward strand.
TACATACATACAACTGAATATTATTCAGCCACGAGAAGGAATGAAGTACTTACATATACTACTATATGGATTAACATTGGAAACACGCTAAACGAAAGAAACCAGACTTGAAAGGTCACATATGATTTCACTTATATGAAATGTCCAGAACATGTAAATCCACAGAGACAGAAATAGATTAGAAGTTGCCAGGGGCTAGGGAAAGGGGGAAATGAGGAGTGACTGCTAATGGATAAAGAGTTTCTCTTTAGTTGATGAAAATGGTCTGGAATCAGCAGTGATGGTTGCACAGCTTTGTGAATATACTAAAATCCACTGAATTATTTACTTTAAAAGGGTCCTTAATGCTATGCAAATTATATCTCAATAAACAAATTTCAAAGTGTGTGCTTCAATCATATTCTAATTGCCATTAGACAACACAAAGCTGTATTCTGAGCACCAATTTTCAGATGTGGAAACTGAGGCATGAAGGTCAAAAGGTGTTCTAGAACCACAGAGTTGGACCTGAATTTAGTTTTCCAGCTATCTTTCTAGAAGGTCTCTCCAGAACATCACCATTAGTGTTAGAATTCAAATTAGTTGAGCCTGATCAGCTTCCTCCTAGAAAGTGAGTCCCTCGTAGGTAGTTTGTAAGAAAGAAATGCCCATGTAACAGTAGGCTGTCTGGCTGAAAAAGGGGAGTGTTACTTACCTCCCACACTGCTATTTACAGAGAAAGATAGATGCAAAAAACTCCTTTGCACAGGAGGAAACCTCTGTCTAGGACTTTTACCCAAATTATTCCCATAAAAGTGGTCAGATTTAGAACATTCTTTTTTCTGCTCCCAACTTATAAAGCTAAACCAGGTTTTCTATTCTGTCAGCTTACACGGTAGGGTGTGCTTCTAGTAGGGGAAGAAGGCCAGGCAGAGGTTTTGCGTTCTATCCTGCTTTCTTACATAGGGTACTTCTTAGAGCATGGGGCAGAGACATCCAAATGAAGTATCCATCTGCCTCCTGAATTTTTTTTTCACTCAGAACTTTTATAAACTGTAGAAAAATCAAATAATGCTACCTATTTTCTCTTTTCTAATCATTTTGCAGCAGTGAATCTTGGAAAATGAAACAATTTTAAGATATAAGTGGCACTCCATTACTGATTATTCCATGAGATTAGGGTTAATATCTAAAGATGCACAATGCAATTTTGTTTTGTTTTGTTTTTAGGGTTCTGAACTTACTTAGGGCCAGTTATATGTCACTTGGGGATCTTCATGGATACAGAAACTGCCTTCCCAACAGGAAGCTATGAGACCTCCACGCTCAGTAAAGCAGGCCGCAACCCCAGACATTCTAGAAACCAGGGATGGGTGGGGCTTCTCTCCCAAAAGGGTTAATGCAAGAAAATGAAGTTGCCTATGGCTTTCTTCAGTGCAGAAAGCCAGAAGACCATGTGTTGGCTATGGTGCAATGAAGGGGTGATGGGCAGGTAAACCTGCTGGAGTTTGCTCTAACCTCATCGCAGGCAGCACAGCGCGGCTTCAGGCACTCAGCATGGTGCCTGCCACAGTATATCTTCCCATCTTGGTAAAAGTAGATCAGATCCACCAGGAGCTCATTGCAGACAGTGCATACGAAGCACGGCGGGTGCCAGCAAACGCCGTGGCCAGCGCGTGACGCAAACACAGCGATGTCTCCACCATTGATCTGGCCTCCGCACTGTGAGGCAAACAGAAACATCAGTAGTCACACTAGCCCCCATCTCCCAGTGCTGTGCATAAATGATAAAGGACAACCACCATTAGCTGGCTACTGAGTGCTTATGTTCAAAGCAGTCACTATGCTTCCTGCTTTACACAGGCAGCAGGGCAGGTTTTTCTTGTCCTCCCTGAACTCTCCTTTCCTAAGGCTTACAAATAATGTAGAGAGAAAGTCATTGGGAGAATGAGGAATCACAAAGGTGGGAAAGAAAGAAAAGCTCTTTTAGCACAATAACGTACAGGGGCTCTGCAGGCAGGAGGCAAACTGGCACAGAGGAAAGCCTCATTATCTTTTAGATACTTTAAACTCCATGCAGAGACACAGCCAGGTTTAACACCACCAGGAGTGGCTGGGGAGGGAGGTGGGTGGGAGGACGGGGCTTGGAGGAGGTGGGACCTATACTTTTATATGGGAGGGAGGGTGGATACATAACAGCACGCTCACCTTTAACTACCTTCTCTGTGTGCCTTTCAGGCATGCTTTTAGTCTGCTTCCTCTAACATCTTTCTACATAGTCTTGATTGACACGGCACCACTTCTAAGGCCAAACTATGGAAAGGGTTTCTTCCTATCCCTTCCCTACCTTCTCACTCATTTTCTCAAGTTCCCTCTTGATCCTAAAAGAAACAAGGCAGAATCACTGGCCACCTATGCTTACAGTTGGGGTTGGGACAAAAAGAATATGGTTTGAGGGACTCTGAGGGAAGAATAAAATGTGGAAAGTAGGTCTAGGGAGATGCTTCTGCTGACCATGGCATGGGCCTTGAGGTTCACAGGTTGAGTATAGTTCTAGGGTCATACAAGAGTGGCTGAGCTCAGGGGACAATGTCTAAAGAGCAGAGAAGCTACCACCAAATCTTTCCCATGCTATGCGTTGAAATGTATCTTAGAAAATGAAGTAAAGACCTCACAAACAGTCTCTGGGAACTCATCCACGTGTGTGACTGGACAAAAGAAAGGCATCATGTTATCCTTACCTTCCGTGATAATGTTAGCAGAGCTAAAGCATGCAGACATAATCCTATATAACCCTCACATGAGTCATCATTCATCCATTCTATAGATGACAAAACCAAGGAAAAGTAACACGGTCAAGGTCATCTGGAAGAAACATGAGTCAAACTTATGAAAGCTCTTTCTGCCTTCACACTCTTGGCACTATTCTACACAATTCTTGGCACCTGCCCACAAAATGCCCAACCTTCCTTCTCCCTTAGGCAAACTCAGCTTGCCTGGTTCCAGGAGACTGATCTGAGAGGAGCAAGGATTTCACCTTGCCTGGATGGAGCACAGTGAATCTCAGATCACAACCACTGACCACCTGTACCTTAAGGGTGGGTCCCAGATATACTTCATAAGAATAAAGATCCCACTGCCAAATCTCTGGTCAATTAGCTACCCCATCCCATATAACTGAACCTTCTCACTCTACCCCTCTGAAATCTCAAAAAAGGGCCTCAAATGACATCTGCTTCCCTTGGGCAGCATCCCACCTCCTCTTCTTTGATCCAGTTAACATATCTTCAGCTCTCAAGGGGTCTACGCAGAGCTTAAGGAGTTAGATAGGAATGTTCAAAAAGCTGTAGGACTTAGAGAAGTACCAAGAATGACGATCAGCACTGGAAAGCCTGTGGCAGCTGAGAGGTGGGGCAAGGTGTGTTCCCACCCTGCAGTCTCTAAAACTCTTCTTCACCACACCCTGAGCACTCAACAGGAGCAGAGGAGACAGGAAATCCAGAATCTTGAACGCAGTGAGGTCCCAGGGAGAATGCCTCTTCACTCCCCTGAACCCACTCTCACCTGTTCACAAATAGCTCCTGTCAACATGACTCGGAAGGGCTTCATGCACTTCAATAAGGAACTCTCAATTCTCAGGAGAAGATCATTTACCTCCCCTTTAAATGGCTCTCGTTCTGGGATGATCCTGGGAGGGAGGCTGACCCATGGCCCAAGCCAACTCCATTTTCTAAAGGTCTCTTTTTAAAACATAAATCCATCATGCCATTGCTCTGCTCAATTCTTCCAATGGCTCACCCAGAACTCTGACTTTATCTGAATTATCTCCCTTCACTCCCTCTGCCCCAGCCCATTGGCCAACTCACTGTTGAACATAATAGACACCCTCCTGTCTCAGGGCCTCTAAGCCGGTCATTCCTTCTGCCTTAGCATTCCCTCTGCCCTAAAATCTGCAAGACTCTCTCCCTCTTGCACATCTGTGCACATCTTTGCTCAGATCTTCTAAGTGGGGTCTTCCCCATCAACCTTCCTTAAAACTGCAGCCTCCCCACACTTCCAGTACATTCAAGTCTCCTTCCTTGCTGTATCTTTTTCTATTTTGTTGATTACATATATTGTCTGACTTCCTCCCCTAGAATCCAACTCCTTAGAAGGGCAAGATGAAACTTTCCCGTCTTTTGTTCACTACTGTATCTCAGGCACATAGTAGGCACTCAGTAAAACAATTGTTGGATGAATGAATGGGTGAAAAGATGCCAGAACAATGCCTCTTCACTCCCCTGAATCCATGCTTACCTGTTCACAAATAGCTCCTGTCATGGTGACTGGGAAAGGCCTGACATTCCCGCGGCCCAAGTTTTCGCGTTTCCTCTGGCTGCTGAAAAGCTTCAGCTCCCTCTTCTCTTCCTCATCCAGGGAGTTGCAATATCGAACCTGAATAGACACAGACAATGGCATGGAAAAAGTCACCCTTGCTCCTTAAGATTTCTGAAGCCCATGACTCTGAGTTTTCTCGTTAAATACACTCTCATTTGGTTTTATAGCCCTCGCCTGAACTTTAACCACAACAGCCTTGGAGAGATTTAAGGTGAGTCTCTACTAAGGTGAGTCTCTACTAAGATTGCGGACAGCCAAAAGAGCTTACCAAAGGCTCTGAATTCTGGATCCCAAGCCTTGGGCAGGCTAAAGGTGCCTGCTCCTTATCCTGACTGCCTCACTCTGCTCACCATGTTAAGATCAAATCATCTGGGGTGGCTCAGCTGCCAGGAAAGAGCTGAGAAGTTCTCCTTCTTCCAAACTGCAGGAACCTGATACTTTCATCTCCATGTGCCCATGCAAGTGATCCTTGACACCAAGAATGACTCTAAGTCAGTGAGCCAGAGCAGGTGTCCACGTGCTCACAGCTTCTGTTCTCCCGTCTCATTTTGGAAAAACAGGGAAACAAAGGTGTGAGCCTGAGGAGTTGGACCAGGCATCTGTGATGCTGCACAAAAGTCTCTGCATGTTTATCTTTGTAGAGAGAGGAACAAGCTGCCTGCTAGACTTCAGTTGAGTCGACTTGCAAGAGACATTTTCCTTCTTGTTAAATATAGAAACTCAGAGAATTAAAGGAGGAACATTAAAGATAATTTGAATCCAGTATCTCCCCTTACTTATGCACACCTTGGGAATTGTGCTATATTCTTGCACTGTTATTTACTCAATGCTGTTTTTAATACTGACTCAGTTTTTTGGAAACTTGGATGCATTTATTTCAAAAGAAAGTATAACTATAAATGGAAAACCAATATCACCCGTAAAAACAAAAACAAAAACAAACAAACAAACAAACAAACAAACAAAAAAACCAGAAGAAACCTAAATAGACTGGGAACAGAACCATGTTGTTAGATTCTAGCTGGTCACTTTGCTTGCAGGAAATCCTAAAACAGAGATCCCTGACGCTCCTACTTAAAAGTGGAGGCCAGTGTGAGTTAGAGAGATATGAGACACCTGCTAGCACTAAATTGAAATTTCCTCCTTGATTATTCAACTACTCTATCACAAGGAATACAATACAACTTAAAATATAGTAACTCTCTCAATATGTGGTTTCGTTTCATTTACTGCCATGTCCACATAACACTCAGAGTCATGTATATACCACACTTTGGGAAACACGGTCCTAATCCCGTCTCCTGTTATACTTTGGAGTAATCTGGACATCAGAAAGGTTAAGTGAATTGCTTGGATGATTTGTTACACAGATGGTTAGAGGGAAACCTTGGAACTAGGACTGTCACATCCTAATTTGAAAACCAGGACAGCTGTGGATATCAAAATTGTCTTATCTATGCAAAAAAGAAAATGGTCAAATATTTACTTTAGAATCACAATCACCCTTTGTCTTCAAAAGAGCCATTTCAAATAGGCTAAATCTGCCCACTGGGTCACACACACACAATTCCTACCAATGGGACATTGTAATCTGAATGGTGTCTCTTTTCATAAAAGCACAGTTAACCATAAACACAACAAACCACTAAAATCAGAGAAGAGCCAATCCCTTCTCTCTGTCAAATAAAAAGAGTTAAAAAAAAAAAAAAAAAAAAGTCTCCATGTAAACGTCCCAGAGAGAACTGCAGTGACCTGAACAGCCCAGAATATATGGTTACACCACTGACATTTTAGGGACATGCTTTCAAAGGAAGGCACACCCTTCCTGCTTGTAAAAACCCGCATTTTCACTTCCAAATTAGTTAACCAGGCATCAGGTTACAATGCTTGCTCTCAACTTTAAAGGAGAAAGCATTATTTATATTTGCTTTATGATGTCTGAAATAAGCAGCAGTAAAGAGGATCATAGCTCTCTTTTTAGGGAACTGCTTCAGTTTTAAAGTTTTTGTCCTGCTTACTCAAATTTATTTTTGAGGCTCTCAAATGATCCCCTTTCATTCTAATGTGGGAAAATAAGACTGAAAAGCACTCATTTCCCCTGGGACGGAGCTGCTGGGATTCAGCTCGTGGGTTGGAGAGTTGGTAGAAAGCTGGTGCCCAGCTCTCTAAGGGGGTTATTTCTCCTATCAATTAAAAATTACATTTTTGTTTTAAATGCAGTCAGAGTCAAGTAGACAGTTCAGTTCCATAGGATTACTATTTTGAAAAACCAGTTACCTAAAAATGAATTTCTAGCATGTAAACTGACTTCCCTTCCAGCATAATGATCTTTGAAAACCATGTTTACAAATTTCTCTTTATGAGCAATCAGATTTCGAGGATAAGAGATGCCCGCTTACAGTGCCATGTTTCTGGGTTCAGAAAAAAGGACAGTCTGCTAGTCCACACTTTCAAGAGTACAAAGAACAACCTCAGCAAGTCAGACTTCACCATGACAAAAACACAGACGTTCGAAGCTACAAATCTGGACATGTAATTCTCCTGCAGTGTAGTGTGGAAAACTTGCACGCTCATTTAATATGAAATGATGCCGAAAATTCAGGAGAGTCACAAAGCTTTTGTAGGACTTGAAGTGGTCCAGGGGATCTCAGTCATCTCTCCAAAATACACAGGAAACCCACATGGCATATTCTTCAAGTAAGAAAACTTGGAATCATAGCTTTTGAATTTTAGTGCTCCCTGGCTACCCCCAAATAGCTAGTAGTGCCAGGCATAGAGGCCAATCCAGTTTATAATGAGATTCTGCTTTTTTAGTAATACTCTCTAGAAGTAAATTGTTGGCCAGTTTATTTTGGCCCTAATTAAGGAAGCTAAAACCTAAAATAAATTGCCAGAGTTCTTCTTCGGCTACCTCATTGGTGGCAGATTATGAAAAAGGTAACAATTCATAGAAGGCACTAAGAAAATTCTGCATAAGCCCCCTCTAGCCCCTTACCTCATTGTCATGTGGCGGCAGCTGGTGTAGTAGCTGCTTGATTCGCAGTTTCTCTCCAGGACTGTTGACATAAGGGACTTTCTCTTCTGGGAGACAGCTATAGTACTGGTGTACCTGAAGGACAGAAAGCATATAGATGACTTGCCCATTACTCAAACCATGTGCCTATTCCCACTTACTGGGAAGATGATTCCCCCAGCAGGATGTAACTGACTTCTGCAGTCCTGACTCTTTATGAAAGTCAACAGCAGATGAGTTTCCTATGGTAAGCAGAGAAATTCATCCTTAAAGCAAGAGTCAGGCAAATCATCCATATCTGGGATTTTTCCCTCTCTCTGTGAGGGAAAAATAAAGCTAGTAAATTTTCCTAGAAACAGAGAATTCAGCAGACATGCTGGTGAACCAGAGGGTAGGGCTTTCTCGGCAGACTCCCCTGAGAGCTGGCTTTACCATTTTCTCTGTTAGTCTCCAGCATATGACGTGCCTCCCTAGCCAAAGGGATATGTCAGCACCTGCCTCGGCAATGGAGTTAAAGCCAGTCTTTGGCACTCGGCAAACCCCTAGGTACCTCAGCCTCCACCTACATTTAAAGCCCTCCAGGTTTCGAGACTTTTGTAAGGCAGGCAGCAGCTGACATCCATCAGAAATAGACTCACTAAATCTGGGATGCAGAGCATGTAATTAAAAATTGTCACTAACATGAGGATTTTTGCACATCCCACAACATTCCTGTTTACGACTGTTAGGACATATTCTTGTACTTTATGAGGCTCATTCAACCCTAACAACTGGGGAAAGCACCAAGCAGCTAATTTTGCCTGAGAAAAGAAAACAGACATTCCACCATTCAGCCACATGCAAAACTAGAGAGAAAAAACTGGCTAATACAGAAGGTATGTTATTATATAGGAGAGGCAAAAAAAAAAAAAAAAAAATCCCACAAGCCCAGATGACATCATGGAAAATACTCTCAAGTATCTCTTATTTAACGACATGAGCACCTCTTGCGAAACAAGGCATTCATTCAACAAATGGAGAAGATGGAAGACTGAGGGCTCTGAAAGTCATCATATTTGGCCAGGCATGGTGGCTCACACCTGAAATCCCAGCACCTTGGGGGGCTGAGGCGGGCGGGAGAACCACCTGAGGGCGGCAGTTTGAGACCAGCCTGGCCAACACGGTGAAACCCCGCCTCTACTAAAAGTACAAAAATTAGCCTGGCCTGGTGGTGCATGCCTGTAATCCCAGCTACTCAGGAGGCTAAGGCAGGAGAATTGCTTGAACACACCACAGCCTGGGCAACAGAGCAAGACTCTTTCTCAAAAAACATCAACAAAAATAAAAAAAAAAAAATTTGTTACATTCTACAAACTTGGTCTAAACTTGGTCTAATTCCTTTGCATTTAGGGAGCCGTGGGTATGAACACATGTTTTGGGAATGCTGGGGTGAAGAGGTGCGAAAGCTCTGTCTACTTTGATCTCCAGAAACTAAGTCATAAATGTTAGAAGAGGGGGTGAAAAGGCTTTGTAATGACAAGGCCTTAAAAAATGTGAAAGCTATCTTTATTTTCATAACTAATGATGGTAACCATTAACCATCATGTGCCTATCATCCTTTTAATCAAATCCCAGAGGCAACTATAAAGAGAATTCTTGTCCTAGACTAGCTAGATTTCCAAAGGCAGGGTCTGTATAAGCCCCTCCCTATAGGCAGCTGGCAGAGAGCTATGCCCAGGGGCAATAATGAATGATGCCGGGTTCTGAAGAGAGCCCACTGTTGACCAGTACTCTGAGAAGAAGTAAAAGCCCAGATCACTAGTTAGTTTGGGATTAGAAGCTGGCAATTTGCCTATTAGAGACTTGCACAGCATTCCATCCTCAGAAAAGTCCCTGTGCCATATGCCTCATCAGACAAAGGCCAGGTATAAAAAAGCACGCCCAGTCTCATGTCTTGGGGAATGGGCTTCTGACTCCCAAGTCAGAAGACTGCTTGTAGAAAGGCCTTGTTCCATCATTACTTTGTCATTCTCCCAACTTCCATTGTCGTTATGGAACATTAGGGACAATTGCTAATATGAGATGAATTACTATGGATGCTTGAAAATGCAGAGTCTAGTTGCGGTTCCATCGACCCTCCTCTTAATCACCTCTAATTACTCACATACCCCCTGTCCATTGCCTAGAGCACAGTCAGGCCTGAGAGCCCTTCTTAACTGGTACTTTGAACCAAGCCCTTTCTGATACTGTCTAAGGCTGGCCCAAGTTGGAATCTTCCCTGCACCCTCTAGGGCATGGCCAGTAGATCTGGACCCCGAGTCAAGGCTCTGTTGTTTCCCATCTCTGGGTTCCTGAGCAAGTTATGTGGCTGTTCAAAATACTCATCATAAGACTGTGATGATTAAATGAGAGTGTAGGCACAAGCATGTGGCTCTTAATAAAAATAAATAACACGAATACATGACAATAGTTATACTATCAAGCCTGGCCTACTCTAAATGGAACAATCCAGATGCTTCCTGGACTAGGTCTTGCTCTGTCACCCAGGCTGGAGTACAGTGGCGCGGTCATGGCTCACTGTAGCCTTGACCTCCTGGGCTTAAGCACTCTTCCCACCTCAGAGTAGCAGGAACTACCAGCGCATGCCACCATGCCTGGCTAATTTTTAAAATATTTTGGAGAGACAGGGTCTTGCTATGTTGACCAAGTTGGTCTTGAACTCCTGGGCTCAAGCTATTCTCCTGCCTTGGCCTTCCAAAGTGCTGGGATTACGGGTGTGAGCCACCCCATCAGGCCCACTTTTGAATGGGCAGCAACACTGCTGGCTTGTAGAGTGAGACCAAACCCTGAAGCCACTTATATTAGTCAAAGCAAGAAAAATACGTTGCAAGGAATACAATGGTATTAAAGCTAGTTTGACTTCAGGGGAAAAATGGCAAACTGTTATAAAGGTGTGTGTGTGTGTGTGTGTGTGTGTGTGTGTGTGTGTGTGTGTGTGTGTGTTTTGTTTTGTTTTTGTTTTTAGAAACTTAGCCATGTATATAAAAGGGTCTCATGAGGAAATAGAATATGCCACTGGAAGGTGATTGTACCAAGTTTCTGTTCTCTCTGAGCCCAGTGTCCTCTTACCTCTGCTCTCTTCTCTTCCTGCAGATCTGCTTCTCACCTTCTCAAAGGTTAAGGTTTCCCACAGCACTTGAGTTTGCACAGCATCACTTCAAGAGTCTGTCCTAGAGTGACTCGCTTTTCTCAATTCCAAATTCCCCAGAGAAGGACCCTGATTACCCTGTCTTGGGCAGCGTCCACACCCAGAAATGAGATTAGAGACATTCAGTACTTTGAAAACTGGAGAATAAATGAATCCCAACATGACATGACTGAGTGAAGGTGCAGCCAGCAGTGATGGAGGACTCTGGAGAAACTTAGGAGTAAATAAGTCCCTTGGTGTGCTGAGATCCATCCTAAAGACTGAATTCTGAAGTCAACAGAGGCAGTGACTACTCTTTGGGAACACAGCTCTATCTTTCCTGGACATCTTTTGTCAACTTTTATAATTCAAGCCTACTGATAACCACTCAAAATTATTCCAGTAATTCCTCAAATATACAATATGCTAGAATATCTTCTCACAAGGTAACTAATAATTTGATGGATGACTTAAGAACTTACCTAGGTAGCAAGATGCCCCATTTCTAAAATAAATAAGTTAATATTAATTAACAACCTACCAAATCACTCCCATATCACATGGTAGGTGATGTGGCTTGCTCTGAGGAAGGAGAATGATTTAGTCCTTTCAGGACTTCCAATCCTCTTCGAAGTCCATTGAAGTCCAGGAGAAAAACGCATCCCTCTAATGTTAGCTTTGTGTCGCCTCCTGGTGTTTAGATGCTGGACTTTCCAAATTTTTCACTGAGCAAAGGGGATTAACGGATGGATGGGAGGGAGGGAGAAACAGCTCTCCTGAATTCTTTGGCTGGATACAGGAATGCTGCCTGCATTTTCCTCTGGCATTCTCCACAGTGAAACTACTGTATGGCCCAAAACAAACATCAAGTGAACCAAGGGTAATGGGAAAATACTGAGTATACTTTCTGGCACTACAAAAATTAAATTTGGCACAATCCCTGAAAATCCTGCAGATTGTTCATTTTAGTCCAAACATGTTTCACTTGTTCATTTTTTTTGGAGTAAATAAGCAAATCCAATAGAATTTTGTCAATGATGATCATTACCAAGCTATTACCCATTATGCTGATAACTGTATTTTTCATTCTGTGTGTATTGAACATATTTATTCAAAAGCACGTCTGTTGAATGTGCTAAAGACTTTGCTCCATTTAGACATTCCCAGATAAAGGTGCCCTGTGATTCCACCCCAGGTGAAATCATACTAGGTAACTTTCCCCTAAACAAAAGCATTTTGAACACAATAAACTGGCTTATGAAAATGAAATAGCCAAAGGCCTTTAAGGTGTAACTCTGCAACAGGAAAGGTTTGGCAGCAACTTCAGTGTGTGTCAGACAGATCGCAAGCACTTTAGTCAGTGCGCATATAAAGTCTACAAAGCAAAGCCTCGCCCAGCTGGAAAGATGAGGCTTGTTGGAAGGAACTGCACGTTTGATAGCATTTCTGCCTGGGCAGAAAGATGGAGGCTGGAGAAGCAATAACTCTGCATTTGGGAGAAAAGTGTATGAAAAGTAAGCTGATTTTTTTTTTATAAAGAAGTGTGCAAAGCACTTTATTTAGAGCACTGGTTCTCAAACTATAGCTTGCATCAGAATCACCTGGAAGGCCTGTTAAAACACAGATTTCTAATTTAGTAGGCCCGGGATGGGGACATTTGCATTTCTGACTCCTCTTCAGGTCCTGCTGTTAGTCCAGGGAACACACTTTGTGAGTTTTAGAGCTTTCTACTGTTTTCCCTCAACAACCAACATTATGCAGTTGCCAGGCAAATGGTAGGATTCCCACTTTCTTCAAGAGATCTAGGAAGCCCAGAAAAGGGAAGAGAACTTGTTGGACCTCACCCAATTTTTCAGGTGTCTCCTTCCACACCTAGATATATGATTCAGCAGGGGATTCTACCAGCTCTGGCAAGAACAAGAAATCCTAAGGGCAAAGTGCTCACATTTTTGGGTGGCAACATTTTCCTTATCAAAAGCATCCTTATTTTCTTAGAGCAGGAACCCACAAAGGAGAAGTTAGACTTTCTTGGCCGATTTCAGAATCAATTGTTCTTCACCATCTAGATGCGGAGGGGGCCCAATATTTTGGCTTCCCTGGGCCACACTGGAAGAAGAAGAATTGTCTTGAGCCACACATAAAATACAGTAACACTAATGATAGCTGATGAGCTTTAAAAAATTGCAAAAAAAAAATCTCATAATGTTTTAAGAAAGTTTGTGCATTTCTGTTGGGCCGCATTCAAAGCCATCCTGGGCTGCATGCAGCCTGTGGACCACGGGTTGGACAAGCCTGATCTGAATGAAGGAAGCGGTCATCGAACTATTGACTTACTGAGTGACCCTACGGCTTGACGCGTTTTTATACACAGTATTTCATAAACCTTCTGCACACTCTGGAGGTGGGTATTTCATACTCATCAGATTGAATATCACATAGTTACAAAGTGAGAGAGCCACCTTTGAGCTTGACTTCCCCATCCTCTCCTTCTGTTCTCCTTTATCAAGAAAAAAAGAGACTGAAGAGACTGGCAGATGGATGGGAAAGAAGGAAGAAAAAACCAAATCATACCCAGATACAGTAGATTCCCAATAGGTCTGCGTGGCTGACCACAGAAACGATGAACACATTTTCCTTTGGTATTACCCAGAACATAACCAACACACAGCTCCCAAATAAAGCCAAAATGAACAGACAGTAAGTGAAAAATCTCCAAATTACAGTCTTTCCACAACACCATGGCATGATGGTAAGAGAGTTGTGGCAGAGTTTTCCCAGCCATATCCATTTTTTTTTTCTTCCTTAACAATACCCTCATTTGACTGAGAGCATCAATATACTCAGCTAAGAATAATATTTCTGCAGCTCCTTAGTAGCTACATGTGGCCTTACACATTCTGGCCAATGACACGGAAGGGTGTGACTTCTGGGAAGCTCTTTTAAAGGAGGCTAGACAGTTGTTAGCCAAGACCTTTTTTTGCCCATTCCCCCTTCTTCCTGCTTCCTGTCTGGAATGTAAACACAATGGCTAGAGCTCCAGCAGCCATCTTGTGTCATGAAGTAACCTTACAAATGGGAATGGAAGCTGTAACCTGAGGATAGTAGGACGGAAAGTTATGAGCCTGGACTTCAAAAAATTTTTAAAATTTTTATACCATGGAGCCACCAGACTAACCCTGGATTGCGTTTCTCTGAACTTCTGAGTGAGAGAAATAAGCTATTTCTTTATTTACAGTCTCTGTTGCTAGGAAGTGAATGCAATTCCTAAATGATACAGCAGTGGTTTTCAAACAGTAGCATACTTTAGAATCATCTGAGGCCTTTATTAAAGATGATGGCCATTTTCATCCCTCTGGGTCTGAAAAGGAGGCCAGAACTATGCACTCTTAACACCTCAGACCACTCCAGGAGAAACACTAGTTTAAGGAAAAGGCAAACACAAACACAAGGTAAAGGCCAACCCTCCTGAAGTGTAATCTCAGACATGAGCTGATACATTTGGAAGGTTTTATAAAATCCAACTTAACCCAGGGACTAATTCGAACACTGATCCTTTATTTCACGTGCCCCCTCACCTGCAGTTTGAGAAGCTTGGAACCTTGTTTAATCTACCTCAATTCGGGGAGGTAATATCTAAAATGCACCTGAGCATCTCAGAAGGCAGGTTGTACAGAGAAGGGAAAGATGCTGCCTGAATTTGCTGCACGTGGTGGTCTTTAAAAAAGTACACAGTGGTTCCCAAATGGGGACCTGGAGGACCATCAGGTAGCATTACAGCTGTGAGTAAATAGGGATGGGCTGCTCATGAGGGCCCCTGTGTTCATTTTGCCCCTATTTGCCAGAATTTCATTACCCAAGCAATAGGAGAAAAGTGCCGTTAAGTGGCATTTAAGAGGTGAAATTGTACCAAGTTTGGCTCCTTCCCTTTTCTCCTGGAGACCCACATTATAATTTTAATTGGTTTACTCAGGAAGCAATTTAGGAAACAACAGTCTAATGCCTAATGCCTAAACAATGTCTCCATCATGTTGAACTCCCCTAGGATTAGGATCAAAATCAGAAATAAAAGCTCATTTGCAGTATTTTCAAAGAAGACTCTTTCAAAGACTCCTTTCTTTTGTTCACACTTGATGTCTAATTCAACAGTGATTCTTGTTGGATGTCGGTTCAAAACATATCCAGAATCCAGTCATTTTCCACCACCCCTGCAGGACCAGTCTAGCTATGACTAAGTGCTCGCCTGAGCTATTGCTGTGGCTACTTCTGGACCCGGCTTTCACCTTTGTGCCTCTGCAGTCGAGTCTCTATTCAGCAGCAATAACAACTCCATTGGAATATAAACCAGGGTGTGTCACTGCTCTGCTCAAAACCCTGGATGGTCTGGGTGCAGTAGCTCATACCTGCAATCCCAGCACTTTGGGAGGCTAAGGGAGGATGATTGCTTGAGCCCAGGAGTTCGAGACTGGCCTGGGAAACAAAGGTAGACCATGCCTCTAGAAACATTAAAAAAAAAAAAAAAAAAAAAACAGCCTGGCTGTGGTGGTGCACACCTGTGGTCTCAGCTACTCTGGAGGCTGAGCTGGGAGGATCACTTGAGTCTGGGAGGTTGAGGCTGCAGTGAGTGGCGAATGCGCCACTGCCCTCCAGCCTGGGTGACAGAGTGAGATTCTATCTCAAAAAAACAAAACAAAACAATACAAAACAAAAAAACTCAAAACCCCCAAAACAACAACCCTGGATTATCTCCCATGCCTCTATAATGCAAAGCCAAAGTCTTCACTATAGCACCATGACCTCCCCACTCCTTACAACCTGGCTGACTCTGTCTCTTACCATATTCCTTTTGTTCAGGTCTTGTGCTCACAATGACCTCCTTGCTGTTCCTTTCACCTCATGGCCTTTACACCAGCCATTCCCTCGGCCTGAAAGGTTATTCCCCCAGATATTTACATGGTGTCATCCTCCTTTCTTCCAGTCTTTGCTCAAGGGCCACCTTGGCTGCCTTCCTTGACTATCCTAATAAATTAGCACCTCTATCCCTTATCTTCCAACCCAGTACTTCTCAAATGGGGGCAATAATACCCCCCAAGAGATATTTGACAATGTCTACAAACATTTTTTGTTATTGCAACTTGGGGAGGGAGCTGCTTTGGCACATATAGTGGGTAGAGGCCAGGGACGCTGCCAAACTTCCTACAATACATGGGTCAGCCCCAACAGCAAAAGATCCCCATCAAAATGCCAACAGTGCTGAAACTGATAAACTCTTCATCTGCTTTTTGTCAAAGAACTTATCAGTTGTTGACAAATGATCTATTTGTTTGTTGACTTTCTCTTCCCTCTAGAATGTGAGTACTTAGGACTGTGTTTGCTGTATACCCCCAGAAGAGGGTCTGGCATGTACAAGATACTCAATAAGTGTTTGTTGAATGGATGCATGCTGTATTCAAATCTTACCTTTCTAGCTGTCTGGGTTATTAGAGGATCTAGACAGACACATACAGCAAGAGAATAAACAAGCGAGATTTCAAGAGGAAACAGAGTAAAACTCATTAAGCTTCTCTTTCATTCCATCAAAGCATTTGCTTTTTTCACCAAAGATTAGTGCTGTGGGGTGGGTGGAGATGCTAAGTAAAGGATGCATGGAATAACTGTCAATATACTGTTTATTTCAGAGGAAGTGACAAAAGCGACACCCATTTGTATTTGAAGCCAGAGAATTTCTTTCAAGTTGAGTTAACTTCGTTTGAACAAACTAAGGAAAATAATTATGTTATGCCCTAAGCCGGTACCATAATTCAGAATCACATGAGTTGCTTTGCTCCTATGCCTGTTAGTTCTCACATGACCACTCTTTCCAACCCTGTTTATTATTTTATTTAGAATATTAAACTTCAATGTTTTGTTAGAAAATACATTCCATTTAGTTTGGAGCATTATCTGACATTTATTTTATCTTGTGTTAAAGAAAAGGTTGCAGAAATGGAAGAACTTGGGGTTTGAACATTTTCTACTTAAGCTACACTTAAATAGACTCCCTCATCCCAATTTTATCAAAACACCCTTTGCAGATTGTCTACGCATTTGCGTATATGCCCTATTAAAAATTCCCCAACAGTTGCTAACTTCATTTGACAACAGTTTCAATACTGCCTTTAGATAAAATACACACATACATAAGTATGAAAAAAGAAGGATGGCAGTTTCTTATAGGGGTAACTTGTTTGGACTCTGCAGTCAGATTGTTTGGGTTCCAATAATGGATGTAACACTTACCATCTGCATGTAGTTGGGCAAGTTATTTGATCTCTTGTAGAAAGTTAATATCTCCATCTGTAAATTGGGGACAATAATATCTACCTTGAAGCATTAATAAGAGGCTCAAATGATATCGTGTAACTAACAAAGAGAGAGGCACAGGCTGAAGGCTCTATATTTCTTGGCTTTGAAGCAGTCTAATGCATAATTCATAAATGTCTATGTTATAAACAGAATTGTGTACCCCCTGTGATTCACATATCAAATCCCTAACCCCTATGTGTGACTATATTTATAGATAGGGCCTTTAAGGAGGTAATTAAGATTAAATGAGGTCATAAGGCTGGGGCCCTATTCAATAAGACTGGTGTCCTTGTAAGAAGAGGAAGAGATAACCAGGAGCATGCACAGAGAAAAGGCCATCTGCAAGCCAGGAAGAAAAGCCTCACCAGAAATCAACCCTGCTGACATCTTGATCTTGAGCTTTTGGACTCCAGAACTGTGAGAAAATAAATTTCTGTTGTTTAAGCCACCCAGTCTGTGCTATTCTGTTATCTGTGATACGCAAGTGTAAGGAACTGTTGAGTGCTTGTGGGGAAAGAACACACACATGAATGGGAAACCACCCCTAGGTGGAAAGAGGTTATATTTGGCAGAGGGTATAAGACAAGTAGACAAATGACTACAATACAAAGTTAAAATAATGCAAAAGCCATAATAGGTAGACAAAAACACTACAAAGATTCAATAAAAAATAAGTTAGGTACTGATTTGTAGCATTTGCCAATTTCCATAGGGTATGTGATCCCACTATGAATCCCACATTCAAGCTACCAATGTGATGTCATCGGATGTGGAACTGGGAAGAGCTATACATAGCATACCATCACACAGTACTCCCACTATACAGATATAATAGGCAAAACAGTCTCAAGAACATAGATAACAGTGGAATAGGATAAATTAAATAGGAAGTGATGAATTTCAAGTATTTATCATCTTTAAAAAATATAATTTATTTAATTATAAGTTTATATAATTAAATTTTCATAATGGCTGTATTTAACAATGGATTTACAAAATTCCTGAAAACTGACCAATTGGCTCTTGCAAGGCAGTATGAGGCCGGCTCTAGCATTCTGTCAGAAGCTTAAATGGCCAGTATCCTTGGCAAATTCTCTTTTAAAAAGTAAAAAGAGCAGTAGAAGAGCTGTAAATGAGATTAAACAGCTAAAGAGCACTTTGAAGAGTACGATGACAACTGATCTGTTGCCCAACTCTGTCTTCAACGGTCCCAGCAAATCACACATTAAGCCAAGTTGTCTATCTCAGCTGACACATACTTCAGAATAGTCACAGCTCTTCTGTCTCCCAGCCTTTTCCGAATCTCCAGAATTTTGCCCTTTCTCTAAACCACGCTTTTCTTTTCTCCCTCCTGTCTCCTTTCTAAACTCCCAGGAATAATAAGAACTGATGAACACTCACAATTATTTATGTATTGGCAGGTGTTTTGTTTTCTCAAAGTAAAGAGGATGTGAGTTAAACATAGTGTAGTTCCCCATGAAGAAGAAAAACAACAACAAAACCCCCTCCCAAACCTTAATAAAACTCCTTTTTTATGCTAGTACGTTGTTATCAAACTGTGTTCTAGTAGGTCAGTGATTCTTAATAGAGAAAAAAAAGATTCTCCACTTTGGGAATAGCTACTCCAGTATCAACTGAGTTAATATTTACCTACAGTATAGGAGAAAGAAACTGCATTTGATGTTGAATGTTTGAGTCCTAACCATGACAAATTCTAAGCGTGCAATATTTGGCCAAGTTAACTACCTACTCTGGGCTTCATTGTCCTTATCTCTAGGACTAGAATACTTGTATTCATCTCATACAGTTATTGTGAGGATTTAAAGTGATGAAAAGGTGGCTCCTGCAAGGCACTGAAGATGGCAGCCGCTGTGGGAAGGTTGTCCCTAGCTTCGGTTGACCGACATGTGCACACCATCCTGTCTCTGCAGTCCTTAGGCCTGTGGCTTCTGGGGAAAACATGCTTGACAAACATATTGTGGTCTGATTCTGGTCGAGCAGAATTCGCCTTTGGCACAATTTCCTCATACCATGCACTTGCTGTCACCCTATTTTAAAGGTACAGCCTTTGTCAATGCAGAGTTCAAAGATCTAAGCCTTGATGATAATGAGGGGAAATGTTTGGTGCTTTTCTCCTATCCTTTGGATTTCACCTTTGTGTGTCGACAACAATTTCTTGCTGTTAGTGATAAAGAATGAATTTTACAATGTGAACTGTGAAGTTGTTGCAGTCTTAGTGGATTCCCACTTTAGCCATCTTGCTTGGATAAATATACCAAGAAAGAATGGTGATTTGGGCCACATGAACATCACACTTTTCTCAGATTTAATTAAACACATTTCCTGAGACTATGGTGTGCTGTTAGAAGGTCCTGGTTTGCACTAAGAGGAGTCTTCATAATTGACCCCATGAATTTATCAAGCATTTGAGTGTCAGTGACCTCCCAGTGGGCTAAAACGTGGAAGACACCCTCTGCTTGGTAAAGGCATTCCAGTTTGTAAAAAAAACCCATGGAGAAGTCTGCCCAGCAAACTGGACACTAGAGTCTCCTACAATCAAGTCAAATCAAACTGTTTCCAAAGAATACTTTGAGAAGGTAAATCAGTGGATCACCCCATGTGTATCTGCACCTTCTCATCACAGAGAGGAACCCCAGTTGAAACCTGCTTTTAGCATTTCAAAGATGATTATTTTTGTAGAAGGCAAGGAACCTATTATGCTTGTATTCATGAACACTACTCTATATGTTTTGTTTTTGTAATACTGGCTAAGGTTTTTTTAAACATGGTTAGTTGCTAGTGTAAGGAGTCTTTAGTGGAAATATCTTGATGGCTAGCTAGTTAGTTTCTACAGAACACTAGTTCACCTACTTCTTAGATCGTGTCTTCAGTGGAAACACTCTTCTTTCTTGGCCTTATTTGAATATTTGTCTACACCAAAGTAGTACAACAAGCATTGCAAGCTTCTGATCAAGGGTCCCGAAATTTTCTTCTTGAATTTCTTCATATGAAACTGAATTGTTTTAAGTTAACAAAGATCAAAGCTTTAAGTTCCCTTAGATTTATAGTTTAGTCATTTTGTTCATTACATCTACATGCATTTCTAGATATTGACTGGTATAATTGATTATACAGGATATTTATTGAATCCAGGTATTGCATTTTGAAATTATTACAATTATTTTCTTTGCTGGTGTTCAATATAAAATGTAATAAAAATAAACATATTTTAAAATAAAGTGACAAAAGAATGAAAATACACTGTGAACTATAAGGCTGTACATAATTGTCAGATTAGTTTTATTATTATTAAAAATAACAACAAAACTAGAAATTATAATTGCTTTGGGCTGCTAGTAATCATGACCCGAGAATAGTGGCCTAGGACTGGTTTGGCATTTTATAAAAACCATGAAGCACCTAGGCTCTTCCTGTCTTTCTGTACCCATCATCCATGTGTTAGTGACATCTATGCTCAAAACTGCAAAATGGCTACTGGAGTCTCAACCATCACATTCACGTTCGAGGTAAGAAGGTGGGTAAGGGTAAGAGGCAGATGGATCAACAACATTTAAAGAGTTTTACTAGAAGTACTAACCTCCTATTTATAATTCCTTGAATAGGACTAGCTGCAAGGGAAGCTAGGAAACAGGGTCCTTAGTAGGGCATACTGCTGCCCAGAATACAATCAGGTTCCGTTATTAGGAAAGGAGGAGATGCTAAAACTGGGTGACACCTAGCAATCTGTCTCCAAAGAATATCTGAATTTTGAGTTATCTCTTTCTTATGTGGAGTCCTTAGGAGTGTCCTACATGGTATCTTTTCTGTGCATTTTAAATCATTGTTTTTGATTCTGCACTTCACATATGACATAATTAGTCCATTACCCTCCTCTATTACTATTAGTTTCACAGGGTTATGCAAAGCCAGTTTGAATAAAGTTTAGAAAGCAAAGACAGAAGGAAATTCTAGGACCAATTCAAGTTTTCAAGTGTCCAAAGTGATTCATAATGACACATGCTATAATCCAAAGAAAGAATTCTTTTTGCAAGAGACTGGAGCTTACTGATCACAGGACATTGTTGGAAACACATTTTAGAATACAGGTAACCTTTGTTTCAAGTCAGTTCATTTAAGGCAGTTTCATTTCTGCACATTAAATACATGATTGAGAAGTGACCAGAAAATATGAAAATGAAGGAACTCACTTATACATTACAAAGGATGTATTTCTGACTACCACGGCTACTTTCAGCCTGAGTAACTTGCCTTGCCCACTAAGTTTCAAATGAATCATAAAAACAATTGTGAGAATTCAGTCTTTCCAGTTCCAAAACGCCAAAAGATCAGTGAAGGTAATATCTTGGCCTGCGGGTTATAGTTTGCGTATAGCCATAAAACCCTAAAGGGCCTATATTATGCCACTTTAGAGAAACAGACAGGAAAGAAGGTTTGGTTTGGATGAGCTAGAGTATGACACAATATCTCAAACACCACCAAAATATCACTAGTTTTGTACTGCAGTGTTTTTTAATTAAAATTTTTTATTGTGGTATACACATTACAAGATTTGCCATTTTAACCTTTTTTTTTTTTTTTTTTTTTTTTTTTGAGACAGAGTTTCACTCTTGTTGCCCAGGCTGGAATGCAATGGCGTGATCTCGGCTCACTGCAACCTCCGTCTCCCGGGTTCAAGTGATTCTCCTGCCTCAGCCTCCCGAGTAGCTGGGATTACAGGCACTCACCACCACACCCGGCTAGTTTTTTGTATTTTTAATAGAGACAGGGTCTCACCATGTTGGCCAGGCTGGTCTCGAACTCCTGACCTCGATCCACTTGCCTCAGCCTCCCAAAGTGCTGGGATTATAGACGTGAGCCACCATGCCTGGCCTCATTTTAACCATTTTTAAGTGTACAATTCAGTGGCACTGGGTACATTCACAATATCATGCAATCATCACCACTATCTCGTCACAAAACTTTTTCATCATGTTAAACAGAAACTCTACACCAAATAAATAATAATTCCCCATTTCTCCTCCCCTCAGCCCCTGGTAACCTCTAATTTACTGTCTGTCTCTATGAGTCTGCCTAGTCTAGATACTTCATATAAGTGGAATCATGCAATATTCGTCCTTTGTGTCTGCTTATTTCACCTAATATGTTTCCAAGGCTAATTTCTGTTGTAGCATGTGTCAGGACTTTGCTTGTGGCTATTATTTCACTGCATGTATATACCACATTTTGTTTATCCATTTTTATCTGTTGACGGAATTTGGGTTGTTTTTACCTTTTCACTACTGTGGATAATGCTTCAGTGAATGTTGGCGTACAATTATGTTTGAATCTCTGCTTTCAATTATGTTGCATATATACCTAGGAGTGGAATTACTGGATGATATGGTAATTCTGTTTAGCTTTTAGAGAAACTGCCAAACAGTGCTCCAAAGTGGCTGCACCATTTTACATTGTCACCAGCAATGCACAGAAATTCCAGTTTCTCCACATCCTTACCAACATTTATTTTCCAGTTTTTAAAATTATAACCATCTTAGTAGGTCTGAAGCAGTATCTCATTGTGGTTTTGATTTGCATTATATTAATGACTAATGATGTTGGACATCTTTTCATGTGCTTATCAGCCGACCGTATATTGTCTTTGGAGAGATGTTGATTGAAGTCCTTCAGTCATCTTTTAACTGAGTTGTCTTCTTGTTGAACCGTATATATTCTGTATCTTAAACCCTTATCTATACCATGATTTTATTTCTGTCTCACACTGTATCCTCCTATAGGTAGGCAGAGACCCAGGTGATGGGGGCTCCATATGGAGATATGCCTCCATGAGGATGGCAGCAGAGAAAAGGATGGTTGGAGCTGAACACTGGCAGTGAAAAGCTTTTTTCCTGGATATGATACATGTGACTTCTGTTCAGGTTTCATTGGTGAAAGCAAGTCTCATGGACATGCCTAACTTTAAACGGACTGAGAAAGTACATTCCCCCTTTGTGCCTGGAAGAAGAAGGAACCAACCATTTGTAAATAGCCATAATCCCTGCCACAGCAGGGAAAGAAGAGAGTACTATGTAAACAGGATATTACATTTTGCAAAGGTAAACACAAGTGATTCTCTTTATTCATGGCAGTTATGTGCTATAAAATCACAGCAAACACTGAATTTCTGAATACTAAACATTCCTCCTAGGAGAAATATGGGGTTAGGTTCCTGTGAGCCTCTGGTCCCAACATTTTCGTTAACCCATTAATCCATAACCTTGTTTCATGTGTGTTTCTTTTTAAGGGCAACTTACTTAATATGTATTGTTGATTCATTAACATTTAACTTATGGCCAACAGCACTATAACTCATGCCCAACAGCACTATAACTCATGCCTGACTGAAGATTATCTAACATACATATTTTCTTTCTTTCTTTCTTTCTTTCTTTCTTTCTTTCTTTCTTTCTTTCTTTCTTTCTTTCTTTCTTTCTTTCTTTTCTTTCCTTCTTTCTTTCTTCTTTTTCTTTTCTCTCTCTCTCTGTCTCTTTCTTTCAGACTGAGTTTCGCTCTTGTCATCCAGGCTGGAATGCAATGGCACGATCTCGGCTCACCACAACCTCCACCTCCTGGGTTCAAGTGATTCTCCTGCCTCAGCCTCCAGAGTAGCTGGGATTATAGGCATGTACCACCATGCCTGGCTAATTTCGTATTTTTAGTAGAGATGGGGTTTCTCCATGTTGGTCAGGCTGGACTCGAACTCACTACCTCAGGTGATCCGCCTGCCTCAGCCTCCCAAAGTTCTGGGATTACAAGTGTGAGCCACCGTGCCTGGCCTAACATACGTATTTTCTCCATAAAGCACATCACAGCCTTCTTGCTTTTAGAAACACTAGATGGCACTTCACTATGCTTGGGGCTATTTTAAACAGTGAAATCACCAACAAAAAGCATAGGATGCAAAAAAGTGGCCCTAAATAGACCACTTGTTTATTCAGTCTGTGAGCTGGAATAAGAAAGCATAGAATTAGCTGTTCTACCTCAGCTGGCCATGTATGCATTAGGCAATTCAAATTTTTTATCCCTCAGTGTATGCCTGTTAATGACCACGAGAGTGCTGCAAATATTGATTTTCAGGGTACAAGTAAAGTCTGCAAATGACCATGAAAGTGCTGCCGCAAGTATTGATTTTGGGGTTACAAATAAATTTTGGCAAGTGGGCACATTTGCAAATACAGAATCATGAAAAATGGGGATCAACAAAATTATAAACCATTTGATCACCAAGGAGTAAAGGGCTGAGCCAGGATTTAAATTTAGGTCTGACTTCAAAGCTCATTCTCTATCCATTCCACCCCACTGTCTCCCAAAACTAGTCAAAGGATTACACTCTGTCCTATGTATTTGATGAATCAATGAGCAGTGTAGTCACAGTTCATTCTTCAAGCTTGCAATTCCTGCTAAAACCTTAAATACTAAACAGGCCAGAGTGGCTGCTTAATCATGAAAGCCACATGGATCAGTTTGAACTCCAAAGAAGGTAGAAATCAACTGCATTATTGAGTAATGTGCATACTTTGAATGTTATGTGCGTATGTTATATAATGAGGATTATGGGAACTAACTCAGGCTTGGTGAATTTGTTTCCCCTTTGGTCTGTGCAAGAGAAGTTAATGTGCCCAGGTTCATCCTCAACAAAGACCATGTGGTCCTTGAAGGGACTGCTCCAATTCCTGAGAGTTATCTATGTATGTATGTGTTTATTTATTTTGCGGTAAAATATACAGAATATAAAATTTAGCATTTTTACCACTTTTCAGCAGCATTAAATACATTCACATAGTTGTGCAACTGCTACCACGATCCTTCTCCAGAACTTCTTTTATCTTCCCATACTGAAACTCTGTACTCATTAACCACTCACTTCCCATTCTCCTCCCCTTCAGCCCTTGGAAGCCACCATTTTCCTTTCAGTATCTACAAATTTGACAATTTGAGAATGATTTTTTTTTTTAATAAAGTCTCACTCTGTCACCTAGGCTGGAGTGCAGTAGCACTATCTCTGCTCACTGCAACCTCCACCTCCTGGGTCCAAGCAATTCTCCTGCCTCAGCCTCCTGAGTAGCTGGGATTACAGGCATGTGCCACCACATCCGGCTAATTTTTGTGTTTTTAGTAGAGACGGGGTTTCACCATGTTGGCCAGGCTGGTCTCAAACTCCTGACCTCACGTGATCCACCCATCTTGGCCTCCCAAGGTACCAGGATTACAGGTGTGAGCCACCGCCCAGCTGAGAGTGATTTTTATTACGTGTTGGGAACAAATGTTTTTCTGTGGTAAATTCTCTGAAATTATGGTGAAAATCAATGGGGAGAAAATGAGTCAGACAGTGTGTCTACACTTACATTTAAGTCCTTTCATAAGCAACTTTCCTTCTGTTTTTAATAAGACAATCAAGGATCACAGGGAAGATGCTGGCCCCAGCAATCAGAATCTATAACAAATGAAATGATCTGGCAACTCATTCGTGTGTAGCATTTTCATTGAGAAGACCTAGGAAATAAATCACCACTGATAATTGGGCAAGTTATAGCTTCTGAATTATTAGTCTCAGGCCATTCACTTTGTTATATTTTACAGATTATAGAATTCCGTTTATACAGTACCTCTTCCTGGCTCACGACAGAGTCTTCTGATTGCTCTAGGAGTGGCATGAGAAGCAACAAAAGGTGTTAGCCAACAATTGTGAGAGACAAGCACTCAGCATCAATGAGGCTCAGACCCAAAAAAGCAGTTCTGGCAGGCATCCTTCCGCATCCTGACAGTCCCAACATCCAGACTAAAACAACGCTCATCCTCTTGCTATCACAGTCTTCATCCAAAACTGGAGATACTGTTAGGTGGTTAGCCAACAACATTGCCTTACTCTACTAGTGCCCTTTAGTTTTGGTTATCTATTATAATTATGTCCTTTCTCTTTGTTGCCTATAGCATGCTTTCCCCTTGTTTTAGTTATTCTACTGACAGCTCTTCCAGATCCTTTCGGAAACTAGGCAGAAAATGGATTGAAAAGAAAAAAAAACAATCTTAACTTTTCTACCACATGTTTAGGAAGTAACCTTTGAAAATGGGAGTTTCAGAATCCGTTGTTAATGTGTTAAGTGAAGGGAGCAAAGATGTGTGAAAAATAACAGACATAAAATGATCTTAAAATTCTTAGTATTCATATGATTTTGTTTTAAAGAGAAACTACCCAAAATTATATCTTACTTTGGCTTGAGTGAATATGAACCCAAGGTCTGGTGAATTGATTCAGAAGTATATTGAGATGCAGGCTACTCAAGGCGGGAAGAAAAATCTTTCATGGGTAATCTAAGATGTGGCATTAAAACGTGTGTCACAGAAGATCACTATTAAGAAGGAAGACAAAAATGCTGAATAACTGGAGCTTTGTTAAAAGTGATAGAGGGAGGAAAGCACAGCAAGTGCAAAGGCATGAGGTGGGAGGAAGCTTGGAGTTCTTGAAGAGTGGCCCTATGGTCTGAATTTGTACCCCCAAATTCATGTGTTGGAAACTTATTCCCCAATGCAACAGTGTTGGGAGATGGGACCTTTTGGAAGTTGCTTGGAATAGATTAATGCTGACATAAAGAGGGCTTGTGGCCAGGCGTGGTTGTGGTCACTCACACCTGTAATCTCAGCACTCTGGGAGGACAAGGTGGAAGATCCTTTGAGTCCGGGTGTTAGAGACCAGCCTGGGCAACAAGGTGAAACCCTGTCTCTACAAAAAATACAAAAAGTAGCTGGGAGTGGTTGTGCGCATCTACAGTCCCAGTTACCTGGGAGGCTGAGGTGGGAGGATGGAGGATCATCTGAGTGCAGGGAGGTTGAAGCTGCAGTGACCTATAATTGCACCACTGCACTCTGGCCTAGGTGACAGAATGAAACCTTGTCTCAGAAAGAAAAAAAAAAAAAAGGACTTGCTGGAGTGGGTTCATCTCTTCTGTTCTTCTGCCATGTGGGGACACATTCCCTCTTTTGCCCTTTGGCCTTTCACCACCTGAGGATGCAGCAAGAAAGCCCTCACCAGATGCTGGTGCCTTGATCCTGAACATTTCAGCCTCTGGAATTGTGAGAGAATAAATTTCTGGTCTTTATAAATTACACTGTCTCAGGTATTCTGTTATAGCAGCACAAAACAGACTAAGACAAGTGGCTAACAGACTAAGACAAGGATCCAGTGTGGCTGGATGTTAAGAAATGGCGAATAACCACTCTAAGAATATAAATATATTCTGTATCTTTCCACCAAGCAAAGGAAAATGAAGAAAACTGGGAAGGCTTCATTAAAAAAAATAGAACACAAGAAAACAGAAAAAAGCAGAGGAAAAAAGATAGCAAATAGAAAATAAAGTGGTAGGAATGATTATATAAGTTATTATAATAAATTTAAATGTATTATACCCATCAATTAAAAGATGGATTATCAGTTTGGAATAATAGGAATGCAATATCTATCATGTGCTGCTTGCAGAGTCCCACTTAAAACCATAAGAAAAGGCTTAAAATAAAAGAATGGAAAAGCATAGTCTTGCAATTACTCACCAAAAGAAAGCTAGTATGCAATGTTAGTATTATAGAAACCAGAATTTGAACAAATACAATTAGGCAAGATATAAAGGGATGTTACAATTAATAGATCCTTGGTCATTTCAAAATTATTAGTGATACAATTTATTGACCCGTTTTATAATGGCCACCAGTTCACTACTTCTATTCCTGAAAAATATTATGTAGCTGTTCATAAAATTTTAAAAGTTATTTTATGTTCAAATAAACAAAATAACACATATATTTATAAGGAATGTTACAAAAGAATAATCTATCAAAACTATAGTATAACCATAGGTTATATTATATATTATATACTATAACTTGTGGGCACCTAAAAACATAGCCTCAAATGCATAAAGCAAAAACAGAAATCTAAGGAAAAACAAATCTATAATTACAGAGAAAGATTTTAAGTTGCCTTCATTCGGCATTGATAGACCAAAAAGGCAAAAATTATGAAAGCTATAGAGTATATCACAGCAATAGTAATTACTGTTCATGAACTCTATCATCATCTTTCTTCTAACAATTTGGAAACATTGCCATGTTTATTTTTACTTTATAATGGAAAGAAAATATTTCACATCTTTACAATCCAAATGGGAAATAGAAGCTAGAAGATGCAAAGAAACTTGGTCAAGGCCACTTGATCACTGCCTGAAAACAAACTTTTCTGATCCATGACTTTTTCTGCACTTGAATGCTCTCTTTTCTGTGTATCTTCCCAGTCTACATTCCCTGGGTATTTACCCTGATGTCGTAGGGGAAGAGTGGTATATTAACTGCTCCCTAAGCACTGGCCCTATGCGACAATGAGCAAGTCATGTACGTTCTCTGAGACTGTTTTCTTAAATATTAAATCCAAGGTTTGGGCTTAAGAATTTCTGTTCTGTCTTGTTTTGCTTATATCTTAGAATGCTTTAATTCTTGCCCCCAACATCTATGGACAAGAACTTCAGACTTAGATCTCAGTCTTGTTTCCCCAGATAGGCCTTACCAAGAAAAGTGTTTTCAAAACAATTGGCCATTCTAGTCTGGAAAGATATACATTTCTTGAAATGCCAGGTACTGATTAAGTGCTCTATAAGGCAGGAAACATTACTGTCTTCATTTTATAGATGAGAAAGAATGACCTCAACAAGGTAAAACAACTTGCTCCAATCATAAATATAGCTGGACAGTGGCAGAACTGGATCAGGTCCCAGCTGCGTCTGATACCACAGCCATGGCTCTTAATTACTGTGCTTGAGAAAGACCACAGAAAATGGTCCCACTGATCATATTTCAGCAGAGCTGTTTCTTTTAGTTATGTTTAGTTATTTTAATTTTATTTTTTTTAAGACACAGGGCCTTGCTCTGTCACCCAGCTGTAATGCAATGGTGCTATTATAGCTCACTGCAGCCTTGAACTCCTGAGCTCAAGCAATCTGCCAGCTTCAGCCTCCTGAATGGCTGGGGCTACAGGCCCACACCAATGACTGACTGATTTAAAAAAAAAAATTTGAGATGGAATCTCGCTATGCTGCCCAGGCTGGTTTCAAACTCCTAGACTCAAGCCATCATTCAAGCGATCCTCCTGTCTCAGGCTCCAAGTAGCTTGGATTACAGGTATGAGTCACTGTTCCAGGCCAGAAGAGCTGTTTCTCATGGCATATTCACCATCCAGATGAATTCTTGACTATCCACACAGCAATGGGGCACAAAAGAAGATGGATGTTTCACAACTATGTTCAAGCCCAACCTCAAATTTATCCATGTCATTTGACCTTCTCTCTCAACACACGTAGAATTGCCAAGTGGTTGGCAAACTTAGTTGGTTGGCACTGCAGCTTTTTTCCCTGGTTGCCTCTCTAAGGCTATGATTCTTGCAATAACTTACATAATGATGGAAGAGAAAGGAGACTATAATACAAGCCCAAATGTTAGGGCCTACATGTTAGATATTGTCCTTGGGAACATACAGAGATTAAGTGTTCACAATTTTGATCATCAACCCTGAGGAAATTATTACCTTCTCACCAAACACTGGATCCAGTGAGGATGGAGACACCACCTCTTTTTTCCTAACACCCTTTGGCAAGAGTCAGAAAGGTTTCTCAGGACCCCAGGATTGTAGGGAAGTTAATGTTTACAGACCCCCCCTAGATTGCTGCTAGAATTTTTGGTATCTTTCAGTAAGTTAGGAAAAGACAGCCTCCCAACTAAGAATTAGAAAAAGTCAGTCCCCAAGCTAGATTATCTGATAAAAGTAATGGCAAAAACAGCAATTACTTTTGTACCACTCTAATAATTGCCATAGCAATAACAACTACCACCACTGTTTACTGAGTGCCAACTACGTGTTAGGCACTGTCCTTGGGAGCTTAGAGATTATGAAATGAGCCAGTCTGTGGAACTCATTTTCTTGTGCCATCCATCTGGATGTTGATGAGTTTCTACCCCAAATCTCCTTTTCATTGTGCATGATTAATACTGAGCAGTTCTTTCTGACAAAAGCTTGGCAAAAGACTTAGCTACTCCCTGAGGCAATTGATGAAACCTTAGGAAGCCTCCACCATTGGCATGGGAGGAAGCTTGCCTTCCTGTTTGCTAAAGAGTAACTTCATTCATTCATTTATTCCATCACTTTATCGAGGTATCAACATATAATAAATCACATGCAAGTATACAATTTGGTAAGTTCCAACATATGTATGTACCCATGAAAGCATCAACATAATCAAGATAGCAAATGTACCTATCACCCCCAGAACTCTTGTCAATCCTTTTGTCGTTCCTCCCTCTCATTTCCCCATCCCCAAGTAACCATTGATCTGCTTTCTGTCACTACAGATTAGTTTGCATTTTCTAGAGTTTTATATAAATGAAATCACATAGTGTGTACTATTTTGCCTGGCTTCTTTCATTTGGAATAATGATTCTCAGACTCTGATTCACTTTGCATAGATCAACAGTTCATTCACTTTTATTGTGAAGTAGTAGTATACTATATAGATATAATACAATATGTTTATCCATGTACCTGTGGATAGACTTTTGAGTTATTTCCAATTTTTGACTATGGAAAAGAAAACTAAGAGCAGCCACTTTAAAAACCCCAAATGTTTAAAACATTGTTTCATTTAATTTTCACAACTATGCTGTAGTTAAGTACTGACATCCTTGTTTTTCAGAAGATGAGATGAAAGTTTGGGGAGGTGAATTAACTTGGCCAATGTTGGAAAGCAGCACAGCTAAAATTTGAACACAGAGCTAGTTATCATCGAAGCTTAGACTCTCAAACACTTATGAGCCCAGAAGGATAGTTACTCAAAAGACAGAAGTTATCGGAGGCCAGCACAAAGCCTGATGTCTGCATGGGTCTTCCATGAGACACTTTCTACATCTACCTTTGTATGGCTCCAGGCCACCTAAAGCAACATATAAAGACTGGTGTTGGAAAGCTCCAGTTTTTGATTGGACCTGGAAAACTGCCATATTGAAATCACACCTATACTAACAGCTTGCACATATGGGTACTTAATAAACAACTGTTGAACGAATAAATGGCTGAATGCACAAATAAATGCATAAAGGAAGGCACAGGCAGATAAATAGATTGAGGAAGGAAGTTAGTTACTTGCTGATTTGGTGGTGGATTAATCCAATCATCCCATGAAATTACTCAAAATATCTCCTGCGTCATAAGGCAGAGGAGATCATCTTGATACTACATTAACTCTCACACCAGGCTACAGTGTAGACTGCCCAGTCAGCAGAAAGGGTGTGCAGCTGTGAATTTATGCAGGAAGTCTAAGTAAGAGGCCAAGTCCCAAACTTTAGGACCCCAGAGTGAATTTACTGTAAAGGTTGGAGATACCTGTCTTGAAAGCTAGAACTCCAATGGCAGGTCTCTCATCCTGCATTTGCAAATGAGCCTTGGCCTTTCTAGGCCTCATAATCTGCACGCAAGCCTTGACAAGTCCCTGCTGGTGGAATCTGGCCGTGTTGCTGCTGACTTCATCTGGCAGAGGCCCTGAAGCCTGGGAACCCAGGTTCTAGTCCCAACTCTGACAGCTCCGTTGAAAACAAGTTTATTAACAGGCAGTTTTAGTGAAAGCTGCACACACAGGCATATTTCCCATTGCCATCTGATGACATCAGTGTATTTCTGGAGCCAAGATAAATACAGCATTGTTCATGTGACTAGCTTCCCAAGAAGAGTGAGGTGGACTGCTCTGAAGCCTCCTCCTGCCCTGCCCCCTTCTTCCCTCCCTTCCCAACTCATCTCTCAAACTGCATTGAAAACACCGAGGTGAGTGACAGTGAAGGCTAACTAGGAGATGCAGCTTAGGGGGAATTTAATCCAATTCAGTTGGAGAGACATGCATCTCCCTGTACCATGAAATTCCATTTTGATCTCAGCATGTGCTGATGGAGTAATGAAATAAAGACAACACTCTGCAAATGGCTGGTGAGTCTAATGATGGTTTTTATGGGGGTTTTAGAAGGGCTATTAGATTGTGCATTCCTTTCCTATAAGCCAAAACCACCCAGCAGACCTTGGGAGATGAACCATTTTATCATTCTTCTCTCCCTTCCCCCAGCATCTGCCAGCCTTTGTCCCTCCTGGTATAAATAGCTTCTCACATAAAAGAGCAAACTGTCAGTAGCCTGAAAGCTAACGGTAAAGCTGGACGCCTGGCACTGTGGCCCCAGCCGGGTGGTGGTGAGTCACAGCTGTATAATTCACGGTCCTGCAGTAAAAGGTATCAGCGCATGCTCTAGGTTAACAGGCCAGAAAGGGAGCTGAAGAAACAGGGCCAATGAAAGACTTTTAAAAGCATCTTGAGTTTTCCTTTAACAATCAGCCTTGTATTTGGGTGATATCCAGGGCATGCCAGTCAAAGGCAAAAAGACAGGAATGGGATTGGGTAGCTTCTGGGGCACACCCTTCATCCGTATCTGCACGCAAATCTGCTTCAGTGTCTTGGAGATTCAAATAATGATTCTGATGAGGACAGCAGCTACCATTTGCTGAGGACCTATTTGGTGTCTGCTTTGTCCTAGGATCCTTACAAAGATGAATTCACTTCTTCTCTGTTAGCTACTTTAGACTTGGGCAGAAGCATCCCCGTGTTACAGCTAAGAAAACTGATGCTTGAGATGCCCAAGGTTACAGAGTTAAGTGATGGAGTCTAGATGTGGCCTCATCTATTCCTAGCAATGTGGCTTTTCCATTAGCCAACAGTAATGGCTCTCAAGCTTTGTCATGCATGAGAAACACCTAAAAGCTTTGTTGAAACAGATTGTTGGGCTCCATCTTCAGAGTTCTGGTTTATTTGGTCTGGGGCAAGTCCCAAGAGTCTACATTTAACAAGTTCCCAGGTGATACTAGTGCTACTGGTATGGGAACCTCGTTTTGAAAACCACGGGACGAGGCAGACCAAATCTGGGTAATCAAGCCATCATTCCATGTAAAGTCCCAGCTCAAATGTCACTTCTGCAGAGAGGCTTCTCTTAGCCATCCAATATAAAGTAGATAGATTCTCTAAATCAGGGGTCTGTGTTTCAAATCAGGCCCCCTTCCTGTTTTTGTAAGTAAAGTTTTATTGTCACATGACCATGCCCATTTGTTCACCTATTGTCCAATGCCTGCTTTCACATTACAACATCAGAGTTGGGTATTTGCCACTGAGACTGTACAATCCATGAAGCCTATATTTACTATCTAGATCTTTACAGACAAAGCCTGTCAACTCCTTGCTCCAGATCATATCACCCTTTCTTATTGCTTTGTTAATAGACGTCGGTCTCTGAATGTGTCTTGTTATTCAGCTATTAAGTTGTCTGCATCCTTCACTAAACTGTCAGCTCCACAAAGGCAGAAGTACTTGCTTTTCTATTCACAGCTGTCCCCTAGTGCCTAGGAAAGTACTTGCCATATAGTTGGCACTCAAAAAATATTTGCTGAATGAATGTCACTATTGAGTGCCCAGGTACGTGACGCTGTCTGTACCAGTAACATGAGAGCCCCTGGAGGAAGTACAGTAAAGCCAGGGTAAGAGAGTGAGAAGAGATAAGGATAAACAGAGATTGTCGATAGGGAAACAAATCTTTGAAGCAGGGCCATGCTGCTTCCTGCAGTGGTGGGGAAACTGGAGGTGGGGAAAAGATGAATTCCTTAGTCACTAAGGTCAACCTCAGATTAGGAGAAATTTCCCATCCCTAAGAATGAAAGAGACTGTGTGACTCATGCTGTTCCCCTCCTCCAACTCACACCAAGTCTGCTTTCTTGGATCTGATTCCCTGAGTGGAGCAATGTGCATGCTCTTCACTGTGCATGAGGAAGGGGTGGAGGAGGAAAAGCCCACACGGGCACTAGAGTCAGACAAATGGCTGGTTCAAGTGCTGTCTTTGTCCCTCGCTGACTGCGGCATCTTGGTCAAGTTTCTGATCCTGTGAGCCTCAATGATTTCAATGGAGAAATAGAAGATTTTGTACCAAGGATTAAATGGGACTGTTTATTCACGCAAACCCTGTTTATTAAATGGCTAGCATGTGCCCAGCATTATTTTTGGTACTGAGCATAGAGTGGTGAATAAGACAATGTCCGTCTCTAACAGACTCACATTTTGGAAGGTAGTATGGACATAAATAAATGTAAGTAGAGTACTAGCTATGAATTTAACATATGGAAGATGTCACCTCTGTAGTCAAATGGGGGCTCTCTGTTGCCCTATGTGCACCTGGGGCAGAAACATCAAGGGGATGGATGATTAAGTGCCTCCAATTTTCCAGGGGCAAGCAAGGTAGTTGGACTGTCCTGCCTTCATGTCCAGGGATGTCTTGGCAAGCACCGAGCACTGCATGGGCTCCATTCGTGTCTCCCCAGTCTGCCAACACTCTCCCCAAATTCTTTGTGCACAAAGTTGGTACTGATTTTATTTCACTTCTGAGTTTCACTCAAATGAATACGTTAACTTCTGTAACAAATGAGATCTCTGCATAGTAGGCTTCTTCAGTAACAGCTCAAATACTGCCTCCCCAGAGACGCCGGACCTGACCCATCGGGCTAAATTAGCCAATCCCCCCAGCACCCTGCTCCACATCAATGATCTCTGAAGCTGTTTTTTTGTTTTGTTTTGTTTTGTTTTTATAGGATACATTAAGTGAGAAGCAACTTGTAAAGCACCCAGGAAAATATCTGACACATGTAAGAGTTTTCTAAATATTTACAATCCTATTCTTAACATCACTATGTTTTTTTAAAAAAAATCACAACCTGAAATTATCTTACTTATTTGTTTTCTAATTATTTGTCTTTACTCTTCACATAACTACAGTGCAGTAGAAACCTTAAGTCTCTTGTTTACTGTTTTGTCCCCAGCGCCCAGAACACTGCCTGACACATAGTAGGTATAAAATAAATATCCTTAAATAGGTGAATGAGTGAACAGAAAAAGCCCAATGGCCATTTCCTTTTCACCCAATTTTCTAGCATGCTCTCTGATTTATTCCTTGGACTCTCATGGGGAAAATCAAGTGGAATGCTGCCAAGAAGCCCATAGCCAAACCATTACAGACAGGTACTAACAAGGTTCCAACTGGCAGAGAGGCCAAATCAAGGAGCCTCTGCTGACCTGTTGATCCCCTAAGAGAGATGTGTAGAATATTCTTTGTGGGAAGACTCCCTTTGCACTCTGAGAAGCCTACAGAAAATTCCCCAAGGACTCATTCCTCCCAGGTCTGAGGACTGTGAGGCTGCAGGAGATCTCAGGCACCAAGGAAGGTGGGTGGCAGAGCTCAGTACTTCAGCAGATAATCCCAAAGCCTGCTTGGGGCATTAGAGGATTCAGAATCAAGAGGCTCCATCTGGGGCCCTGAATAACTTCCACAGGCTCCACAGAGCCAGAGAACTCCACTGGGACGAACTTGTATCTTTATAACAATCCCACAGCAGAAGGCCTGGGAAACAGAAAGGTTCCCATATTGGCAGAATTCAAAATTACCTTATGAAAACCTTTTGAGAAGGCTGAGAAGGACTCTAGGATTGCTACAAACCCTATGCTTAATCCGCCTTCTCCATCTCCACGTAACCTCCCTCTTTCCCGGAAGCCAAACGTTCCTTCTGCTCCTCTTTGAGCTGACTCAGGGCAATAGTAATTAGTTAGTCACATACTACTATTTCACAAGAAAGATGGGAAGGAAACAACTGACTTATTGAGCAACTTCTACGTGCAGACAGAGGGCCAGGAGCATTATAAGCACTCTCTCATCCATGGCCAGATCAGCCCTGTGATCTCCAGGTCTAATAGTACCGGCTCCAAAGTCAGGTTGTCTGAGATTATATCTGTCTCTGCTACTCATTAGCTGTGTGATCTTGGGCAAGTTATTTAACTCCTCTGAGCCTTGCTTTACTCACCCTACGGTGAAGACAGGAAGAGTAATTACTAAATAATGTTGGTTGAGTATTAAATGAGACAATGCATGCAAAGTGTTTAAAAGGATGGTGGGTCCATAGCAAGTGTTCAATGAGAGTTTAATTACTTTTCCATCATCATTGTCATCTTCATCAAGAGGAAACTGAGGGTCCCAGAGATTTAACAACTTTACTGTGGTCAGAAAGTAGTGGAGTAGTAGAGAGATTTGCCTGATTCCGGAAGCAAGGCTCTTCCCACTGGACCAGGCTGTTTCCTCCTCATGCCATGGCTCCCACTGGGCTCCCGAGATTCGGATGGGGACATAAATGGTGCCTGGGTTTGGATACACAGTGGGCTTCTGCCAGACCCACTGCTCCTCCCACCCTGCTCCAGACCCAGAGACTTGGAGCTGGTGGAGCTGCCTCAGGTTTGCTAAATGCAGCCGTTGGCAAGATGTCACCCTCTCTGGCCTTTTGCAACCTAAGCAAACTCTGAAGCAATTGGGATGTTCAGGGGAATCTGCTTAGAATACAAATCTTTAGGAGCAGCCGAGGGAACAGAAATAATTGATATGGAATAACCCTTTATGTCGAAAATAATGCCAAAGGCTTTTATCTCTTCAGTGTGATGCGACCTGAACATTTCTGGTTCTACAGAGGACCCCTGCCGTTGGCCTATCTCTTAACAGATGTTTGCTGGGTGCTGGCCATGTGTCAGGCACTATGCTAGGTGCTGGGAGGATTCCGAAACAAGAAAGCATGCAAGATTCCTGCCCTCCTGGGCCTTAAAGGAAAGTAGGGAAGCCAAACATTAAATAAATAATTATACCAATAAGTATCTAATTACAAGTTTTATAAGTGTTAATAACAAAAATTGCAGGGTTTGCTACAAAGCATGTAACTGAGGACCTAATCTTGTATTAGGGGCCAGCCAAAGTAGTTCTTTGAGGAGATACATTTAATCTGACACCTGATGGATGAGTAATAGTCACTAAAATAAAAGCCAAATAAAGAATTTTATACACTCCCAAAAGAGATATTTTACAGCTTTACAAGGCTCAAATCCAACTAATTCACCCCTGTCTCTGGGTAGTACTGGATGTTCTATTTTACCACTTATGAGACAATGCTTTGGAAAGCCAAAAACTAGGCAGTCACACTTGGTATCTACCCTTCATCCTTCCTGCGACAGTTTGAAGTGAGAGTTGAGTGTTCTGGATGATGAATCTAATTGCAACTTATTCTGTGCTAAAACATAGTTATGGTCAAGGTAAAATTACTAACCTTTGGAGATATTCATATTTAAGTACCCTCCATGAACACTTGGGAGCATCCAAAACATCAATGAAAAAGACATCCACTCAGGAGAAACAATCTGATGGCCTCTTCAGAGTTTCATGGAGCAGCAAGGACGAGAACTAATATAAAATCCACTTGCATCCAATGAAAGCTATCCACCCACAAGACATACCAGTTATGATCTTCCTGGAGAGTGGTGTAGCATCATGAATCTAAAACCTTAGAGAAGCTTACACATGACCACTACACCTCCAGAAATTACGCTTATGGAAAGGAGCAGGCACATGTATAAAATGCATAAGGTTAGCTGCTGCTGTCTTGTAATATAGAGGAAAGCTGCCAATAAATGCAAGTGGTCAAAACTAAACCCTCAGCTCCATGGTGCTCAATGATGGTATCTTGGCATTTGAGATGGGTCCATTCTCCTTTGCACAGGATCATCTGGTACTTTTTGGGATGCTTAGCATCTCAAGGACCCATGCATAGGCTAGTGGAGTCCCCTAGTCATTTAGACAGTAATTGCCCTCTCCCAAACATACATTTCCAAATGCCCTCTAGAGGCAGTGGTACCACTCCAGGTTAGAACCTACCAATAGAAAACTATCGAACCATTACAAAGGATAATCCAGATCGAAATATACTGATGCAGAAAAATGTTCACAATATAAGGCCTAGAAAAGACAGCTCAAGATAAGTGGAGAGCGTCATCACATTTTTGTCCAAATCAAAGCAGAAATATACTCCTACACACATAGAAACTTGAATATACAGGCTGATATGGTTTGGCTGTGTCCCCACCCAAATCTCATCCTGCATTCCCATGTGTTGTGGGAGGTACCCAGTGGGAGGTAATTGAATCATTGGGGCAGGTCTTTCCCATGATGGCCTCGTGATAGTAAGTCTCACGAGATCTGATGGTTACTATAAGGAGGAGTTTTCCTGCAAAAGCTCTCTTTGCTTGCTGCCGTCCATGTAAGACATGACTTGCTCCTCCTTGCTTTCTGCCATCACTGTGAGACTTCCCCAGCCATGTGGAACTGTAAGTCCAGTTAAATCTCTTTCCTTTGTAAATTGTCCAGTCTTGGGTATGTCTTTATCAGTAGTGTGAAAACAGACTAATGCACAGGCAAAAAGGTTGAAACACAATTTTCCTTGGTTGGTGGAATTGTGAGTGATTTTTATTTGCTTTCCTGGATGTCTCACATTTTTTCTTTTCTTTTTTAATGAACAAGTCTCCCTTTTATAAAAGAGGAAAAAGTTCTTTTTGGTTTAGAGAACAAAAAGCTGACCCTCCACAGCCAGCTGGTCATGCAGCTCCAATTCTCATTTTGATTTAGTGAAGATGGCAGGATCTGCCTCAGGGATCTGCTCAAGCAACGTGGGATCCCCACTTTTTCACTCTGCTGAATACTCGACCATATTACAAGGCAACAACTGTTCTAAGCTGGAACTAGAGCATGGTAGGTGCTCAATAAATGTTTGCTAAATTGAGTCATCCTTTTTTGTCTTGATTGGGCCAGAATTCTGCTGAGATGTCCTCCAGTTTTTAACATCACTTCCACCCAGTGATCCTCCTATTCCCCAGGAACATTGGGTAACGTCTGGAGACATGTTTGGTTACCTCAAATGGGAAGTGCTTTTGGTATCCAGTGGGTAGAGGCCAAGGATGCTGCTAAGCATCCTACACAATGCAGAGGACAGTCACCACAGAAAAGAATTATCCTGTCCAAAATGTCAACAGTGCTGAGGCTGAGAAATCCTCTTCATCATCTGCCCTTCTTATAGCTTGTTAATTATTTTCTAAGTTCCTATTTTAATATTATCTACTGTAAATGTATCATCCTAGCACCTCAAAGAGATACGGTATACACTATTCACTGTTTGAGTTTGAAATGAAATTGAAGCCTTAAGAATGTCTTCAGACCAGGCGTGGTGGCCCATCCTGTAATCTCAGCACTTTGGGAGCATTGCTTGAGGTCAGGAGTTCAAGACCAGCCTGGGCAACATAGTGAGACCCCCTTCTGTACAAAAAATACAAAAATTAGCTGGGTGTGGCAGCATGTGCCTGCAGTCCCAGCTACTTAGGACTGAGACAAGAGGATTCCCTTGAGCCCAGGAGTTCAAGGTTGCAGTGAGCTATGATCGTACCACTGCCCTCCAGCCTGGGTGGCAGCAAAACCCTGTCTCTTAAAAAAATAAAAATAAACAAAAAAGTAAAAAAGACTTCAGATGATCAACTAGGGGCATATTCCAGCCCTCTGTTCTGCTACCATTAAACCCCTTATTTGGAGTGAGCAGAGGCAAAGGATCTGAACAACTTCTCTGATCAGTTTTCAGTTCAGTCATTAGAGATCACAAGATAAATGCCTTTCCTTTCTGGCATCATCTGTTATATTTATTATTTTCCCACTATTTTTAAAAGGCTGGGTTTTACAGCTAGTGCATTTTTATGAAATTAAATGTCCGTATTCGAGAACACTTCCCTAAAAGGGAGGGGACTTTCGTTTACATTATATTCAATTGAAGGCATTTCTCAGGAGAAATAAAATAATAAAGAGTATCACCTGAAGGTATATTACCAACCTACGACCTGGGAGTGAAATGAAAGGTTTCTAACAAAAATGAAAGTACATTACTCTCAACCCTAACTGGTCTTTAATATTTTTGCCTCCAGGACAAAGCATTTTTACACTCACTATAATTTCTCTTGATAGAAAAATAGACTTTCTCAGACAGCTAATATGATATTAAACATCAGAATTTTTATTAGTGAACGGCATTTAGGAACTCAATTTTTTCTTACAGCATACTATACAGCTTTCTAAAAAAAAACCTTTAAATTCATAAACAGTGCTATACGTAA
The DNA here is from genome assembly GCF_000001405.40 of Homo sapiens. Lineage (NCBI taxonomy): Eukaryota > Metazoa > Chordata > Mammalia > Primates > Hominidae > Homo > Homo sapiens. The sequence goes on from NC_000003.12 coordinate 64,195,716, forward strand.
TAGACTTTAAAAGATCTTCCAATTTACAAATTTGAAGCCCATTTCTTACATGCAATATGACCCCTTCAAACACCATTAATATAGATGCATATTTTATTAGGCGCTATAGAATTCTTAAAATAACTTGAGAAGATTGTCTCTCTCTGCAGAGCTATTTCCTTTTCTAATCATCTGTGTCATAAAGATTTGAGTAAGTGTAGGAAATAGGGAAAACCATCCAAAGAACAACAGAATTATTAGAGATAGGACTACCCTTTCATTTGACATAATTCAAACCACTTGTTCAATGGCACTAATGACTTTCTTTCAAAACAAATCAAAGACATTTCAGATTTATGCTTCCCAAAGACATTCATTTTGGATGAGTCAAGGGACCTCCAAAAATACCATTAGCACTCACTTTTGAAATCATAAATTTAATCAAAACCCTAGCTTCTGCAATTGTCTTTTTTCTTGGGTCAATATGAGTAGAACGTTTTCTCTGAATCTGCATTTCAGGGAATGACGTTTAATGGTCTTAGAGAAAACTCTATTTAAGCAGGAAACTGACAAAAGCTTAACTTTGGAAAATTCAGAGCCCAATTTAGCAAGAAGCAACATCCTTCAGGTAAACAAAAGAAAGATGGGCTGCTTAAAGCAGAAGTTGTTGGAAATAAGGTTAGCAAGAAAATGAAACAAGCTCACTGGTGTATCTAGGTATGAAAACACACTGTTCAAGTACTGGTGGTAGAATGGCAATGTCAAACAAAGTTATGCGGTCAGCCACTACCCTCTCTGAGTGTCTAAACAAACTCAATCAAACACTCTCGTTCTTCTTAAACTAATTATTTAATAATAAAATCTTTACTAAAACAGAAGATATAACCTCAACTCACAGACTGGGAGAAAGCACTCATTTCTTCCTGTTAATAACCCAACAGAGAATTGCCTTCAATTCTCATGGAGATTATTTTCTGGGAGTGTTTCTATTCTAAGACATTTTCTCCCCTGTAGTGAGAATTAGAACAGAGATCACAAAACGGAAGTGCCTGTAGGTTTCAGGAAGGTAACACAAAAGAATAAAAAGGACTTTGTAGAGACTCGGATGATTCGGTATAATCAAGTTTTGTTTTGTCTAAAAGGAATGGCCATCACTCAACTCCAACCAATTATATCCTTACAGGAATGAGATTCCAGATCTTCAAAATTTCAAGACATAAACTTTTACATGAAAAAATCTCTAATTTTGAAGTATTAGTAGCTAATTAAATTTTAAAACAATACCTTGCTGGCTAAACAAATCCTACCGTGTCCCTGATTTCATCTGCCAATTTGCAACTTCAAAATTAGAAGAAAATGAGCAATGGCTAATCAATGAGTTTATATTAGTATCACTACTCTTAAGTTATGAGTGAATTCTTGGGTTCTTCTTTATTATAAATAATTTTCTCTATCCGGTCTGTCATTGATGGGCATTTAGGCTCATGCCATGTCTTTACTATTATGAATAGTGCTGCAATGAACATACGTGTGCATGTGTCTTTACAATAGAATGATTTATATTCCTTTGGGTATGTAACCAGTAATGGGATTGCTGGGTCAAATGGTATTAACGTTTTTAGGTCTTTGAGGAATTGTCACACTGTCTTCCACAATGGCCGAACTCATTTACGCTCCCACCAACAATGTATAAGCGTTCCTTTAAGTATCTGTTCATGACCTTTGCCCACTTTTTAATGGGATTGTTTGGTTTTTCTTGTAAATTTGTTTGAGTTCCTTATAGAGTCTACATATTAGACTCATACACACAATAGAATACTATGCAGCCATAAAAAAGTACAAGATCATATCCTTTGGAGGAACATGCACAGAGTTGGAGGCCATTACCCTTAGCAAACTAATGGAGAAACAAAACCAAATACTGCATGTTCTCATGCAGTGGGAGCTAAATGATGAGAACACATGGACACATAGTGGGGAACAACACACACTGGGCCCTACCACAGAGTGAAGGCTGGGAGGAGGGAGAGGGTCAGGAAAAATAACTAATGGGTACTAGGCTTAATATCTGGGTGATGAAATAATCTGTACAACAAACTCCCATGACACCAGTCTACCTGTGTGACAAACTTGCACATGTACCCATGAACTGAAAATAAAGTTAAAAAAAAAAAGAATTTTCCCTAAAAGCATTATCACACCTAAAGTTTCCAAGTTAAAATTTCAAGGGCTGATGGCCGGGTGTGGTGGCTCACGCCTGTAATCCCAGCACTTTGGGAGGCCAACACGGACGGATCACGAGGTCAGGAGATCGAGACCATCCTGGCTATCATGGTGAAACCCCATCTCTACTAAAAATACAAGAAAATTAGCCAGGGGTGGTGGCGGGTGCCTGTAGTCCCAGCTACTCGGGAGGCTAAGGCAGGAGAATGGCGTGAACCCGGGAGGCAGAGCTTGCAGTGAGCCAAGATCGCGCCACTGCACTCCAGCCTGGGCGACAGAGCGAGACTCTATCTAAAATAAATAAATAAATAAATAAATAAATAAATAAATAAATAAATAAAACAAAAAAAATTTCAAGGGCTGTTTAAACTTTAAAACGTTTTTGTTGGACATAGAGAAGATGTCCTGAGAAAGAAATTTTATGTGTCAGAGGAAGTCAACAGTGGTCAAACACTTCAGATTCTGGCACTTCAGATTCTCACAGGAAACATCATGAAAATACCCAGCTTATAAAAGAGCTTCTTAAACAACATGGGGCTGGTAGAGGAGAAAATTTGAAGTACCAAGAAATACAAGAGGCTGTATTTCACTGAGAAAAATGTGGTACACCTCTGAGATGTTTCTAGACAATCCTGGTAACAGTTAATAATGACAATACAGAATGAATTAGCAATGGATCACTCCTGGCTCAATTTCATTTCCCTTCCTCATTTTCCACTGGGGCCCCTGGCATCTTCAACATATTTAGCCCTACCACTTCTCTGAATCAGCAAAGTCTACTCTTCCTACAGAACTGGAATGAGGAAGGACCAGTAAGGCAAAGTGAAACACCCAAACCACCAGCATGCTCCCATCCAGAATGGTACCTGTTCAGGCTTCAGACCCGGCGGGACCCAGGCATACTCTTCCAAAGCACAGCCTGAGTCATCATCTGAGGTCGAGTTCCTCTGAAAGTCAAACATGAGTTTGCTGATGGTCTTCTCCATCTCCAGCGGCATCACTGTCACCATGTGCTCCTCCTGGGGACACTTGCAGTGCAGGCAGATCTTCCTGCAGGCAGTAAAGGTAGAAGGTGAGAAAGAGGAAAAAACCTTTTTTTTTTTCCAAGAGCCTGCCAGTCACTAGCCCCTGGATCCCAAACCATAAACACATTCCTTGGCAATGGGCATCGGGCAAAGGCATCGCGAGCAGTGTTCCAGAACATGACTGTCTTTGCAGAGGGCGTGGTACACGCATGTGAAAACAGCATGAAAGGTCAGAGGCCACCAGGTAAGCATGCTAAGGGTGTTTACATGTGGACCCCAGCCTTCTCTTCTAAATCAATACCCCAAGAGGAATGGTAATATAGTTTTTATTTTACTAGGTAGACCACTGGATATGGCCCATGACCACAATTTCCTTGACTGCAATAGCAATTAAATATACATAATACATATGTTGACCTGAAGTGTTACTTGTAGATTTAACAAATACTGACAACATACTGCTTTTATAAAAGGTTCCTAAGCCCTGGAAAATGGAGAAAATGGTTTTAAAAATGCAGGTAAAATGTTCTTTAAGAAGAAGAGCAAACATACATATTTTTTCTCATGAAACGTATCTGGCCCTAAGATCTCATAGGAAAGACAATTTCACCTCCATTAAAGATCCCTGTAGGTTTGGAATTCTAATTAGAAACCCAAATTTTCCCTATGTTGGTGGGGTTTTTTATATACAAGAAGATCATGCATGTGAATTATTTCAAAAGGTAGCAGCCAAAGATAAAAATCTCCCAAACTGAACATTTCTCTTTTAAGGTTACCATCTGTTCTCTTATCCATAGCTACAGAAATGATGAAGCAATAAATATGTTGATGTCAGCAACACAAAAGCATTTCTAGCTTCCACCAATAAAATAAAAAGAGAGAAAAAAAGAATAGAGGAGGAAAATTTTAAGGAAATAAGTTATTCCATGTTCACTCTTTTTAAAATTATTAGTTTCCGTAGCACCTTATAAAGGTGATAAAAGAGCCCAGAATTTTAATCCCCAGATGTGCCTGAACGTTCTGATAACAGCTTTGTGAAGATACAATGTACAAACCATAAAACTCACCATTTCAAAGTGTACAATTCATGGACTCTTAATACATTCGGAATTGTGAATCATCACTATCTAATTTTCATCCCCTCCCCAAAAGAAACCCCAGGAGCATTGGCAGTTATTTCCCATATCCCTCTGCCCCCAGGCTCTAACAACCACTAATCTATTTTCTGTCTCTATGGTTTTGCCTATTTTGGACATTTCATATAAATGCAATCATATAATATGTGGTTCTTTTGAAGTTGGCTTCTTTCACACAGAATGACTTTTCAAGGTTAATCCAAGTTATAGCATGTATCAATCCTTCATCCCCTTTTATTGTTGAATAATATGCCATTGTATAGATATACCACATTTTCATTGATCAGTTGTGCACATTTGGACTATTTTCACCTATGGCTTTTATGAATAATGATGCTCTGATTACTTATGTATAATTTTTTGTGTGGATATTTGTTTTGTTTTGTTTTGTTTTTTGAGACAGGTTCTCATTGTTTCCCAGGATGGAGTGCAGTGATGCAATCACGGCTCACAGCAGCCTTGACCTCCTGGGCTCAAGCGATCCTCCTGTCTTAGCCTCCCAAGTAGCTGGGACCACACAGGGGCATGCCACCACGCCTGGCTTTTTTTTTTTCTGAGACAGAGTCTCACTCTGTCGCCCAGGCTGGAGTGCAGTGGTGCCATCTCAGCTCACTGCAACCTCTGGCCGCCCAGGTTCAAGCAATTCTCCTGCCTTGGCCTCCTGAGTAGCTGGGACTACAGGCATGCACCACCACGCCCAGCTAATTTTTGTATTTTTAGTAGAGACGGGGTTTCACCATGTTGGCCAGGCTGGTCTTGAACTCCTGACCTCATGATCCACCCGCGTCAGCCTCCCAAAGTGCTGGGATTACAGGCATGAGCCACTGCCCTCAGTCGGATATATGTTTTTAATTTTTTTTTTTTTTTTTGAGATGGAGTCTTGCTCTGTCGCCCAGACTGGAGTGCAGTGGCACGATCTCGGCTCACTGCAAGCTCCACCTCCTGGGTTCGTGCCATTCTCATGCCTCAGCCTCCCGAGTAGCTGGGACTACAGGTGCCTGCCACCATGCCTAGCTAATTTTTTGTATTTTTAGTAGAGACCGGGTTTCACCATATTAGCCAGGATGGTCTTGATCTCCTGACCTCGTGATCCGCCTGCCTCGGCCTCCCAAAGTGCTAGGATTACAGGCATGAGCCACCACGCCTGGCCAAAGTTTTTAATTCTTTTGGGTATATTCCTAGAAATGAAATTGCTAGGTCATGTGGCAACTTTAGATTTAACATTTTGAGGAACTCCCAAATTGTTTTCACAAAATATCTGTACCTTTGTACATTCCCACCACTGATGAATGAGTGTTCCATTTTCTCCATATTCTTGTCACATTTGTTATTGTCTGTCTTCTTTTATTGTAGCTACTATAGTGGGTATAAAACAGTATTTAATTGTGGTTTTGATTTGCATTTCCCTAACGTCTAATGATGTTGAATATCTTTTTATGTGCTTATTATGTATCTTCTTAGAATAGAGACATGTCTATACAAATCCTTAGTCCATTTTTTTTCATTGGGTTGTGTTCTAATTGTTGAGTTATAAGCTTTCTTCACATATTTTCTGGATACAAGTCCTTTATCAGATATGTGATAGGAACATTTTTTCTTCCATTTTGTGGACTGTCTTTTCACTTTCTTGATGACATCTGTTGAGCACAAAAGTTTTTAATTTTTATGAAGTCTAATTTTGTTGTTGTTGCTGTTGCTTTTGTTTTTTTAATCATTTCTAAGAAGCCATTGCATAACTCACGGTCATAAAGATGTATTCTTACATTTTAATTTAAGAGATTTATGGCTTTGGCTCTTACATTTAGGTCTATGGTCCATTTTGAGTTAATTTTTGTATATGGCACTAAGTAGGAGTCCACCTTCATTCTCATGTGGCTATCCAGTTCTTTCAGCACTATTTATTGAAAAGAATAATCTTTCCCATTGAATTGTCTTGGTACCCTTGTCAAAAAATCTACTGACCATAGCTGTAAGAGTTTATTCTGGACATTCAGTTCTATTCCAGTGGTCTGTATGTCCCTCCTTGTGCCAGTACCACACTGTCTGGATGACTGCAGTTCTGCGGTAAGTTTTAAAATCATGAAGTATATATGAGTCAAGCAATTTTTGTTCTTCTCTTAAAAAACTGTTTTGGCTCTTCTTCATCCCTTGCATTTGCATTCATAAAATATGAATTTTAGGATTAGTTTGTCAATTTGTGCAAAAAAAAGCCAACTAGAGTTTTGATAGAGATACACTGACTTTGTAGATCAATTTATTAATCTGAAGAGTATTGCCATTTTAATGATATTAAGTCTGCCAATCCATGAACACAGGCTACCTTTCCATTTACTTCAATCTAATTTCTTTCAATTATATTTTGTGGTTTTTAGGCACAAGGCTTGCACTTCTTTTAAGTTTATTCTTAAGTATTTTATTCTTTTTGATGCTACTGTAATTAGAATTGTTCTCAATTTCACTTTCAGGTAGTTATTGTATAGAAACATAAATGATATTTATATTGATGTTAAATCATACAATCTTGCTAAAATCATTTATTAGTTGTATTAGTTTAGGTACTTGTGTGCGTGTGTGTGTGTGTGTGTGTGTGTGTGTATTCTTTAGAATTTTCTATATATAAGACCATATCATGTGCAAATAGAGAGTTTTACTTTTTCCTTTTTAATCTGATGTCTTTTATTTCTTTATCATATCTTATTGCCCTGGTTAGAACCTCCAGTACAATGTTCAACAGAAGTAGCAAGGGTGGACATCTTTGTTGTGTTCTTGATCTTAAGGGAAAGCACCAGTCTTTCAGCATTAAGTATTATGTTAGCCATGAGTTATTTGTACATGCTCTTTATCAGGTAGAGGAAGTTCTCTTCTATGCTAGTTTGTTGTTTTTACCACAAAAGGGTGTTGGAGTTTGTCAAATGCATTTTCTGCATCTATCAAGATGATTAGTTATTTTATGTCTTTATTCTATTAATGTGTTGTGCCTAAATTTCAACATAAAAATGTACTTGAAGAAACGAAATCAGTTTAGTCTAACCAAACTGATTTTGGCTTGTCAGATTCCCCCACTTTCTGCTTCTCATCAAATCAGAAATATACACCAGACAGAATGCACACCTTGGATCTCGTTTGCATCTCCAACTCAAAGAAGTTCCATCCAAACCCTGGTTGTTGCTTTTAAAAATAGTCAGAGCTCATTTGAATAGTAACTCTTTAATTAATCAGCTACTGCACAATGGTCAGGTCTGTTGGGAAGCAGTCAGTTTATTTCTCCAAGAAATTTTTATGCCAGTTTATGACTTAAGGAAAAACAAGTTTCAATGTGTTTAAGTAAGTTGACTAAGCTCTTTGGTGACTAATGCTTTTTACTAGAAAGTCATACTTGAACATCAAAATGTAGAAAACTTTTACCAAATTCAGTCCCAAAATATCCACCAATTAAACTCATTTATTCACATACTAATTATGCAGGGAAGAGCACACTAATGCCGGATGGACATGATTTAACGAACTGAGGATCCAGGAGAAGGAATAAAGATAACAAGAAAACAAAGGAGGAGTGCAGAATCAGATCCAGAATGAGCATCGACAAGTAGAAGGATAAACAGAAAAGAGACGATGGGGAGGGCTGAGGCCCCATGTGGTCATTCAACAAATAACTCGAGGTGGATGGATCACTTGAGGCCAGGAGTTCGAGACCAGCCTGGCCAAATGGTGAAACCATGTCTCCACTAAAAATACAAAAAAAAAAAAACATCAGCTGGGCATGGTGGTGGGCACTTGTAGTCCCAGCTACTCAGGAGGTGGAGGCACGAGAACCGCTTGAACCCAGGAGGTGGAGGTTGCAGTGAGCCCAGATCGCATCACTACACTCCAGCCTGGGTGACAGAGCGAGATGCTGTCTCAACACACACACACACACATACACTCTAAAACAAAAACAAAACAACAACAACAACAACAAAAACCCAAATAACTATCAAGCACTTACCACGTACCAAGGCCTGCTCTAGGTACTTGGGTACCCAACCAAGACAAAGATCCCTGCCCTCTTGGCCTACGTTCTCAGAGGGGAGAAACATACAATACACATAACAAGCCTTTCAATCACAAAGTATGTTAAAGGCAGCAAGTGCTACTGAAAACCAGAAAGAAGCAGGATATGGGAGGTCAGGATGGGGAGGGGACATATACCGAGCCATATGCCTGGCATTTAAGTTGCTTTATACCTTACATACATGATCCTAGACTCTTCCATCAGTCCTCCAGGAAAGGAAATATTATCTCCACTTCCCACGGAAGAAAACAAAGGCCCAGAGTGGTTAAGTGGCTTGTAAGCAGTTAAGCAACTGAACTATTCAGAGCAGTTGATCAACCCTAAATAGTGAGCAGAACATGGACTCAAAGTAGGCTCTAACTGACCACTGAAGCAAAAAGTTACTTATAGAAAATCTATCTGATTCCAACCACAGAATACCCTTTTACTTCTGAACAACAACAACAACAACAACAAAAAACCTCACACACACGCAAAAGCAAAACCAAGGAGGGGGGAAGAAAAGGAAAAAAAAAACCAAAACCCTAAATAGTAACTCAAAGCCACAAGGACCTTATCTGTTTTCCATGCTAGCTGCCCGCCTTCCACTTCTCATTTATAATTAACTGGCACTCCCGTGGCAAGACATTTTTCTTTGTAAAGAATTTTCAACCTTTGAGTGATTCCATGACAACCTTTGGTAATGGCTAATTTAATAACCTCCATGTATAAATTGGGAACCCAAGGCCCAGACCCTCAGAAGGGGGCAGAGGGTCAGAAGTGATGCTAAGAGGATTTCTCTTCATTCCTGCATCTCTCCCCCTTTGGCAAAATGCACACAGCAACACCCAACAGCTCTCTTTCAACACACTGATTAAAGCTTTTAACCTGAATGAAACATATTCGGAAGTGTGTGGGGAAATATATGATTTGGCTTTTTTTTTAAATAGACATTTATGAAAATAGAACCTGCTAGCAAAGCAGGATTTCGTTAAAAAAAAAAAAAAACATACAAAGGGTGCATTGGCTTCATTCTGTCAGAGTTGACATTCTATCTGCACATAATTGGGTTTGTGAATGACAGGTTTCTGAGGAATAAGGCATGATTTAGAGAGAGGAGATTCTGCATTCTCCTCTACCCCAAAACAACCTCTGCAAATCCTCTACCCCAAAGTTGCAGCATTAAATCATGGCTTCCGTATCTCAGCAGCCATAATTAGCCCTTTCATGGCATACACAGTATTGTCAGGCGGAGACCCTCTCTTTAACTATCTCCAAGTAGCTTGGTCATCTGCACCAGTGGCCGTTATCATTTGGAAAATGACTAACAATCTATACCAATTAACTTGCCTGCCATTACTTGAAAGGATTCATCATGAGTAGACTGGGGACAGGGTTGGTGGCAGGAATACTTATCCTTGAGATTTTGACAGGTTATTTACAACACCGAACCCTGAACCACAAGGTCTTGTTTTATGTGAGAAGTGATAGGATGAAGGCAAAAAAGGGATCTTCCTTTAGAACATGATTTTTGACAAGTTCAAGTAGCAAATTGTAGAAATTGAGATTCGAATGGGATTGCAAACATCATTAAGCCTGTTTTTTACTTTTCTGTTTCTTTTATTCCCCCCCGCTTCTTAATAAGAGGAAAATACATTTTGTAAAAGAATTCATAAGTGGAAACTCAAAACAGAAAACAGGGCTGCCCAAGTTGATGTGGAGAAGAAGACTATGAGCCCAACTTCTCCTAAGCTCAACCTCCTCCCCAAACTCCAGGCACATTCATGGCCTTGAAATTCTCAAGGTTCCAAAGCCACAAGGCTAAAAACCACCATATTTCCTAGACTCCACGAAGTCATTTCTAGCATGTGCCAAAATATGAAGTAGGTGCTTGGTAATTTGCTAGATGGAAAGAAGAAAAAATATAGAGGCTATTAACGGCTTTTAAGAAATAAATAATTCCTAATCATGAAACTCTTAGATAAATAATAATTCTAGTTGTGAGAAACTGTATATCTGGTTGCCAAGACATTACATGGAGATGCATGGGGAATAGTAGGATGTCCCAGTGACTATAATTGGATAGGTCTGAGGCAGGCTCAGGAATGTGCATTTTCACCAGTGTGCCTGGTGATTGTGATGCAGCCGGTCCTCCAAGCACAGCTCAAGGCCACTCTTCTGTAGTAGCCTCCTAGTCAGAAAGGAGTGCCGTAGAGTGTGGTTTAAAAACAGGTGTGGGTTTTACCAATATAATCGATGGTCTCAGCAACTCTGGGCAATGTACATTTTCAAACTGTCCCAAAGAATCTATGCCAGCCCTTCCTTGCCACCATGTCTTAACCTCTTGCATCACTAGGCCCTCCTGCCACTCAGCTGGGTACCCAGTGGGGTGTGAAAAGGCACTGGTGAAAGGCAAGACTACATCAGACATGAGAATAGTGTCTCTTGTTGCTAGCCCTGCCATCTGTCTTGACTTCCACCTCCCCTGTGGTGTGGGCTCCTCTGTCCCAAGTCCATGGCTAGATCAGGTTCAGGCCACTTTCATGCACAGGGACAAGGGGCAGACTGCTTAAAGAGTGGTTCAGCCCCAGTACAAACCAAGTGACTGACAAGGAATGCACAACATAGGATTCAACATGGCTATGCCCAAGGCAGGCAAGGCCAGAGGTGGGAAAACACACTTTTGTTTAAAACAAGGGCTAAAATAACCCAAAGCTCTCCATTGCTTTTTGCTAAATAACAGATGTATCCTAGGTATTTAAATTCTTCCATGACTCTAGCTCACTAAAGGCAAAAGAACACATTTTTTTGAGACAGGGTCTGCTCTGTCACCCAGGCTGGAGGGCAGTGGTGTGATCATGGCTCACTGCAGCCTCGACCTCCTGGGCTCAAGCAATCCTCCCATCTCAGCCTCCTGAGAAGCTGGGACTAAAGGCACATGCCACAATGCCCAGCTAATTTTTGTATTTGTTGTAGATATGAGGTTTCACCATGTTACCCAGGCTGGTCTCGAACTCCTGGGCTCAAGCAATCCTCCTGACTCAGCCTTCCAAAGTGCTGGGATTACAGGCATGAGTCACTGTGCCCAGCTCTCTTTTCATTCTTAATAAGAAAAAAAGAGGAAAACATTTTCCTCCTTATTATACTTATTATAAAGTTATTACTTCCTTATCCTTAAAAAGCAATATACAACTATACAACTAATGTAGAAAAAATCAGAAACTACAGATAAGAAGTAAGAGTAAAAAATTTTCAAAACACTCACAATCCCAAAGATAATCACCATTAAACAGAAACAGCTGCTGGTCCTCTTTTCCCTTAGTGTTAAGAAACTGGAGACCAGACTTCATTCTACGTGTTCCTCATCAGCCAGAGCCAGGGGATAAGACTCTGGCCGGTAACGACAAGACATGAGCCAGAGCCACCCACACATGCACACACAACACTCTCAGCAAATAGATGTGCATTATTCAATCCAGATAAGCGGGTCTGTTCTGAACTGGTGCCCTGCAGCAGGATCAACAATCCACTTATGTAATGTAAAAGATACCTCCAACGTGGGAATTACATATAACATATACTTACGGGTATCACAGAGTTAAAAGTTAGGTCCCTTCGATAAAAAAAAAATCTGACAACCAGATTTCACTAGCTATCAACTTGCAATTTTCTGTGCAAGTGGAGAGAGATGCGGCACGGATAATTTAAAACCACTAAGACTTGGCTTTGAATTGTGTCTTTGTACGCTAGTCATATAACCTCCAATGCTGCGATAACTTACATCACTTCAAACCATATAATAGATCTCTGGGAAAGGCTGACGCAGGAGGAGCTGGGCAGCGGCCTGACTTACTCCATCTGCTCTGTAGCCCATTTTCCCTGAGTTTCCAATGAAAGCATCAACTCTTCACATGCACGCACAACACCAGCCTAAAATGAACCAAACATTCTTCTCAAGTGTACTGCCCTTTAGTAACACCTCCGTCAGGTTTTAGGAGGGAATTAGGTGTCTGGGTAAAGAGAGCTTTTTCTAGACTGCAGGCTGCCTAGAAAAGGTAAGCAAATGAAAGGACAGTGGCTGTTGTTAGCAAGAAAGGCATTCCCCGGTTGTGTTTCACTGAGTCTGTAAGAACTGGAAGCAAGGTCTGCCTGCCCTAAGATATTGCTGAGATAATCCTGCCTTGAACAGGTCAGAGTTGTTAAAATTGAGCTATCACAAAAAGCACAAGCAACGCTCCTCAAGAACTGTATGGATCATGTGACCCCCACACAGGGCTTCAGCTCCTACCTTATACATCCCTCGCAAAAGGGGTAAGCGGAGAGTCAGAACGCCAGAAAGGAAGGAAGAAAATATATTCGTAGAGGCTGGCCTGAAATCAAATGGGAATGTTCCAAGAGGTAAAAATCTGCTCCAAAAGATCAAGGCCTCCAGGTGGCAGGTGTGACCTCCAGGCTCTGACTCCTGTTGCTCTAGCTCAACCTGTGCTTTGACTGAGGATGGCAGGTGAGGGGTGAACAGAGCAGCTATGTTCTACTGTTAACACAACTGCTCATACTTGTGAAGGTTTATAATATTCAATAATTTTCACTTAATTTATCTCATTTCTCTCTCAGCAGTCCTATAAAGTTGGCATTTTTATCCATTTCACAGATATAAAAATTTAGCTGATAAACTCATAAGTGACTTGACTGAAGTTAAGGACCTATGTCATCTGACTCTAAAACCAGTGCTTTCTCCTACCTTGTTTTAGGTACAGTGTCAAAATATTCCTTCTCTTATTCCATCCATATCCATCCATCTACCTGTCCATCCATCCACCCATCTATCCATCCATTCATATCCGAACATACATCCATATCTATCCATCCATCCACCCATCTATCTATTCATTCATATCCATACATACATCCCATAAATACATCCATATCTATCCATCCATCCACCTGTCTATCCATTCATTCATATCCTTAAATACATACATATCTATCCATCCATCCACCCATCTATTCATTCATATCCATACATACATACACATCTATCCACCTATCCACCCATCTATCGATCCATTCATATCCATACATACATCCCATAAATACATCCATATCTATCCATCCATTCACCCATCTATCCATTCATTCATACCCATAAATACAGCCATATCTATCCACCTATCCACCCATCTATCCATCCATTCATGTCCATACATACATCCATATTTATCTATCCATCCACCTATCTATCCATTCATTTATATCCGTACATACATCCATATCTACCCATCCATCCATCCACCCATCTATCCATTCATTCATATCCATAAATACATCCATATCTATCAATCCATCTACCCATCCATTCATATCCATACATACAACTATATCTATCCATCTATCCATCCATTCATATCTGTAAATACATCCACATCTATCCATCCATCCACCCATCTATCCATCCATTCATATCCATACATACATCCATACCTATCCATCCAGCCAACCAACCTACCAACCAACCAACTGCCCACCCACTCACCCACCAACATTGACTGAGCAGCTACTGTGTGTTAGGCACTGCACTAAGATGCTGGGCACACGACAGTCATTAAGACAGACAACATGCCTGCCTTCGTGGAGCTTTGAACCAAGTGAGGAAGACACTCAACAGTTAAGTAAACAAACAGATAAACCTGCCATTTACAGATTGTGATAAGTGTTATGACAGAAATAGGGAAATCAGAAAGAGAGGAACTGAGGATGGGTGAGGACGGGCCTCCCACTGAAGTGACATTTGAGTTGTGATGAGAAGACTATGAGGCAGATATGAGAAAAATCAGAGTACGAGTTTTCCCGGCAGAGAAGAAGTGAGCACACAGGTCCTGAGGTGGGGAAGAGCACTGTGTGAGTCATTCTCAGAAGGTGATATTGTGGCCTCCCTCCTCCTCCACCACTGTCTAGATTAATGACAGTGACCAAACTGGCTGGGCCACTGCCTGTCCCAAAGCCCAAGCACAGATGTGAAATTCAGGGGACGGTGCCATTTTAGTGGGTGTAGGAAACTTCGCGTCCTCCCTAACCCGTTTCTCCTTGGAATTTCTATATCCCTCTGTCTTGATACCCAGACGTCAGCATATCCTGTTATTTGCAGTCTTACTGGCTCCTTAACTCCCTGCCCCTAGCCACAATACTTTGTTTTTCCCCTTTTTTGGCAAACACTCAGTCTGAATGAGGGACCCAGGCATGAACCTTGACACTTGCCATGTCTGGGAGCAAGATTTCTATCTCTGTGAGAAAGGAAAAATGGTTTCCTAATAAACACAGAAGCTCAAGGGCGGAGACTGTGACGGGGCCAGCTGGGTATGAGGCTGGTGTGTGCTGAGTGCCAAGACCACACTGCCTGGTCCTATCCAACTCCCTCCCTTCCGGCTGGGCTCCAGCGGCTCTGGCCATCTGCACCAAGAAGTGCTTCTCTCTCCCAGGGGTTGCTGAAGTTGGTACAGGGTAATTTTCAGGGGCAGTTGTTTCCTCTTTTTAATATGCCAATTCATGCTTCAATGAAGAATTATATGCAGTGCCTTACTTTAGACTAATTTATCTTGTAACTTTTGAGCAGTGGAAATTCCTTCCCTTTTAAAAATAAGCCTCCTGGGTGACTTTGCTTGGAAACATATAATTTAAAGATCTCTTACTGTATTTTGATTTGCAGAAATGATGCCTCAGTCATTGAGGGGCAGTATCTTAGATTGGTTTTCCCCAGAATCAGACTCTTGGAAGGTATCTGAATCTTGTGGGAGAAGATCCCAAAAAGGCCTGACAGGGAACAGAAGAATGAAAGTGGGGAAGGGTAGGATGCCAATAGAGTGTAAGTTAATGAACAGGTAGCAGCTTTGAGCAACCAGAACTCATTTCAGCTGAGGACCTCTGGGAGACAGTACAGAACATTCCTCAGATACATTCCCCTTGAGAGTCAAGGAAGTAGGGGTACTTATCAACCAACTCTCAACAGCCATTGGTTGAAGACCACTCCTTGGTGCTCTTTGCCCTCTCCCACAGGCAAGACAAGCAGGCTCAACCAACAAGGTAGAGTTTCTACAGAAGCAGGAACCATGAGTCCAAAAGGCGGAACAGAGGCAATGCCGAAATACTTGTGGCAGTCAACTTCATTTATTAAACAATAATTCACTGAAAATTTACTGTGTACCATGCATTGTGGTAGGTGTTGCAAGGAGTTAAAAAAATAAAAAGGAGTTTCTATCTGACACAATGATACAGCCAGAAATAGCTAGACCATAAATTTCAAAGTGGAGAGTTCTTGTGAAAAAGATATTTAAAAGAATGTTCTTGTTCTGAAGAGAAAGATGCTGAAATGTATACAGATAAGGGATGATGTTTGCAATTTATTCTCAGATGGTTCAACAAAAATGATATGTGTATATGCCTGTGTGTGTGGAAAGAGAGAGGAACAGAGGGAGAGAATAAGCAGCACAAATGTGGCAAAATATTAACAGAAAAATCTAGAAGGGTGTTTGGGAGTTTGTTATACTATTCTTGTAACTTTGATCTAACCTTGCAATTTTACAAAATAAAAAGTTTTAAAACAAAGAAAGTGGTTGGTACTGCGACTCTTTTGTTAGGCCATCATTAATGTGTTAGCCACTGTGCTACAGAAGGTTCCTGGTTAACAACAGATCAGGGAAGGCCTGCTTGAGGAAGCTGGACCCAAAGGTTACTGAGTAGGAGAGGTTTCTAGGAAAAAAGATAATGAAAAAGTAGTCCTAACAGGTGAATAAAGTCATGGCAGGGGGAGAGAACATGCTGTCACTGAGATGTTGACAGGAGTCTAGGATGGTAACAAGATGGCAGCTGGGAAGGAGTTTTGGCTTTATTTTAAAAGCGTTCACAAGCCAGTGAGGAATCTGCCTACCAAGCACATAGAGAGCTAATTCAACTTCGTGATGAGTAGACGGAGTGAGCCCTCAAAGGAGAAGAGCTTGGCCACTGATGGTGTCTCCATGGCAACACTACTACCTGCATCCCCACATCACTGTATCCCTGTGCAAGGCTGTGGGGTATCTAGAAAAGCTCCGATTTCCTCAGCTGCCTGTCAGACCTGCTGTTCTGCAAAGAATAAACCATGGTAGATAGAGTTGGTTACTCCTTCTAGATATATTTCTCCACTTCACTTTGTCTACATGCCACCTGTGATTTTATGGCATGCACACTTTTGCTTCATTGGACATTTATCAGAGCAAGTTCTAAGAGCCCCTCCTTTCCAGATAAATCCTTTGGGGGACCAATTTCTGAGGAAATGAATGAAAACTGAATTCTAACACACCTCATCTCCAAACTTCAAGGCAAGGATCAGAAGACTCCACAAAACACCTCTTCGTTTGCTTTTCTCTTCCATGCCACCTGCTGAAGTACTTGTTTAGTCTCTACCTTCTTTGTGGACGAGGTTGGCTAAACTTATACAGACAAGATCTGAGGCATAAAATATTCCCTAAGTACTTAAAGGCAGTATACCACAGTGGGTTAGGATCTTAGATTCTGTGGTTACCATAACTTGGGCTCAAATCCTAACTTCACTGAGTTGCCACTAGGATTTAACAACTTAATATATACAACATTCTTGGTATAATGAAACTTGACTATGTGCCAGTGTGCTAGGTCCTACCCTATGTCTAGGGATACAAAGTCAAACAAACAAACAAACAAAAGTATTTAGGGTTCTTGTTCTCTAGAAGTCAACCTAGACCCTACTAATCTATTTCCAGCTAGGATGGAAAGAGATCAATGGAAAACAGACGGGTGGTGAACAATTCATTTTGATAAATCTTAGCAAATCCTTAGTGTACACTTAAAGGTGTGCTGGACTGAGCAAGGTAATTTCATTATTATCCCTACCAAAGGATTATGTATCCTTGACCAAGTTTTTAATCCTTCAAGGTCATACTAATGACTGTTTTTTGTTCTTTTTTTTTTTTTTTTGAGATGGAATTTTTCTTTTGTTGCCCAAGCTGGAGTGCAATGGCGCAATCTCGGCTCACTGCAACCTCCGCTTCCCGGGTTCAAGCAATTCTCCTGCCTCAGCCTTCCACCATCTAGCTGAGATTACAGGCATGTGCCACCATGCCCAGCTAATTTTTTATATCTCATAGAGATGGGGTTTCACCATGTTGGCCCGGCTGGTCTCGAACTCCTGACCTCAGGTAATCCACCCGCCTTGGCCTCCCAAAGTGTTGGGATTAAAGGGGTGAGCCACCGTGCCCGGCCATGACTTTCTTTTCATACCAAGTTGCAATAAGGCAGACAGGTTAGACAGTAAATTAATGACCTGTCGGATGAATCAAGGACTTTAGAGTTACCAAGCCCTTTCATTTCATGTAACTTTTGAATTGCCAATAATCTCTACAAGGTTAGTCAGAAGAGCAGGGGTTCTTTATAGATGAAGAAAGTGAAGTTCAGAGAAGCCAAGTACTGTGGTTACTACTGAATGCTGGAGGTATCTGGAACCCCAAGTTTACTCATTTTCCCCTGAGCCCAGGGGCATAAGGTCAGTTTGGCTTCATTTTGGGGGTGTGATTTCTCCAACTTTTTTCAGAAAACATTTTCTGAGTATGTGCCAAGCTCTGTGTCAAACGCTTTCCACGCTTTTCTTATTAATCCTCAAACCACACTATGAGAAGAAAATTATTGTTATCCTTCTCATGTTACAGATAGGACAACCAAGGCTCAACGAGTTTGTGGAACTTACCCAAAGCCCTTCACCAAACACCTGAATACCTTTTGGCAGCCCCTCCAGACTGGCTGCACTGGTCCCTTAATCCATGTAAAACAAGATGTGCTTTTTCCCCTGTTCACAGAGAGGCCCCCAAATCACTGGCAAGTCATAGGAAATTCTTAAGTGGCTGCTTATTAATAACATTTTCAGTTTATATTAGGCCGCCTTTCATCCAGGGGAACTGGGCCAGCTCCATGCACAGAGAACCACAGAAATTCAGCCATCTCTGGTATGGACGTGAGCCAGCTGGCAGCGGAATCCCTCAGGGGCTTGGCTTGTGGTGATTCTGGCAATGGTCACACCCTTCAAAACTTGACAGGGGCCCTTTAATATCTGTGCTGAAGTGCTGGAGGGAAAAACTTCCCAGAAATCCATGTTGCTCAGCAAAGGAGGCCAGAGGCTCCGGACGACCCCAGTGGACTTGCGAAACAAGAGAATCGAGCGATTGGAGGTTTACCAGACACCAATGCTGGATGTAAAGCCCCTCAATTCAGATTGAGTTAGACACAACAGGGAAAGACATTATTTTCAGGAGAGACCTGGCTTTAGTCAAGTCCGAAGAAAGAAACAAAACAAACAAAATTCTCAGGGTTTTCTACAGGAGGGACAGGCAGCAAAAGTGAGATGCTGATTTCCCTGATTTGAGCTGGATCTATGGAAAGGTTTTTGTGGTTTTGTTCTGAGCTACAACTCGCTTCCTCATTCTTACAGCAGTGAAAGGAAGGAGGAAAGTACACAGAAAGAAAATATCATTTCCTGGTTTCATGATTTTTTGGAAAGAAGCCCTTGATGAATTGGATTCACATGTCTACAGGAGTAAGGTTTTGAAAATATTAAAAAATTTGTTTTACTCCGATTTGACAAGGTGCTGGTTGAAGGATGTACCCCTCCTCCATCCCAGCCCCCGCACTGCGTCCCAAGCCTGCTAGATGTAGCAACGCCTACACACTTTTAGCATAGTTGACGAAACGAACAAGGAGGAGCCGGGACCGTGGACTTCCTTGGTGCACGGGATGAGTCTTAGTCATTTATTCATTATCTCTTTTTACCACCTCTATCTTTACTATCCTACTCCAACTCACCATTACCTCCTGCTTGAGCTACTACAATAGCCTACTTCTTAATTTCCTGCCTCCATGCCTGCCCTTCTAGAATCTAATTTCCACCACCGTTTGTTTTTTAAACAATGATGATAACACTCAGCTCTCCTGCTTAAAATGTGCCATTAACTTCTGACAACAGTGAGAATGAAGCACAAACTCCTTAACCATAGCCTACAAGACCCTATATAACCTGGTCTGTTCCTCTCTCCCCAAATTTATTTTGTTCTACTCTATTCCCCATCTTGTTCCAGCCTCAGCAGTCTTTATTTGTCCTTTGAATTTGCCAAGGCTTTCCCTCTCTTAGGATCTTTGCAGCAGCTGCTCCTCGGCCCAAAACACCCTTCCCTCAGTACTTCAGGAGCTGGTCTGCTTTTCACTATTCCCATCATCAACCAAAGACATCTTTTCCTTAACATCAGACGCCATTTTATTTGTTGGTGTGTCTAAAATACCTTTTCCCATTGTAATGTAAATTTTAAAATCCTTTATCTAGAATAATAAGCATTCAATAAGTAGCTCTTTGAAATTTTGACTAATACTTAGTCTGAAATCTAACTGCAACCAGTGAGCTACTAACAAGATATGACCAAAGCGTAAATTTTATTTTTCATATTTATTTTTTTACAATAACTGAAAATGTATATTGCTACAATGATGTCAAAAATGTAGAATGTGATTCAACTACATGACGAGTAGTGTTTGGCCAAGATCACATTAAAGAAAGACTGCCTTTGTCCTCAATTAAATGAAAGTATGCAAAAGCTTAAGATGAGGTAGAGAAAAATATATTACAGCTGACAATGTACCATAACTATAGTGTAGTAATTTAATTCTGTTACTGTACTGCAAAATGTCAAGTATTTGAAAGAACGCCTCAAGTACAGAAATACTGAAAAACTCTGGCCTAGCACACAGCAAATGTTCAAAAGGTTGTTAAACTGTTGAGTGAACAATAAAAACTATCTGAGAGATAGAAGGAACAAGAACTCCTATGGCCTTGGCATCTGAGACCACGACCGTCAATTTACTCATCTACAGAATGGAAGAAAATCAGGTAACTCTCTCCTTCTAGCTCCGCAGGGTTTAACATTAGCTCCTGGGTAATCATGTAGAAAAATGCTGCATTTCTCTGGGCTATCTGCTCTGGGGCAGAAAAACATTATTTTTTCCAGTCTCACATTAACCTGTAGAGATTTCTCTGGATGAGTTTACAACAACCTACCAGCCAACTTAGCAGTTTTAAACCTTTCGGGTGACTTGATGCCCTTAAAATCTGATGAAAGCTGGGATCCTCTCCCTTAAAAAATGGACATATGCACATTCACAGAAAATTTTGCATTAAATTTCAGAAAGTTCATCAATTCTGTCCAGTCCTTTGCTGTCCAGGGATCCTAAGCTAAAAACATCTGGTTTGGAAAACTGGTTAAGTGCAAAAGACCGGCTGTGATATTTTAAACTACCCACAGGGCCAAAGTCAGCGCCTTACATCTCGCAGATGCTCAATTGCTATTTCTCACTCTCTGTAACATTCTTTTAAAAATTCAAAATAGCACATGATATCATAGTTACCATTTAGGATGCTGCATCTTAGCAATTCAGTGGTGCAGGATTTAAAACCATTTTTAAGCATTACAAGGGCAAACAACGTGAGTGTTTAGGCAGCTGGTTAGGCAGCCAAACTGACACAGTGAAAAGAAGGCAGGTTCAAGCTTTCTGATCAGTCAGGCCCTGTGATTATGCTGCTTTCTACTTATTCCCCTTTCAGAAGCCAGTCTAGCAAGAATCGAAGCTCCTGTTGAGAGAGGAGCACGTGAATTCTTTGCTGTGCATTTTCACCCTCCTTCCTAATGAGGCAGGCACTTCGGAGTGGCCCAACCTCCACAGGATGCAAGGGTGGGGGTGTCATCTTTCCAGTCCGTGGCAAGCTTCTAGTCTTGACAGGCTTTCCTGGCAACTTCTGAGATGATGAACTCAAAAGCAAGTAATAGACTCAGGCAGCGATTTAAATGAAGTTCTGACTCTTGCTGGATAAGCTGTCAGGGGAAGGGGAGAGCTGTAGCTGAGGGCTATGCAGTTGCTGTGCCAGGAGCACGCACTTCATATCCCCTGACTACCTAACCAATGGCTGGACTGCCAGGAGGATGCCTACAGAAAACAGCCCCTTGTAAAGGAGGTATTCCTCTGACAGCATCACAGCAGGAGACCTGGAGAAAGACCCTACATCACTGGTACTGAAAAGGGACAGGAGCCCTAAGGTATTAATCAGAATAAAAGGATGTATATTACAGAGAAAGAAAGAAAAAAAGACTATTAAAACTTTAATTTACCAAAAATTAAACTTTCTTTTTAATTTGTATAAATTTAGGGGGTACAAGTGCAGTTTTGATACATGGATATACTGCATAGTGATGAAGTCTGGGCTTTTAGTATATCCATCACGTAAATAGTGTACATTGTACCCATTAAGTAATTAACTAAAACTTTCAGTAAGCCTGCAGAACATTCACATTCGTAAGAACGAATAAAATACAGAGTAAATGGAAAATAGGGTTTCATTCCAGCACACTTAGGCTATTGGTAGGTGTTCAATACGTATTTACTAAACTGGAAAGAGAATCAACTTCCAGGGGGTATCCAAGGGTTGGGTTAGCATGTAGTGTAAATCTCCTGGGCCAACTGTAACTCATGGGTACAGGCTGCCTCCAGTGCTGTGTTGAGAAGGACTCTGGGGATGCATTGGGGCTGGACAGAAAAAAACGTGTCGATTATTTGTGAGGTCTGAAGTGGACTAAGGAGACTGGAGCATGGTGATACAGGTGCCACATATTTGACATACTAATCATATGGTCAGGACATTTATAAGAGTAAAGTCCAAACAGCCTGGTGTCTAGTGAGGTGACAAATATCAAACTCAGATAATGTTCACAATCAACCTCTTCGGGCTTCCTTACAAAATAGGATCACTGGGATTCATTTTCAGGACAATAATCTGCATGGCTGCCACAGCCTGAATCACAAGATATACTCAGTTGGGCTAACCCTGCTTTTCCTATTAAGGCAGAAAAAGTATCTGTCATACTGTACAAATTTACAAAACCAAGACGGATAATGAACTGGGATTTAATTTAAAATAGCCAAAACCTCAGTTAACCAGAACCCCTCATTCCCCAGAATACTCCTTTCATGTACCACTTCCTCCCCACCCCAGGTGACAACAGAGCAAACACCTGTGCTCTTTGAAACTTCACAATGCCTTTTACCTTAATTTATATAAATCAGAACATTTTTTACTTAAAAACAATAAAACCTCATCTGGGAAACATCTACTTCTTATAATCTCAAGTACCTGAAATATTTGTAATTGTACATATAATATAATTACACACACATTCACACAGTAAGTCCCAAGATATTTCACATCTCTTATGTCTGTAAGTTGTGACGGTTCCAGAGTCAGGTGATATGAATTCAAATCCCAAGTTGGCCACTAACTAGCTGTGTGACCTCGGTCAAGTTATTCAACCTCTCTGTGCTTAGTTACTGCAGAATGCAGATGGTAACAAACCCTTCCTCCTAATTCAAGGATCAAGTAAAATACAGCACATAAAACAGTGAACACCTAGTGAACACAGTGCCTGGCACGCAGTAATCATTAAATATTAAATATTATTTTATTACTCTGCAGATGGAGAAACTGAGTCATGGTGCAGCTGAGGGATTTATTTGAGGTTTACTCAAATAAGTGACAATTGGAACTAGACTCTGGACTTTCTGAATTTAGTCAAATTTTCTTTCCTCTATGCCTATTATAAAGGTAGTTTAGAAGGAGTAGCATCAGCATCCCAGGGGAGCTTGTTAAAAATTCAGAATCTGCATTTCAGCAACGCCCCCAGGTAGATGCACATTAAACTTGAGAAGCCTTGGTCTCTAGCACTCTGTAGGATGCTTGCATACATAACAAAGCCCTGGAGAGCTTCTGAAAGTGAACGAGCAACACCAACACACTGCCCACTGACACCCCCTCTTCACTAGTGGAAAGCATCCAAAGGTCAGACGTTCTTCCAGGAAGCTTCCCGCCATTCTCTGGGGGGCTACCACTTCTCATATTCCAGCACATATTCACAACACAGAGAAGTCAGGTCCTGATCTAAAACTTGACCTTTTAGTTCCCCGCCAAGAGTGGCCAACAGTGCAAATTACACTCCTTCCCTGATGAGGCTGAATTCATTCTGAAAGTTTGCACTCATCAAGGTCATGGCTGGAAGACAACATATAGATCACCTGATTTAGGACCTTCATGTTCAAGATGAAAGAACTGAGGCTCAGAAAACGGAAACATACATTTTAGTTAGAACCTGATGTGCACACAACTGGCGATCAAGAGCAACAAGCTTGGCTTCCCTCTCTCCGAACTCCCATCTCTCTGCCCACAGCCACAAGTTTAGACCAGAAGAATTCCCTATGTTCCCTGTAGTCCAGCAAAGGACTTCTTCCACCTGCCTGCAGTTTTTACTTCTCATCTCAGGGTGTCTTCTGACTTTCCAAGCAATCTCACACTTTCATTCCAAAAGCCACATTAAAAGCAGAAGGTGAAGACACCCCTATGTTCTGTTTCAAGTCTGACATATTCTCTTGTGTGTTTCCAACTTTACCAAAGATCAACCAACGAGATTTTAATTCAATGGCTAAATAATGAGGTGTTTCTCAAATGAGGGATTCATAAAGGAGCTATATAAGAGAAACAAACACATCCCCAGGGGACATTATAATGAAAAGTATAAAGAAGCCTAGAATGGTGGACAGGATTTGGACTCTAATTATCCTGGGTTCGAATCCCAGCATTACTCTTTACTCTCTGTGTAAGCTTGAACGAGTTACTTAACTTCCAGGAGTCCTGATTTCTCAATTACTAAATAGAACCAATAATATCTAGCTGCATGATTGCTGTAAGAATTAACAAGACAAGTTTACATAAAGCATCTTTCGTAGCAAACACTCAGTAGGCGCTCAGTCTGTGACAGTTATCATACATCCACATCAACATTAACCATAGACTATACACAGACACATAGACACCCAAAACATACATTGCCTTCTATATTAACAGTTACCTTAAAACCTTACCAGATTTTGTGACCATAGAAAATAGGCTGTTTCTTAGTTAAGTCTTGGAACTTTCATGAGCAGGCATCTCTAAGGACTCATAACTGATGAATGGATGCCAAGAAAAGAGCTGGAAAAATTGGCATCTTGCCCAGTTGAAATGAAATGCTAAGAATTTCTGCCCTGGCTACCCTTAACCCTGGATGGGGCTGGAAAATATTTACAAGGTTTGATTTTAAGGAGTCGAGGAGAGGAGGGTGACTTGAAGACAATAGCACTCCCAGTGTGAGAGGAATCGAGGCAACTCAAGTCAGCCACCTATCACTCGAGGCAGGCTGGGTGCTGGGTTGGAAAACATACCAACCGGAAGTGGCTCTTGCTCCATGTCCAAAGAGATAAAGAAAGGGCTCCTGTGCTGCCTTCAGTGCCCCAGGATACAGCACTCAAACACTTACATACAGCAGCTCAAACACATACAGCAGCTCAAACACTAGCACCAGGAAGAAGGGAGCTATCAGAGAACCCCCGACTATTGCTTCCTCCTGTAGGTTCACTCTGCTGTTCTGAGTGAGCATGACTCTGGCAATGCTTTGTCAAACGAGGCCAGCCCTGATTTTCTTCATGCCTCCAGTTCCAACCAGCGACATCTCTGGATTCTGTGCCCCCTGGAGTGTTAGGTTTCATCTTCCAAGTCAACACTCATATCTGAGTGCTTGGTTCAGCCAATTTGATCTTTATAGACTTCATAGCCAAACATGCGCTAAAGTTTACCCCCTACACCCACCAGGGAAAGGCAGGCTCATATTGTACTTGAAAATCTGCTCCTTTTAATTAATGTACTTTTAGAAATGGTCCATGGTGCTCTAGTGGAAAACATGTGCAGTGCTTAGTCATAAGGAGGGTTTTCGGATTTAAAATGGCTTCGCTGTGAGTTTTGTAGGACAGATGGGGAGAGGAGTTTTTAGCTAAAGGAGAACAGAGTTGCCTTCTGAGTTGCAACTTCACCCAAAGGGAACCTTCAGCTTTGCACTTTCGTGGTGGATTGGCAATTGCTCTGATATTCTCCCAGCTGCTTCTCCATTCTGTCTTCCTTTCCCTCCCCTCCTCTTAAAGCTCCATCCAAACTCACACACTCTCTCCCCTCTCTCCAGCCTTGCTTTTTTCTCCTCTGCCTTATCCCCAGGGAAATAACACAACAAGCAAGCCTATGGTTTTCAGATGCCAAATAATAAACTGCTCAGACAATAGGCCAAAGAAAAAAGAAAACGAAGTCTCCAAACTCGACTGACTCAATCCCCAAAAGAGATCTTCACCCCTGCTTGATTCATACACACACACACACACACACACACACACACACACACACGCACACACACAGCATAAAAACCAGAACATTTCATTTTAAATGTTTACAGGTTAAGACAGAGCAAAGGGGCAAATGTCACTCAAAAGCATCAACAAAGAAAACAGATTTGGCCAATATCTCATCCTCAAGCTTCTTAGTTTGCAAATAGCTCATGGTCACCAGCAGTTCCCTGTTTATAAGCACCACAGTCATGGAGGGAATGAACAGAGAAAGGTTTCAGTGGATCTTTAAGCACAAAAGAAAGTCTTTATCCAATTGCCACCCAGAATTCCTATCTGAGGGACAGAGCCTTTTGACTCTTGTGTGCTTACAGACAGCACAGAAGAAATGACCACAGCCTGGGGGCTACTAAATAAAGAGGTTTCTGCTAATTCGAGGCAGGCAGTGCAGTTGGGTCATTGAGCCCTTCTCAAATTCAGAGTGTTTGGAACTGATGTTTATTAAAAGAAGCACTAGACGGGTACCACGGTTTGTCATCTGCTATGTCATTTTACTTGGATTTCCCAAATACCTTGTTGTTATTGATTTCTAATTTAATTCTATTGGCCTTCAGTTTCTCCGTTAAATAAATATTAAAATTACTGCCCCCTGTTGTTCACAGATCGGGATTAACTGGGAAATATGCTCAACATCCAGTCAGTACCAGGAATTGGGCAAGGGCATTATAGCCGCTATCTTCACAGCAATCCCATGCATTCAGGGGACTTTATTTCCAATATTCATATGAGGAAGCCAAAGTTCAGAGAGGTCAGGCAACTCTCCTGAGATCATACCTCCCATCAGGAAGTAAGGGAGGTGGGCTGTGGTTAAGGTATAAATATTATTCTCCGTGCAAAACACAACTCTACTAAAGATCAGTAGCAACCAGGAACGACCAACTCCCAGTTCCGAGTTTCTTGGGAAAGAATTTTATGGCAGACTCCTCTCACTCTTGTAATTCACTTTTGTCTTTCAGATCCCTGTGTCAGAGTTCTAATTCCCCAAAATTAAAAAGAAAGATCTTGGGAGGAAAGGGAGAAACAGCAGTCCACTTGTGTGACAGAAGTAGGCCCACCGGCATGAAGGAGGCAGACCACGAGCCTGGCAAAATTGTGCCATAGCAGTGACACAAAACAAAAGCAGACAGACTGGGCCATGGTAGGCAGGCAGGCAGGGGAGGGCTATTCCTTTCCCTTAGCAGCCAACCCATAAGCTGAAGGCACCCAGATGGTGGCAAAAATTCAGCCTTGGAACTTCTGAGGAGCCAACCAGCAGGTTAAGCACATATTCAATGGCCTCCCTGGATAGAGAAGAAAATGCTCAATATCTGCACTGAAAAGAATTAAGAAAGAAAAGGACTGTCTCTCACATGCATAGGTGAAGCAGAAGAGAAATCTAGAAATGCATTGATTCCAACTGGGACCCCGCAGCTTTCTACATGTGACTTGTCAGCTGCCAAAACAGGATGCCTTCTTTAAGGCTGCCTAAGCCCCAGTTAGTTCTAAATGATTTTCATTATACCAGCTGGTCACTTTCAGTTCTGTGAAATACAGTAGTTCTGGATAATATACTTTATTCTGTCAACTCAATCAATAGGGTGGAAAGTTTCTTTGAGTGGGAATCATTTGGATATAACAGTACCAGAGATGGCATCTTTTCTGCTAGCAAAACCTTTCTGCAGGCAAATGGATGTGAACATGTTGCCTTTTCAATACTGTTTTTTAGCAACAACACTTATAATGATAATGACAAAATGGTAACAATGACAACAACAACAACAACAATAGCAGCTAATATTTACTGAATATTTACTATGTGGCTGCCACTGTGCTCTGCATAGGTCATCTCATTAAATCCTTACACCTATCACCCTAACTATAGATTCCATTGCTCTCTCCACTTTACTGGCAGGAATGGGTAGCTTTAAGTATCTTCAGCTCTTTCCAGCTCCAGAGTCTGAGCCCTGGATAAATATCATCTCATACTATCTAACCTCTAAGTTCCCTTCTCATTCTTTAAGCTTCCATAAATGCATCTTTCTTCCTCTATTTCTATTTTATTCCCTCACATTTCATGGGTAAATCTTTATAAACACACCATTTCAAACAATGCTATTTTACTCTTTCTGGCTGCCCCGTGAATCTTTATAGACTGAGATGCCCGATGGAGCCAGTATGTTTTAATTTTCACATGAAAAACAGAATTCCCAAGGGGAAGGAGCATTTGATGGAAAGGCAAAACCTTTATAAGCACTCAAGGCATTAAAATCCAAATTTCCAAAATATGGTAATTATGTCAAAGTTGTGACTTACTCTGGAGCCCTTGGGGACCCTCATCCTGACCCATCTGTGAAAGCCATCAGCAGGCAGTAAGCCTTCTGAGGAGCAGGATTACAGCAGCCAATTTGGCCTCTAGCAAAGAGGCAAGGCTGCTTCATTTAGTTTAAGTCTCACTGAGATGGTTTAAAACACTCTTTGGGAAGAGATGTGCAGGCAAAGCAAATCACAGCCTTACCAGCTGCAGATTCAGTACACGGCAGTCTATGTCTACATATTCATGGCACACTGGAGCCCTCCCCTGACTGTGCTCATACATGCATTGATATGGGAAGCAGAACTCTCTCACTGGGGAAATAATCTATGTGCCTAAGTTAGACAAGAGCCACATTTGGACCAGCGGATGGCATCACATCTGGTATGGATCGCTAACCTCAGTGTGATTTGGCCCAGCCTGGATTATTTATGATTCATAAAAGTCCCACTGGACCCCAGCATAGTCCAAGACCACATAACAAAAAACCATGGGATTAAAAATCTGTATTTCATTGCAAGACCCCCATGGCAAATTAGTAATGCTATGATTGGTTTTCGAGAAGCCAAGAGTGAGGAGAACTAACTATGATCACTCCCTCAAGAAACCCAGCATAGAGGGCAAACCGAATCATGTGTTCAGCCAGGCTATGCAGTCATATTCTGAAGCTCTGTCACCATTTCTAATCTGAAAGCAGTGTCTAAAATTAAACCTAAATAATTTGAAAGCCATTTCTTTACCTGGAAGTCTCAGCTGAGTCCTTGTTCCTCAGATCCCCTAATGGTTTCTGACATCATGTGTTGAAATGACTACTGTACATGAACGCTATCAGGTATTTGGTCTGTTAGCCCCTTTCCCCATATTATTATGGTTTTTTAAAGAAAGCTACACTTTTAGAGAAACGCTGCTTCTTCTTAAGCATCAAGATTTAAGCGTTTCTTCAGGACTCCCTAGAGCTGTGACATAACACTTTGTAATCGAGCTTTCTAATCAGCATAGAAAAGGCAAAAGGGGTCGCAGGGCCACCAAAAATGCTACCTGGCCAAGAAAACGAAGACCCAATATCCTCCCCCAGTGCAAAGGCCCTAGATCTGGCTTTCTCATCCTCCTTAGAAAATATACTGCTGTTTAATTTGTGAATTAGAGCAAATTTCTTACCCACCTCCAGGGAGGATGAAATGCCCAGTCTCGGAGGAAGCTTCTGCCAGACCCTTGGAGCTTGTCAATTGTCCCAGTTCACTTTCTCCCTGGATCTGACTTCTAAGAACGCAAGCAGGACCTCAGGCAGCCAAAGCATCTTCTCCTCAAACCCCCTTTTCAGTCTGAACCCTTCCTGAAGCTGGCAACAGACTCAAGCCGAGCTGCTCCACATTCCCTCAGGGAAAACAGCACTGCTGGATCCAGACTCTGCTGGGGAATTCACCAAGCAAGAGAAAAAAAGTATGACTTCTACTCTTCCTCTAGATCAGCCTGAGTGCTCAGATCGCCTTCCGGAGGACCCCCAGTTTCCTCTTAACTCCCCTTCTTCATGACAATCTGAAGGAAGAAGTCATAGACTCCAGCCCAGCGTCACCAGCTGATCCTGAGCCAGACCCGGGGTGACTAGTCAGCTGCTCACAGAGCTCAAGCCACTGAACCAGGAAATGTGCTGCTTGGTCAAAAAATAATAATAACTCTCGGTGGCGCTGCTGGTGGTGCCTGAGAAGTCGCTGTTGCAGTGCTTGCATCCTCCGCATGCTAATGAAGCTGTGATGTCAGCAAGTCAGTCACGGCATCTGGACGTCCCATCCTGCTGCCCAGTGCTGAGATTTATTTACATGTAAATTAGCCTTGCCTTCCAAATCAATAATCCCCAAGCCAGGGAGAGGGGAAGGAAGCCTTTGCTGGATGCAAAGGCCCAGCTACGTAACCTCCAAATGAGCATGAAAAAAATCACATATAAGAAGAGAGGCTTTAAAGACACATGCCTATTTTTTTTCTTCTTAAAAGCTGTGCTCTTAGGTGCCAAGGTTCAGATCTGGGCACAATTATCAACCTGAGCGCCTGTTTCAGATTATATGCTGCACCAACCTAGGAGTGGAATCAGAGCACTCTTTTTTTAATTAAATGCTGTGTCAAGCCTTCAAAAATGCCTCTCCTTTTTTTTTTTCTTTCTCTTCTCTCTTCAACTTTCATTTTCGGGTGTTGCTTGTTTTTTGGCCTGAGACTATGTCACCTTTGAGTTTTTGTGCACCTCGAAATAAAGCACAAGTGACTCCTTTCCTCACGTGCTTGGGTGGTGAGTCAGTCAGCTGCCCTTTAACCCCTTACCCCAATTCCAACTGCATGCAGAAGAAGACAAAGCATAAACCTTCCCAGGGCATCTGAAGACCCTGAGACCCTCAGAGAGCATTGCTTCCATCTCCTCATTTTACAGATTAGAAAATGGAGACAACTGGAGAAAGGACTTTTCTAAAGTCACACCAGGATTTCAGCAAGGATGGGTCAGAATCCACATTTCCTAGACCTCAGATAGAGCTTTTGTTGAATACCTTTGGGGTCTCCGAGCTCCATTTTTATACACCACTAGGCGGCCTAACCAAGCAATCTGGAAGAAAGGAATCTATACATTTGGAGAGCCCTGTGTTCAAATCCTGCCTTTCCTTCCTGCTAGCAGTGTGATCTTAGGCAAGTAACTTAACTTGTGGGATCTTCAATAACCTCATCTGTACCATTCACTCATTCAATAAATATTTACTAAGCACGTACTCTATGCCATGCACAGCTCTAAAGGCTAGGTATAAACACAGTCTCTGCTTTCAAGGGCCTTATGGGCTACTGCAATTAAAGAAAGTAAAATATTGAATAGAACTATGGTGAAGATTAACACAATATCACATACTCAATAGCTATTTCTGATATTTTGAATGAAGTTAGAAAAATTCACCGAGGCATACTATCTACTAGGCTGATCACTGTTCCTAGCATCTGAGTATTTCCATGGTCATCTTTAATTGTTTAAAATCATATATTCCTTCAATGCTGCCTGTGCAGTATCCCGGGCCAGGAGAGAGGCAAGAGCCAGGCAATATTCTGGACTCTGTGCCTGTGATAAGGAAGCACTGTGAGTGAAAGTAAAGGGTGAGGGAAAGGTTGGGGAGGCTGGGAGGGAGGAATATTCCATCATGCACAGAAGTGTCCCAAAGGACAAAGCAGCTAGCACGGCTCCTTGCCCACACTCCCCCGCCTGGGGAACCCACTCTGATGAGCTCTGCCCTTCCAGCTGCAGTTCCTGAAGCTTCAAATGAATTTCTTTGTTGGATGTGGGGAAGTTAAATTATGTCTTTTGTTGTATGTAATTGTATTAATAATGCTTAATAACTTCTTTCAGAATGCTTCTCTCTAGTTCCCAGAAGACCTTTCATGGTGAAAATCATGAGACCTGGAATAACTTCTCAGTAAGAGAAATAAAATACAAGCAAATGAATAACACTCAGCCTTCAGTTTCCATCACACAGAACTCAGAGCGTGTAGGGAGGCAGATGGTCTCCCCAGACCTCAATATCCTTCAAAAAGTCAATTAGCAAGTCTAACAGTTTGGGGCCCCCAGTAGCCAAGTGGAAGCAGTGACATTCTAACCCAGTGTGGCCACGAACAAGTCACTTCAACTTTCCATGCCTCAGTTTCTTAAAAATGGGTACACTACTCTCTCATCTACTCATGATCAGCATGGTCATATAAGAGGCAATTCACAGGTGATCAACAATGAAATAAAGAAGACAGCTGAAACATAGCAAGAGATTACTCTTCACCTGGAACAGATGTGACACATCACTACCAACTTCATAAGAATTAACATCATAACATGGAGTCTAAAATGGATTGCCTGGGGTCAGACTCTGGCTGTGACACTTGCTAGGTCTATGACTTGAGGCCTGAGGTCCTTATATGTAACCTAGGGCATAATGATAGTGCCTACCTGCATGGGGCCATTGGGAGAATCCAATGAGCATTAATGTGAATCATTTAACACTGAGCCTGTTACATAGCAAACACTCAATAAGTGTTAGCTATTGGTAATATTAATAGAAACAATCATGCTTCCACCATTAACTTCAGCGCAAATTAGTTAAGTAACCAGTTAAAATTCAAAAGGTGGGGAGAAAGCGGTAAAGGGAAGACTGCAAAATCATCTTTATTCCTA
This sequence comes from Homo sapiens, assembly GCF_000001405.40. NCBI lineage: Eukaryota > Metazoa > Chordata > Mammalia > Primates > Hominidae > Homo > Homo sapiens. Next base: position 64,227,931 of record NC_000003.12, read on the forward strand.
GAGCATATCTCAAAGTTCTATCTAATGTGGGTGAGCCACTGATATGCCATTTTCCATATGATACAATACAAATGCTTTGAACTGCTATGAATCTAGGAAATAAAGGAGTAAAAATGACCAAGAGGCGGGCTCCCTCTTCTGAAACTATACACCAGGACAAGACAACTATATTTTTGAGATGAATACATGCTTCACCCATTCATTCATATATCCATTCACTCATTAAATAAGCTCCTACTATTTGCCAGTCACTGTGCTAGGGTCTGGGGACAACATGGTGACCAAGATACACATGGATCCTGCCTTAAAAGAGCTTGGCAATCAGAGAGAAGACAATTAAGTAGGCAATTAGAGTAGAATGGGGTGTGTGTTATGGCAGGAGGCATGCAGAGTCCTCAAAGGCCTAATTGCATTCAAGAGAGGGATGGCACAAAAGCATGCTGCCCAAGTCCTTTTGCCAGCACACGCTCTGTGAGCTCAGCTTGGTGATGAGGAAGCTGGATATCTATGCATCACACTTACACAGAATATTAAAATTACAAAATCCACAGATTGTTAATTCCCTGTGGTCATTATTTTCATCCTGGAGACCATTCTAATGAGGTGTTTTTTTTTTTACAAATTATACTGGTAGGTATTAGAAAAAGTGAGAAAAAACTACTTTAAAAATTTCAGAGACTTAGTAAATAGGAACAAAACTCATATTGTTTTTCTAAAAAACAGTGAAATTCCACATTCATGACAGCAAACTTCATGCGAGTAAAGGCAGGGAAGAACAGGTAATACATATGAGAAACTCAACCAAATGTTTATTAGGGATTTGTGAAGCGGAGGACACTCTTGTCAGGAGACAAGGATGCAACTGTCGACCTTCAGAACTTTCTGTTTAGGTAGAATGATAGGATATTTATACAAATGACCATAATTGCATATAGTATATAGGAAAAAGGACAAGGAAGACAAAATTAATTATGGCAGAGGTGATCAGGAACCAGGAAAAGTATGATCTGGGTCAGGCCCAAGGTCAAAAACGCTTTTACTTTTTTGGAATTAAAAAACAATTTTATAGTGGGGGAAGGCCTTACTAAGCATGACACAAAATCCAGAAGTAGAAAAAGGCTGCAAAAATTTGACCTTAGTCAAATTCACCTTCTGCTAGAGGTGTTCCAGGCAGGAATAAGAACATGAGTAGGAAGGAAAATTATGAACACAAATGCATAATTAAGAGACATCTGCATGGACACAAGACAGCAAAACAGCAGCAACATGACACTGGCAGGTAATAACAAAGAGACAGCTCCATGCATGCTGGAAAATCAAATCATCTTTCCATTCTAGCCAGCTTTAGGCAGCATCTTGTTAGAGGATTACAGGGAAAGGTCAAGTACATCTCTACTGGTCAGGTTACAGAAGGGAAGGGTAAGTGACAGGAAGGGTGGTAGCCTCCTAGATGAAGAGCTGTAATGAGGAAGGCTGCAATGAACAAGTTTTAAATCTCTGTTTCTACAGGTATAAAATAAGAAGGAATGGATTTAAACGACCTAAAGAGGGTCCTAAATTCCTCTTTAGGTCATTTAAAATCTTTCTTGGACCTAAGGAAGACTTCTGAATATTGAGATAAGAACTGACATGGGTCACTCAAGGAAATGGCAGTGTTTCAGTTTTTGGAGAACTTTAAAAAGACAGACATCACTCATCCTAGCTCATTTAGATTACTACCTTCTGGCCCTGCTATTGGGAAATTCTAATTGTTGTAAGGGATATTACCAAAGTTTCAAACCACTCATCTAATAAGGTTTCCCTTTTCAAATGTGTGCATTTCTGTGTGTGCGTGCTTTTAAATATTTTACTCAAGAGTAATCCTGATATTTAGATTTCAAAGTCTAATAAAGTAAATGTGGGAGAGGAAGCTGACAAAGAACTGTCATGTAAGTTGGTCTAGCATAGGTGATGATGCAGTAACATATGATCCCAGATGTCAATGGCTTAACACAAGAAAGTTTGATTTCTCTCTCAGGCAAAGTTGGTTGGAGGCCCAGAGGTTTTCCAGGTACTCCATTCTAAGTAGCGACTCAGGGATCTACTCTGCTTCCTTCTTGTGCCTCTGTGATCTCAGTGAATAATTTCCAAGTTACAACAACAGCAGAAGAGAGAACTGAAGAGGCTTTTAGGTGCCTCAGCCTGGAGATGAATGATATCACTTCTAGTGGTCAAACTAGTCTCATGACCTCACCCAGCTGCAAGGAGGCTGGGAAGTGTATGCTCACAAAGAACAGGGAAAACAGACAATGGAGGACCCCAGTAATGTCTGCCATAGCTGTCCATTTTAATTTGTGCTATGTAAAAACATTAAACAAAACAAAATACAATCTATTAAACACATAATGCCTTTAAACAAAGGAATGTTTAACATTTAAAAAACTATGATAGTCCTAAATGAGTATTAGAGATCAAAGTTGCATCTGTTTTACCTCAGAACAAAGAAAAAGAAAATATTGTAAATTTTAATTAACTTTCAAGCAACAACAGGCAACCCACGTAACCATAAAGAAAATAAATATTTGAAACATGTGAAGCTTCTACAATGTAGGTAAAGATGCATAGCTGCATTCATAAAAAAGAAATGCTCAAAAGAGTTATCCTCAACAGTTTCTAGCCAATTTCTAATCCATACTGATAATCTGCCTCCTGCAACGGGCAGAGTATTGTCATTGAAAAACTCCAACAAAAAAGACCTGAATTCACATCTGGCCCAATTACCTCCTAGCAGCATGACCTAGCAGATGACAGCTACCTCACCTCTAAGCCTCAGTTTCACCATCTATAAAATGGAGACATCTCTTTATCAAAGGCTTCGGTAAGATTAGATGAACTGAGATATATAAAGTACTGTGTAGAGTACCTAGCATATAGTAGGTGTTAAATCAATATTATTCTCCACTTGGTTTCCAAAGAAGGCAACAGGAAGGAGAGCTGCAAATATAAATGATAAAACTGTTCATGATAACATAAGGACAAGCACCCCCTCAAGCCTTCTGTCTTGTCCATTTGTGAAGATTCCATATCATAAACGCTTCTTATCCATGGACATTTCTAAATCTTGTGAAAAATAATTTGGTACACTTTAAATTCAGAAAAGGGGCCTTCCTTTTTCCCTATCATCTTAGGAATCTGTCACATTTCATACATTTTAATTATTCTTGATCCCGATAATCTAACACACAAAATTTTAACACAGCCTTTTATCCTCTTTTAATTACATTAATTAAAATGAGAAATATGGACAGGCTAGACTGTGCACATCAAAATGAAAGAGTGCTAAAGATTTTGCTCCCTCCCCACAAAAACATTAAAGATTGCATCAATGATTTCACTAGGCATACCATTGCACATTTCCATGAAAATATTGTTAAACTGACATGATGTGCTAGCAAATGGTTTTTCCTTAGACAAAGAAAGCTGCACTTATAATGGCAGGTTTTGGGAACTACTAATTTTCATTAAACAGCTGAAACCTGAATTTTCTTTATGTAAAGGACTAGGAGAACAACAAAGATCTGTACAGGGATGCTCTGGTTTTTCAGTATTCCCTAAATACGAACACTCAGGTTCCTACACGTTTCTCTTGGAAGAGAACATTGGCAAAATGAATGATATCCTAGAAAAAGGCTAAAAACTCTCTGCCTCATAAAGTAGCAAACTGGCAACAAAGACCTGCTCAAGAAAAATTATTACTACAAAATGCCACAGAGGTACAAACTAAAATATTGTTTTTCTAAAGGAATGAGGAGGACTGGACATACCAGACATCTTGCATACTTTATCTCATTTAGTCCTCACCATAAACCAAAAATGTAGCATTTATTATCCCCTATCATACAGATGAAGATGCAGAGGTCCAAAGAGGATAAAAGAATGATGCAAGGGTCCACAGCTGAAGTTTGGTCTTGGGTCTGACGACAAAACCCATATTCTTTCCTTTACTTCAGAGGATCACAAATTTCCTCTAAAAACAAAAACGAAAACAAAAACAAAAACCAGGTGTGTTCCCATTAGGGTGTGAAGTGTGGGAAATAATGTGTTATTAAAAACAGAAAAACACAGAAGGTTCCCTGTGCCATCAGATTAGATCAATTCCTTTGTACAAGGGAAGAGTACATAGAGTGTTGCACTCTTAGATGTGTGTCCTTTCCCTTAGGACTCTCATTCTGGTTCACAGTTCTACATCCTTGGTTAGTTATGATGATCCATCCTTGGTCAATGTTAACGATTATGTGATTAACCTCTCTCTCTTACTAACCAGACTCTATGTGGCCTAAGAGCAGAGACCATGCCTTTTGTGGCTCACCATTCTATTCAAAGGATCTACTGCTTTGTGGCCTGACAGCTAATGAACATTTTTGGAATTAATAAAAAGCTTGACAATGCTTCTTCTAATCTAGAAATTAGAGGAATTTCAGGATTATTCCTGTAAGAATACCTCTCTGTTCATTTGCATTCCAACATACTCTTGTGAGTGGGAAAGGAAAGGATGGAGTTCAGCTCACTGAAACACTTCTTAGCTTTGCTTCCAGGATGCCACATTCTCCTGCTTTCCCTCCTACCCTCTGGCTGCTCCTTCTCAGGCTCTTTTGCTGGCTCATGCTCATCTCCTTCAGAGCTTAATGCTGGAGAACCTGCGGCTAAGTCCTGGGACTCCTGTATATCTACATTTGCTTCTCTGGTCTAGGGTAGGGTCTTAAACACACCTTTAGGCTGATGACTCAAGGCGAGACCTTTTCCATGATCTCAAGACCAACTGCCTATGTCACATCTCCATCTCTTAATTCCCAGTTGAGTCCACACCATATCCCCCACAATCTGCTCCATCTGTAGTCTTTGCTATCTCAGTTAATGGCAACTCCACACTCCCAACGGATGAGAACAAATACCTTTGAGCCATCCTTCACCCCTGACATCTAATCCAGAGGAGGTTGACAAACTATATCCCACAGGCCAAATCTGGTTTGCTTCACGTTTTTGCAAATACTTTTATTGGAACACAATCATGACCATTCATTATGTGCTATCTATGGCTGCATTCATGATACAATGGCAGGGTTGAGTCATTGTAACAGAGAACGTACAGCCTGCAAAGCCTAATACATTTACACTCTGGTCCTTGACACTGAACATTTTCCAGCCCTTGGCAAATCCCGTTAGCTCTACTGTCAAAATATACACAGGATCTAATATCTTTCCTCCACCATCATCACACTGGTCCATGCCACTGCCATTTCTCTCCTGGATGAAGTTCCAAGTCACCATCAACTCTTGCCTCCTACCTGGTCTATTATTGCTCCCCTTCAGTCTATTCACAAAACTGCAGTCATCTTGATTCTCTGAAAACAAACATTGCAGCATGCCATGCTTCTGCTCAAGACTACACTGGTGATGCTGCTCATCTCAGAATAAGTCCCTGGAGATCTAGGTCCTATTGCTTCTCCGACACTATCTCCTGCTACTGTCTCCCTTCCTGTCACATGAACACTGGCCCTCAAACATGCCAGGCACATGTGTGCCTCCTGGTCTTTGCACTTGTCTGAAATATTCCTCCTGCAGAAAGTCATGTGGCTTGCTCTGTCACTATTTCAAGTCTAATGTCACCTTGGTGAGGGCTAAGTCTTACCATCCTATCTGAGATTGTCATCCTTCCCGCATCTTACTAACATGGCCAAACAATTCCCTACTTTATTTTTCTCCTTAGATCCTTTTAAGAAGAGTTATATTGAAATATAATTAATATACTATACAGCTCACCCATTTAAGTATATTCATAGGGTTGTACAACCATCACCACAATCTAACTTTAAAACTTTCTTCAATCCAAAAAGAAACCCTCTAGTAAGCAGTAGTCACTCCCCACTTGTCCCACTGCTCCAGGCCTAGGCAAACACTAATCTACTTTCTGTCTCTATAGAGTTGCCTATTCTTGACATTTTATATTAGTGAAAACATATAATATGTGGCCCTTTGTGCCTGGCTCTTCACCTAGTGTATTTTTGGTTCATCCTGTAGCTTATATCAGAATTTCATTCTTTTTATGACAGAGTAATATTCCATTGTACTAATATACATCATATTCATCTATTCATCAATTGATGGATATTTGGGTTGTTTCCAGTCTTTATGATTATAAATAATGCTACTATGAACATTCACGTATAAGTTTTTGTGGGGATGCATGCTTTTTATTTTCCTTGGATACATATCTAGTAGTGGGATTGCTGGGTCGTATAACTCTAGGTTTAACATTTCATAGAACCATCAAGCAGTTTTTCAAAGTGCTCCTCCAGTTTCACATTCTCACAAGTGATATCTGAAGCTTCCCATTTCTTCATCTTTGCCAAAACTTGTTACTGTCTTTTTTATTATAGTCATCCTAGTGGGTATGAAGTAATACCTCATAGTGGTTTTTATTTGCACTTGCTTAATGGCTAATAATGTTAAACATCTTTTCATATGTGTGTTGGCTATTTGCATACCTTCTTTGGAGAAACGTATATTCAAATTTTTTGCTCATTTTAAAATTGGGCACACGTGTTAAAATTAGTAAGTTATAAAAGTTCCTTGTATATTCTGGGAACATGTCCCTTATTAGATATATGATTTATAAATGTTTTCTCCCATCATGTGGGGTATATCCTTTTTCTTGATAGTGTCTTTGAAGCATAAAGATTTCTAATTTTGATAAAGTTCGTTTATCTATTTTTTCTTTTTTCCCTTGTACTTCAGTTCCGCTTTTTAAGAGCATTCTTCTAGGTCTCTGCCAGAACTACAAAGTCAGCTGTCGTTCCCTTGTAAGTGATGAGTTGTTTTCTCTTGCGGTTTTCAAGATTTTCTTTTTGTCTTTCAACATTTTGATTATGAGGTGTTTGAGTGTGAATCTCTTTGAGCTTACCTACTTGGAGTACTTTGGCTTCCTGGATGTGTAGACTAATACTTTTCATAAGACTTCGGAAGTCTTCTACCATTATTTCTTCAAATATTTTTTCAGCTTTTTCTCTCTCCTCTTTTACTTGTCCCAGTAAGCATATGTAGGTGTGCTTGATGGTATCTCACATTTCTTAGGAGCTCTGTTTATTTATTTTCACTCTCTTTTCTCTGCTCTTCAGCATACACAATCTTTATTGACCTACCTTCAAATCTGCCAATATTTTTCTTCTGTCAGATTAAAATCTACTCTTGAACCCCTCTAGTCAATTTTTCATTCCAGTTATTATACTTTTCAACTCAAAATTTTCATTTTTATAATTCTTTTCTAACAATTTCTCTTCACTGATATTCTCTACTTGATGAGATGCTGTCATCATGCCTTCCTTTAATTGTTTAGAAAGTTTCATGTAGTTCTTTGAACACATTTATAATTGTTGCTTTGAAGTCTTTGCCTGCTAGCTCCAACATTTGGACCCTCTCACGGGCAGTTACTTTTGTTTTCTTCCTGTATATAGGTCACACTTTTCTGTTTCTTTGCATGTCTCAAAATATTTTGTTGAAAAATGGACATTGTAGATACTATATTATAGCAATTCTGGATATTGACTGTGCACCACCACCCTGCCCCCCTTCTGGAGCTTTTTGTTGTTGTTTGCTTATTTGTCTAGTGGCTAGGCAGACAAGTTGAGCGAAGTCTGTTTCCCTGGCAGTGTGCAGCTTCTGATGTCCCTCCGGAGGGCCTGAGACCAGTTTTCCTATTGATATCACACCCAACAGTTAACCTCCACTAATCACTAGCTGATTGTTCTATTGTTTTGACAATTCCTTTTGGCATAAATTGTTCCACAGTCTGATCTGATGAAAGCTGGGTTCCTTTGCAAGGGTAGGGTGTTGCCAGTCTTTGAGGCTGCCCCTCCCAGTGTGAAAGCATAGCCCGAGACTAGAAGCTAGGTGGAGAAAGAGCCCAATCTGCTTGACTGAACATACCCAGAGTGGAGTTTCCATCACACTGATCTGCGTTGTGTGTGTGTAGTTGGGGGAGGGGCAGTATGTGGCAGGGGTACCTGGAGAAGAGAGGATCATGGTTAAAATGCCATAGACTCTCACTCTTCTTACTAAGATTTAGATTTCCTTGTGTTTTTCCATTTGTTGTATACCCTTGGGACAATTTCCAGAAACTTTAAAAGGTTGCTTATATTTTAAAATAATTTTCGGCAAATGATTGTTTTGTTGATTAAAGAGTCTACCATGCTCCTCACACTGCCATACTGGAAGTTGATGCCCAACACCTAGCATACTTAGATCATGATATGTTTGACTTGTTTATGCTGCTTTATGTCAGTTTTATTCAGCCCTCGATCCCCAGGGCCCAGAAAAATGCCTGGCACATAGTAGGTCCTCAATAAATATGGGTTGAATAAAGAAATGAAAGAAGAAATGCCCATGACCCACAGCCTATCCTATGTATGCCATAGCCAACCATAAACTGCCACAGCTGATGTTCTTTATCCATGGTTATGACAATTAGTAACCCAAGCTAATCACAGCCTAGGGACACTGTCACATCTGTGAATTTCATTAGCCAGGTGACTGATGAAAAAAAAGAGAATGAGGAATGTAACTACAGCTTACATATCCCTCAAACCATTGAACTGGATCCTAGCTCTGTTCCTTCTAATCTTAAATATTCCATAAGACCTATAAATAACTTGCTCTAAATAAATAAAAGACATCTAATTTATCTTGGTTTGAAAGAAAGTCCTGCTATAATGGAACTCACCCTGGTATTAGAATTAAGAGTCTGTGTTTGATCCTTGGGCTATGGCTCTTGCTGTCTGTGTGATGTTGGACAAAGTTATTTAACCTCTCTGCTCTTCAGAAGCCTCCTCTGAAAAACATGAATGACGGTGACAATTGTATTATCTTCACAAAGCACTTTGTATGGTGTCAAATACACCAGGAGTGCTCAGTAAGTGTAAGGTACTATTATTATCTGCCAAAGAGTAATCATAGATCTTCCCACTTATCATGCTGCGGTGATCTCTGCATCTGAGTGAAATGGGATAGTTCCCTTAACCCCTTTGTGGGACTCATGAAGGGGTTGGCTCATTTATTCAGCCTACAGCTCTCAACGCCTCACAGGATGGGGAGCACGCAGGTGAGTGGGTTCAGAGGCCAGGATGAGCACTTATGGGCAATCGGCAGGAGGAGAACTCCATGCAAGCCCGCAGCAGTGTCTAGGGATTGTCTATGAGCCCCAGAGCTCCAGAGGGCGTATGTTACAATGTGCTCTTTTAGTTTTGGCATCTGTGGATGGCTTAAGTGTTAGCTCAGTGGAGGGTCAGTGTGACAGCCTGTTGCATCTGCACCCTGGTCCTTGTCTGGCATCCAGCAGGAATCAGGTTGCACAAATGAATTGAAGATAATAAATGTGGAGGATTTTATTGCCAATTAAAGTGGCTCTCAGTGGGATGGGGAGCTGGAAAGGGGATTGAGTGGGAAGGTAGTCTTCCCCTGGAGTTCGGCCATCTCCGGCCGAACTCTTCTCCGAGGTCCCACTGCCAAGCCATCCCTGTGAAATCAAGTTGCTTCTCTTGGACATTCAGCTCCTTCTCTTCTCTCCTTTCCTGCCACTCTGCCACTCCACCTCTCTGCCCTGCTCCTCTGCCAGTGGAGCCTGGGGTTTTTATGGCTACAGGATGGGAGGTGGGGCAGACCAGGTTAGTTTTGGAAAAGGCAAAATTTGGGCAGGAAAACAGGAATGCATGTTCTCACTTTGGGCCACGCATCCAGGCTTGAGGGTAGGGCTTCACCGGGGGGCCCCACCCTTTTCTGCCTAGTATTTCCCTGCCTCCTGTCCATATCATAAGGAGACAGTAGCCATGAAGGTAAATTCTGTGGGATGTATTGTACAAAATTTACCTTCCTAGAACTGCAGAACTAACTCCTCTTGGCTTGCCAGGATGAGAAAAAGCCCCTTTCTTGTTTGTTTGTCCATCATTCTCCTCCTCCAAGTCTGCTTTTCACTCTTCCACCCCTAGGCTAACTCAAACCCTGCAGGAGGTTGCTGGGAATTCTGCCTGAAGACTGTCAACCCTCCCTGAGAGCAAGAAGTTCAGTGGACAAGGCCATCATTTTGAAAATGGCCTTGCAGCCACCATCTTGATCAGGGGAGGACCAGACCAAAGCAGGGTCCAAACTATAAGAAGCAGGTATCAGAACCTGAAACAGTTGAAATGAACAGAAGAGGTTTAGTTATATACCACAACGTGCTTCCTTTTAGAAAACTTGGTAGTATTGGCTGGGTGGGGTGGCTCACACCCGTAATCCCAGCCCTTTGGGAGGCCAAGGCAGGCAGGTACGAACGAGGTCAAGAGATTGAGACCAGCCTGGACAACATGGTGAAACCTCGTCTCTACTAAAAGTACAAAAATTAGCTGGGCATGATGGTGCCTGCCTGTAGTCCCAGCTACTCGGGAGGCTGAGTAGGAGAATCACTTGAATCCGGGAGGTGGAGGTTGCAGTGAACCGAGATCACGCCACTGCATTCCAGCCTGGCAACAGAACGAGACTCCGTCTCAAAAAAAAAAAAAAAGAAAAAAGAAAAGAAAAGAAAAGAAAAAAGAAAACTTGGTAGAATTAGGGCTAACATGTAGGGGTCTGAATCACCAAGAGAGCCAGTGTCTGTAAGAGGGAGAAAAGGTCCCCTGCTGCCAAGGACCTCTGGATAACAGGCACTGTGTCAGGCAGGAGGTGGGGTAAGGCAAGTTCTGTCCCTACCCCTTCTTATTAGCTGTGTGAATTGGGACAAGTCACTTTCCTTCTTTGAGTCTCATCTAAGAATCTCTGCCACATGGGTTTTCTGAATTATATGAGGTAATGCAGGTAAAATTGCCAAACATACAGCAGGTGCTTACTAAATGTTTATCAAGTCTGAGTATAAACACACTATCAATCTTGCTCTGTACAGCGAGGGCATCTGAAGCCCTCTGATTTGAGTGGCCATCAGCAGACACCAGTCAGCCCACCCAACCCAAGCCCATGGAATCCCTGGCAGCCAGGGCAGTTTTCAGGCTGCCTGTTTATTCTTCTAGCTCCCTGAGATGCCACAGCAAGCAGGAGCCCTGCTGGTGCATCCTCAGGGTCACCAGGGGACAGGCCCAGACGGATGTCAGAGCAGACTGCCTTGGCGAATTATTTAGCACCCTCCTCTGAGGGGGCCAGGCATGCACCTCACAGCCGGCTCCACACACCACAGGGCGAGGTAGCAGCCTCTGACTCATCCGTCAGGCACCACATTCCTCTTCCCTTAAATGGAGCACACAGAGCCCTGCTGGGGGGCGGGGGGCTGGCAGCGTCCTCTCTGCTCAACTCATCACAGCTGGGGCAGCTGTGGAAGGAAGGGCTGTTAGGAGCGTGGCCAAAACAGAGATACACAGAGGAGGTTCAGCTCGCTGGGATGAGGGGAGACATATTCTGCAATAAGAAACACCAGGAATGAAAGAAAGTTACAGTCAGCCAGTGGCCGGAGATAGCTGCCCAGGGAACATGGAGATGCTTCCCGGAGGGATCCTTTGGCAGAGCCAAATCTGAGCCACCAGGTGCTATCCACAGACATTCCGAAGGCCTGTAATCCTGTAATCCTTTGGGACTCTCTAAGATAATTGCTATCAGGCACTCCCAGCCACAGGGACAGGGGAGGGGAGGTGATTTATAAGCCAGATTTATAGGTGACATTTACTGCAGACACAAATCTAATTCAACCCTCATAGCAACCCTTCAAGGTTATACCTATGGTTGCTTATCACAGATAAGAAAACTGAGGCTCAGAGAAATCAAAATAATTATTAAGTGTAAGCATCCGTCTAATTTCTGAATCGATTTCCTTTTTCTTTTATTTATTACTGTTCTTAAATTTTCCATGTAGGGCTTGGTGCTGTGGCTCATGCCTGTAATCCCAGTACATTGGGAGGCCAAGGCAGGTAGATTGCTTGAGCCCAGGAGTTTGAGACCAGCCTGGGCAACATGACAAAACCCCATCGCTACCAAAAAAAAAAAAAAAAAAAAAAAAAAAAATTAGCCCAGCATGTGACTATAGTCTCACCTACTTGGGAGGCTGAGACAGGAGGATCACTTGAGGCTGGGAGGTCGAGGCTGCAGGGAGCTGTGTTCACACCACGGCACTCCAGCCTGTGCGACAGAGACCCTGTCTCAAAAAATAAATAAAATTTTCATTTAGCCTGCTGAATCTGTTCTTTCCATTCCATCCTAGGATTGAGTCGAATGTGATATAAGGGACACCTGGGTTTGGCCAGTTACATGGGGAGGCCATGAGGTCACCAAGACATTGACCAGGCCAAGGAAAACAGTTGGAAGAACAGGTACTCCAGGTCTAATCAAGTTTCTTGTGCTTGTCAGTGAATGAAGGATTAAACAAGCTACAGCTCCTCTGCATAGCACCACCAATGATGGGAAATACTGAATATTTTATATATAGCTAATGCCTCTTTGCAGGCTAAATGGAGTTGGGCCTGAATGGAGCCCAAGGGATACTCTTCAAATTGAGGAAATATAGGAACTCTGCAGGACTCCCGGGATCCACAGAATTCTTTGCTTAAAGTCCCTGTGTGGGCTATGAAATGCCTCAGTGAATCGGTCCCATGGGGCCTACAGAATTAATTCCTCTCCTCTGGACAACTTAGTCACTTGCTTGGTAGGCCAGGTGCTTTCAGATCTCCCCCACAGCATGGAATGTCTGAGCCAGCGGTTCTCACAACATGATCCTGGACCAGCAGCCTCAGTATCACCAGGGAACTTGTTTAAAGTGTGGATTCTCAGGCCCTACCCAGACCTACAGAATCTGTAACTCTGAGCATGGAGTCTGGTCATTTGAGTTTCCACAAGCTCTCCAGGGGATTAGGCACACAGGTTTCATTTGGAGAACCAATGGTCTAAATAATCCCCAACAACTTCTTTTTATGGCCAAGAAGAGGAAGGGGTGAGCAATGGCAGAGGCTAGAGGAGCCTCTGAGGGTCCAGGATGGCCAGTTGGTGGCATGGAGCTGGAATTTGGCCCACATAAGCATACTATTGGGTCTACACCAGAGGTCGAGAAACTTTGTAAAGGACCAAGTGGTATATATGTTAGGTTCTGAAGGCCACTTAGTCTCTGTCACAACTACTCAACTCTGCTGTCATAGAATGCAAGCTGTCACAGACAGTATACAAACAAATGGGCATTGCTATATTTCAATAAAACTTTATCAAAACAGGCACCTACAAGTTGTAGTTTCCCAACTCTCTACCTATACAATGGCTCCTCTTAACAACAACATCTGGATACGCTGAGCTCAAGCTCCTAGGAGGCAGCCACCAGCTGGAGCTGACTGATACAGCCCTCTTTTAGTGGGGACACATTCTACACTTTTCCACAGTCCCCAGTTCTTCTCTCTGAAACACCAGGGCGGAGAGTCAGCTCACATTTATTATCCTGCTCGTTTCTCTTATTCATCTACTTATATTGACATAAATGCATGTGTGCATACACATACATGTATATATGTAAGTAACATGGTTATGTACTTATGTGTGCATGCATGCATATTTTAACACCTACCAGCTTTTCAGTATTTTATACTATATGAATCCCCACCCCCTCATCTCAATTGTCTCTAAAGTGCTCCAATACCACCATGGTATGAAGCCTGGTTTAGAATTCAGGGATGAGGGCCACAGCTCTTGATCTGTCCTTGACTTTGCAACTTGAGCAAGACCTTGACCATCTCAGAGGCTGTTTCTTCCTGTGTCCTGCTGCAGAAATCATCCCTCTTCTGCTTCCTTCACAGGAATGCTGTGAGAGCACGTCAGCAGTACTGTCTGGGAAGGCAACACAAAAGGGCCTGATTGTCGGCAGCCCCAATCATGCCTTCAGCGTTGGCCAAAGCAAGGGAAAATGTTTTATTTTGTTTTGTTTCCCTACAAAACAAAACCCACCAGGTATCTAAACATGTCCTGAAATTAAAATGGATAATAGTCTACCACATCAGTCCTCTCATTCTCCACCTCATACCCTGCAAATGAGAGATCGTGGAGGAGAAATCCCTCCATGTATATTATTTCGCTCAGATTAGCTGAAGGGTTCTTTGGGAAGCTTGGGATGCCAAGTGTGCCTTCTAATTATCTTTTCTCTTTTTTGCAAGCAGCTTAAGGGATCAGAGGTCTTATTTGGAGCCTTCCACCTTCATCCCGCTTTTCTTTCCTCTTCTTCTGTCCCCACACTACCGCAAATAAATAAATAATGTGCACATAATAATAATGATCTTTTTCTGAAAGAAGGAAAAGGGCATATTTAATGTCACCTTCTTAGCAGTCTAGCTAGAACCTTGCATTTTAACTTACATTTCATGAACTAAGCGCAGCATATCCAACTGCACATTTTCCTTAGGAGTGTTTCCATGAAGGAAATTCCTTCACCTAATCACTTCCCAACCCCCTTTCTTCAACTTATACCCTCTTTCCCACCCTGTCTACCCTAGAAAAGGTATTTTAAAAGAAAATACATAAATCTTCAGCTTATCTGGGTGGTATGCTCCGCAAATAATCACAAAGATTGTTTGACTGGTTACACAAGTTAATTTTCCATTTACAGTATAGAGCAACAATGTATTCTACAATAAAACTAGCCAACCCTGAGAGTCCACTTCAGTGGACGACTTGGCCAGGGGCCAAGATTCCCAGATTCTTTGGCTTCTACTGCTCCTCCCCCTACACTCACATTGGGCCATCATTGCTTTACAGCTGCTTCTCTTTGGGTACACTTCACCCACTCCAGTTCCTGTGTGTCTAAGACAGTGAGCATCAGTCTGTGAATGGCAATCTGTGCACCCTGCCAGCATTAATGATGGGGCCAAGAGTGTACCTGGTCATCTGTAAGAGGAGCACAGTCTGACTGAGATATTTACAAAAGGAAAGAGAAGCACTGCTGAAAGAAGATAACTATTTACTGAGCACTTACTATATCCTAGTCATCCCAAGACAGAGAATAATTGTTTCTATCTGAGAGATGAGAAACAGGAGGCCTAAGAGTTTAGGTGATGGCCCCAAAGAAAAACAGAAAGTGAGAGAGCAGGGATTTGGACTTAGGTCTGTCTTATACCAAAACCTGTGGCTTTTAAATACAACCATGTACTGAGAGTGGGAATATGAAGTGCATGTGTGCAAAAACTCTAAAAACAGGAATGTCATCCCTTGAAGACAGCTTTTTAAAAAATTGTCTGTGGACAGTAGAAAACAGAAAGTTTCAATGATGTACCCATTTCTTTATTGGGCCTAGAACAGCATTTCTCAACCTTGACATTATAGACAATTCATGCCAATTTCTTTGTTGTTGGAGGCTGTGCCATGTATTGCATGGTGTTCAGCAGTACCCATGACCTATATCCATGAGATGCCACTGGTCACCCTTTCCCCAGTCGTGAAAACCAAATATATCTCCAGAAATTGCCAAATATTCTTGACGGACAAAATTGCCCCCCTTGGGAACCAGTGGTCTAGAATCATTTTAGAAATCCTATCTTGTCACATGCTACTTTGGGGTTCATATAAGGTAGAGGATGAGAACACAGATTCTGGTATCAGTCATACCTGGGTAGAAATCTCAGCTCTGTCACTTACTAGCTGTGTGAATTATTCAACCTCTTTGAGGCTTTCAGTGTAAAATGGGGACAGATAATAGTATTCTGAGGATTAAAGGAGATTATGCAGATGAAGCCCTTAGCAGAGTGCCTGACACATAGTAATAGTGCTATAATAATGTCAGTTATGATTATTAAGAAAAACGATGTTAGAAGATGACAGATTTAATCACTTCATCTCAGAGATGAGTAAACTGAGGCTCAGAAACAAGAAGACTAATTTTGGTTAGGACCCAGTCTACTTGTCCAAGAAATATACATATTTGATCACTGTTCTCAATGCCCTGTCTCATTTTACCCCAATAAAATGGTATCTGTGAGCCTCCTAGTATGTTATTTCTGTACTACCCATGCTCTTTCATGTCATAATTGTTAGTATTCCAATTTGTGGCAGCCAAATTATGGAATAGGAAAAGTTGCATCTTTCAGGGAAGACCCATCACCTGTTTGATGCCATGACGAATCAAAGACAACAGAAAAACTAACAGGATGAATAGAAATGTTAACTTGCATGGAATCAAAGCAGTGGCTCAGAGCAACCCTTATAGCATTTGGGAAGTTACCGTATTTTGGCCTTGATATTCTGTCGAAATCAACCACAGTCCTGGAACACCTTCTGTTTAATTTTACTCAGTGAAAATGTTTGTGCTGCCACTGGTAACCAAGGCTGGATACCCTGGAATCTCAGTTCAAATGCAAAAACACCATCTTAACATGCTCCAATTTGTATACTTATTTGTGTCTTGTCATTTTCAGGGAGGATATAAGATGAGCTAACTGGCAAAGGGAATTATGTAGTAACTGATGCAATAATTAGTCTCTCACTTGAAAATGTCGGGGATAATTACCAAGTCATATTTAGGAAGGAGCTCTCCCTGGCCAGGGCTGATTTTCAATTACCCTGGATTTAGTGAACATATGCTAGACATTCTGATGTTGGCCACTAGGTGATGATGATAAAAGGGGAAACTATGATAAACCTAGAGGAGAAAAAGTGAATGACTGGTGTGTGTGTGTGTGTGTGTGTGTGTGTGTGTCTGATAGAGAGGGAGAACGAGACAGGGAGAGAGAGACAGAAAGCGAAAAAATGGGAATGGATATATTCATACATGCCACAAAACACAACTTAGCATGACCTAGGCTTCATCTGGTCACCAACATATAGCAGAAATATAGCACGGTAATTGGGTCAAGTGGCTCATGGCTCAAAAAAGAGCAGTATCATTACATATGTAATACACAGGTATGATTCTACTGCGGTTGTGGGTAGACCAATGGTTCTCAACCAGTATGTCATAGCACACATGAATATACCCCGAATATTTCAAAACCAGGCTGCCAAGTTTTGATCCATGTGTGTAAATTATTTTTTCAATCATAGATGCCTACCATAACATCGCTACCAATCTAAAGAATGTGGAATTAAGTTATTTAGCCACTTGTTGTCAATAGGGTAAATTATTACTAATAAGAGGTAAGAAGCACAGAAAATTTCAAGCCGATTTTTCTAAGAGAAAAAATGTGTGTTCACTGGATAATGCTAGAATTTTTTTTCGATTTTTCCAAAGCTTGATTTAACAAGAAAAAATAAAGCTCAACTCCAATTCCTTAAAATGTCCTGCCAAAAATTCTAGTGTTTGAAAGTGTTCTACAACAAAAAAGTTTAGATGGGTCAGATAAGGAAGGACGGGAAAGCTTATCTCTGCAAGAATTATGGGGTTTCTCAGGCTGGGAAAACTGGGAAATACTGGATTAGAAGTCTTTTTTTGTAGTCACGGCTATCTCAATGCTAGTGGCCCTCACCTCTCAGTCTCATCTTTCCACTTTTAGACAGAGCATTCAGAGTACTCTGAAACACATATTCTACATGTAGATTGCTGCTTCTGTTTGGAATCAGTGTCCGCCCTCATAACAATAGAAGATCTTAAAGGAAAATGATAACCTTGAAGAGGTGACGTGTGTTGCAACAGACTTTAGGAGGTTGCACTGAGCAGTTCTGGGGCTTTTGACCAGGCAATGTAAGTATTCCTGTCTGGGCCAACCATTCAAATCCAGAGAGGCATGGGGGAGGATTCCTCTTTTTGTACCAATGGATGATTCCTGAGAAAGTTTTAAATCCAACGGAATGGGCAGCTAAGCATTGTTCAGCTGAAGATCCAGGGTTTGAAATCTACATTTAGTCTCAGAGCTTTTAGGTTTAAAAGAAGGCAGGAGTGAAAGGACCAGGTGTCTGAATAACCATGTGTGCTCTCAATTTGCCAATAACCTAGTTATTTCTGCAAAGATGGGGTTCTCTCTCATTAAATGATAATTCACTGAGACTTTTCCTATCGGTTTGAGCTCTCCTGAATATCATTTAAAAACCACTGGGTGTGGTGGCTCACACTTGTAATCCCAGCACTTCAGGAGGCCAAGGCAGGTGGATCACTTGAGGCCAGGAGTTCGAGACCAGCCTGGCCAACATGGCAAAACCCCTCTGCAAAAAACACAAAAATTAGTCCGGTGTAGTGGTGCGTGCCTGTAGTCCCAGCTACTCAAGAGGCTGAGGCAAGAGAATTGCTTGAACCTGGGAGGCAGAGGTTGCAGTGAGCTGAGATCATCCCACTGCACTCCAGCCTGGGCGACAAAGCAAGACTCCATCTCAAAAAAACAAAAACAAAAACAAAAACTGTACACCTCTCTTCCTTGGAAAACCTCATTGCTATAATTACCTTTAAAAAACGCTGTACAAGGGATCTTGACGATGCTATTAAAAACAGAGCCCTGAAGTTGGAAAAAACTTTAGTGATCTTCTCAGATAACCGTGACCCAACCTATAGCACCCCCACAACCCTACCTTCCAACATAAGAATAAAATTCTCTTTTCTTTCTTTTTGATCTTCGTATTTCTCTATTTGATAATGCCTGTGGTCTGAGTTCAGTTAGATCAGTGTTTCTAAAACTTTAATGTGCAACAGAATCATCTGGAAGGCTTGTTAAATACAGATTGTTGGGCCCGTGGACCAAACCCCAATGTGTTTTTCAGCGAGTCTGAGGTGGGTGGAGCTGACACTTTGCATTTCTGACGACTTTCCAGGTGCTGGTAAAACTGATGTTGCTGATATGTGGATCACACTTTGAGGAACACTAAATTAGATGCTTAAGCATGAAAGGCTAAGATATGTCTAAAGACTTTGGTCCAGTTCACAGCCAAAGGTTTTACTTTCCTTTGCTACATGTCTGCCTTCATTTCAAAAATTATTGGTAGAAAGTACCCTCATAAAGTTCTCTGGTTCCCCTGGACTATCCTGCCTTCTAATACACTGAGGAATCCCAGAGGAGGGGCACGATGTAGCCACATTCATTCATTCTCAGCAATACTTATTCACAGGAAGCTCCGAAATACAGCCTCCATGGTTCAATCGAAGTCCATTTTGTAAAAATCACATATTTAAGCATTTCATTTTGTAGATGAAAATCCTGAAACCAAAACAGGTCATGTGACTTGTCCAAAGCCACAGTGCTGGTAGCAACTGGCCGAGCTGCCCCTAGAATCTAGGGTTCTTGCCTGGTCACCTTCTAGTAAAACGTCCTCTAGCAGGCCAGGCTCCCTGAATAGACGACACATTTTAATTATATATATCATACTTTTTCCCCATTTGAACAGAAGACTCCTAAAATATACTTTGATAATAGCAACTATTACTATGCATGCATTTTAATGTGCAGAAAAGATATCAGTGAGTTTTTTTTTAAAGCATCACCATCCTATTTATACTACCTTTCCATGTATTTATAGGCTACAGATTATCCTTAAGTATTCTGATCTTAAAAGAGTAACCAACACTCTAAATGACTATTATTCTCAGGGGATAAAGACATTTCATTTTGTAATCTTTTTGTCTTACATCATACATAATCTCCTGTATCTTACTGAATCAGGCTTTAATTGTAGGTGGATTCTTTTGAATCCATTGTTTAGCTATGCAAAATTTTTCAGCAATTAGGAGCAAGGCAAAAATTTCCTTCCTTTTACTTAATAAGACATTATTTCAAAAGAAGGAGTGCAAAGATTGAAGTACTGTAGATCATAACTTAAACAACCTGGGCTATGACTATGACATATGAGAAAGTTAACTCCCCCTATCCCCTGCCAAAATTTCTTTAGCAATGCACTGAGATTCAAAGACTTCATGACAACTTAAATTGCTTCTTAGTAAAGAAATTAATTTAATTAGGAGTTATAGCATGGAATTTCATTTTCTAATGGGCCTCAAACACAAGTGGTTGTAAAAAGTCATTTTGAGATCAAAGTGACCTTGGGTCTGGACTGTTTTTTGCCAGCTTGTTACCAACTAAGAAATCAGCCATTTATTCTTTAGAAGGGTCAGAAAAACTAACATCTTCCCCATGCTGGGCACCTCAATCCACAAAACGTTAAAACCCAACCATCCGCTATAAAACTTATGTAACTGAAACTTCACTCACTGAAAATTTTTGCAGGAGTAAGTTGAACACATTTCAGTTTTAAAAAGGCAGCCCACTATCTCACCAGATGAAAATGTAAGTGCATATTAGAAATAATTCACTCAACGTTAGTTAATTTTTGTGAGTCATTCTCACTAACTTCTTGCTAATGATCTGTCTTGGCAGCAAATGGTTTCATCTAGACTCCTCTTCAATGCTCCTTATTCATTTCAAGGAAAGCATTTAATAAGGGGCAAATGGCAAATAATTAGGCAAAAAAACAAAAACTTGCCAGTCAACTCAAAGGGAAATTGACTCCTTTCCCCAATAAGTTTCCAATGAGAAAAGATCAGAGAGTTAATTAATGTGTAACCAACCTGTGGATGCCGGGACACCCACATATGCAGTAAGTTGCAGGCTAATGATTAAAGTCCACCTCTTAAACCAAAAAAGGTCAGCCTTTCTAGCTGTCAAGAAGGTGGTGACTTGAACCACAGATCAATCACCATTCACATCAAAGGAGTAAGAGGTGAAGCCATTAAGACAAACCCAGCTGGAAAAACCTTGTCCTTTCATTTGATATCATATATTTAAACAAAACAAAACCAAAACCAAAAAAAACAAAACAAAAAAACCATTACTTCCCTCCCCATCCCATTCCATACTGCAAAATGTGG
Source organism: Homo sapiens (assembly GCF_000001405.40). Lineage (NCBI taxonomy): Eukaryota > Metazoa > Chordata > Mammalia > Primates > Hominidae > Homo > Homo sapiens. The sequence continues at coordinate 64,248,722 of NC_000003.12, forward strand.
CAAATCTTTGATCCTAATGAACATTCTTTGGAAACCAAATCAAATAATAGAAGACTCTATAGAAACCATGATAACATACTACCTGTGCTAATAACAGACCATGATAACATACTACCTGTGCTAGTAACAGACCTGAAATGAAGCTGAAAATGAGTTGAGAATTTAACTCTTAAGGGAAATTCTTTTTAAATTCCTTACCCAAAGCTGTAATTTAAGGCTGTGATTTAAATACCTTTGATTTATTAAGTTATTTTCACTAGTATTTACTACTTTTAAAACTCTGACAATCTTTTCCTATTACATAAAGGAAAATAAATACATTAACAATCTGTATTAGTCTGTTCTCACACTGCTATAAAGAACTACCTGAGACTGGGCAATTTATGAAGAAAAGAGGTTTAATTGGCTCTTGGTTCTGCAGGCTTAACAGGAAGCACAACTGGGAAACCTCGGGAAACTTACAATCATGGCAGAAGATGAAGGAAAACCAAGCACCTCTTACCATGGCAGAGGAGGAAAGAAAGAAAGCGAAGGGGGAGCTGCCACACACTTTTAAACCATCATATCTCATGAGAACTCACTCACTATCACAAGAAGAGCAAGGGGGAAATCTGCCTCCATGATCCAACCACCTCCCACCAAGCCCTTCTCCCAACATGGGGGGATTACAATTCGACATGAGATTTGGGTGGGGACACAGAGCCAAACCATATCACAATCCAATGTGGGTGATAGCTGCTACAGTAACTGTAGTAGACTTGCAAGATATTAACTGTCATTGTCTTGTCAAATGGAGGCTCAGTACAAAAGATTAATATGCACCAATGGGTGAACCACACAGCCAACCACTTGTTGCCACATTGCTCAACCCCAAGGGGAAGAAAGTTACAAAAAAAATGATGTGAAGACTCCACAGCTCTTTTCCTTGAACCCTACTGGTCATCTGTTCTATTCTACTTCCAGAATGTTATGTCATCCAGGTCTGAATCCCTCTCACCTTTTAAGGGCTACTTTACTACTTGCTGTCTTGTAGTTCAAGTATGTTCCTATCTTCCAGACTATAATAAATGCTCCTTGAAGGTGGAGACTCTCTTTTGTGAAATAAGTAGTGCCTAGTATAGCGCCTTGCACACAATATGTTTTTTACTAGAGAGCATGCATTGTGTAGCATATCAATATTGCTTTCACATGGCATTTCTAATTCAACCCTCCCAGAGACTTGGTGAGATGGTTTGACAGAAGCTTAATGACGTGCTCAAGGCCTGAATATTCTTATGAAGCAGAGGTAAAACTGAACCTAGGACTTCAAATGCCACATTCACATTCACTTCCCTTCCCTTTATCACCAAAGCAAGCACTGGTCTCACCTCTCAACCACAGCATCACCAATCAGCAAGCTTCCTGGAAGGTTATGAGAGTCAGCCTTTTATCAGGCCTGCAATACTTGCTCTCCTGTGGAACAATATCCTCATGGAGTTAGATCTGGGTTTCTCAACCTCAACACTGCTGACATTTTCCATGGATAATTCTTTGTTGGAGGGGGCTGTCTTGTGTACTGTAGGATATTTAGCAGCATCTCTGACTTCTACCTATTAGATTCAAATAGTGGCCTCATCTCCCAAATTGTGACAATAAAAGATGTCTCCAGACATTACCAAATGTCTAGGGGAGTGGGCCAGGTGGGGAGTTCAAACCAGCTAGGAACTGCTGGGCTGTTGCAGAGGCCAGGTTTACCTAGCATGGGGGTGGGCATACAACCCAAACTGACAACCAGAGCATCCCACACTCTTCCCCCATCCCTGATTAGTCCATGAATGTATGTTATCAAGGCAGGGCCAATCAGTAGGTGTTTTTGGTGGAGAGGGCATTGATAAGAACATTAAAAGAGTTAGAAGGCCTCACTCATGAGATCATGGCACTTTGTAGTTTGGTTTATACTGGTTTGACTTGAGATGTTGAACCTTGCAACCCAGAAAGGCCTGATTAATCTATCCACTGTATCACTGTAGTGCATGGAGTCCGACATGGGCTTCCCTTCCTAGCACAGAGTGAAACCCCAAGTCCTTTTCCAGATTGGCATGGTCTTATAGACACTGGCATTTCCTGCATTGTGCTAATATAGGTGCTGGTCCCTCTGCCAGAGATACTCCCCCAATAACCAGCACACCTCACTTCCTCCAGTTCTAAACTCAATGTGGCCTTTCCTGACATTTTCTTTGCAGGAGCACCCTCAGCCCAACCCCAGCAACATAGTAGTCACCATCTGACATGCTATATATTTCCTTTTTGTCTATCTTCACCCATTAGACATATCAGATCACGAGGGCAGGGACTTTGTCTCTATTGTGCACATGTTGGATATGCAAATAGGTGCTCAATAAAGATATTTTGATTAAATGAATCAATCAATCAATCAATCCAACATGTGGTGCCCAGTCTGAGGGAGGCTGGTTATCTTCACTTCCATGACTAAAAGGCTTAGCAATATAAGGCTTAGGAATTTGAAACATTTAAAGATGAGTCAAAACCATCCCCGCTCCAGGTAGTCCCTGCTCCACGCAAACACAAAAGGATCACAGTCCACTTTGAATCAGGAGAGCATCTGAGTGTCAAAAACAATACCAGGAGCTGGCAGTTCCCACTCTGCCACCACTTCTGCATGTCCTCTCCCACTCCCCCACCACAGTAGGCTCCTTACTGGTTCTTTGTCAGTGGGACAGGGGGGCAAGAAATCCAAGTTCCCACCAAGCAATCATGTTATACCTAATCAGTATGCATAAGATGACAAATCCTGATACAGCCGACTTTGACAAAAAAGGGAAAATTTCAGTGTGGTGGGAGAGAGCCAGCTATGAGATTCCCCTTCACATATTGGTCAAGAAGCAGAGAGTTCATTTTGTTTACAGGGCAGGGGAGAAGCATGGACAGACATCAGAGTTTGGGGCTAGCTCACACCTAGGTGTCTCTTATTCAGTGCCTTTCATCTTGATTTGCAAGTCTCAAGTGTTCCATTTCTGAATCTGCATCTGGGCCCCTTGATCCAGATTGGGTTTTCCCTTGCTGCAGAGCAATCTAGTTATATTTGGTGACTTAAGCTAAGAACATTTCACATCATGAAATCTGGTTCATCAAATACTCAACAAATATTTACTAAGCTCCTACTACATCCCAGCTCTGTTCCAGGCTTTGGGGACACATCAGTGCATATGGGACATAAATGCCCTGATGCACCACCTAAGGATGGGGGCTTCTTGCCATTTGCACATAGACATCATTTACTGCCTGTCTGGTCAGACCTTCCTATGGGTGAATTCACATTTTAATGGAACACACTGGAGACATGGCAAAGTGATTAAGAATGCATTTCAATCAACCCAACATGGTCTAAAAAAAGTAAGTAATAGGCATAATCTACACCCATAGTTTCCTACCTGATAAGGTTGTTGGGAAGATTAAATGAAGTGCTTCAAACAGGAAACTAAAAATGAAAAATGTGAGGCAATCACCATGATTAGACACTCTGAGGTAAAAAAGCTTATTCAAATCACCCTGCACCCCCATAAGGGCTCCTATACCAACTCTCCTTTCTCCCAGGAAAGTTCAAGCTTGGTCACCACTGACTATGCCCACTCAGGTCAACCACATGCTATGGGGGCCAGCTGGAAGCACAACCCCTCTACATCCCTTGGGTGAACTGTTGGAG